>NC_000003.12:54555454-54858484 GCF_000001405.40 Homo sapiens | reverse complement strand
TTAATAACTCTCTCCCCCCAGCAGGCTGTCACAGATGGAAGAGGAGAGTGTTTCATTCTGCCTTGAGCTCCTACTTCCTGTGTATTCCTACCCCCGGTGAGATGGTCCTTTAAATTACATAAAGATGTGCATCAATCACATGGAGAAAAGCAATTGATCAATTAGATGACACTGGGCAAGTTAGAAGCCAGCACTCACATCCCAGCCTTGCAATAGGGCTAGGGTCTGCATTCCTGAGCTGAGGCTAGTAGCTGGCAGCTGAGGCTCATTTCCCCCACAAGGGGAAGGAGGTGCAGACAAATCTACAGGAATTTTTAAGAGATCATTATTCAACACTTTGCCTGTAATTACATTTTGATGAGGTTTTTATTGCTAATTCATCATCCAAGATGGGGCATTCTAGATATGAAATTAATCTAGTAGAACAAAGGTCAGAGTGTGTCCAGTGAAAAGAAAAGCCTTTTCCTCATCAAATCCTTTCTTCAAATAATAAAGCAGCCGAGAATCCTATCTTCTAAATCAAATTTCCTTAAAGTGCCTACTCTCAGTTATTAATAGCATAAAGCCAAGGCTCCTTGGTACTTCTACAAGCAAATGTGGATTCTCCAAGCAGGCTGGTGTGTTAGGAATACATGCTCAGGGGCCTGAAATGGAATGGGAAGCATGCTCAACGCCATGGTGTTAATGTAAAAGCCTATGTGAGAGCACTCAAAACTGCATTTGAAGCTCTAGTCTACAGCAAATCAATTTTTGCAGAGACACATCAGCCTGCTGGTGTCTTGGCTTGAATTCTCTCAGAAGTCCCTGAGAACAGGATTCAAGTGCAAAGTTTTTATTTGACAGGGATTCCCAGGAAATACCCGCAGGGACATGGCAAAGTGATTCAGAGATGGGAGGGCAGCCAACAGGGTGCAGGCATGTTACCACTACGGGCAACTGTGGCATAATCCCATCAGGGAACTCTGGGAGCCAGTGTAAAACACAACCCTCAGAGACACCCCACCTGAGAAGGGCAGTCTTTGGCTGAGGGATGCTAATTTCTCGTCACATCTTGTCTGCTGCATGCCTGAGAAGAGATGACTACAGAAGCCAGAGAAAGCCTTCACCTAGCTGCTGTCAGGTATGAGCCATGCTACACATACAGGAATGGTCAGAGCAGAGTGGAGGAAACGGGGCAGTACCAGCAACGACTTCACGACATGCAGCCTCAAATAGGAATTTGTCAACAAAACCTGGGTCACCTACCCTTCTTTGAAAATCTGGCCTAAATCTATGAACAGATTCCAGAACCCAGCATATTCACCATCCCCATGCCTCAGAGTTTTTGTACACACTGTTTCTTCAGCCTGGACCAGTCTCCACAGTTTTTCTCATCCTCCAGGACTCAGCTTAATACATCATCCTGGCCAGGCATGGTGGCTCACGCCTGTAATCCTAGCACTTTGGGAGGCCAAGACAGGTGGCTTGCCTGAGCTCAGGAGTTTGAGACCAGCCTGGACAACATGATGAAACCCTGTTTCTACTAAAACACAAAAAGTCATCAGAGCATAGTGGCAGGTGCCTGTAATGCCAGCTACTCAGGAGGCTGAGGCAGGAGAACTGCTTGAACCTGGGAGGTGGAGAATGCAGTGAGCCGAGATTGTGCCACTGCACTCCAGCCTGGGCAACAAAGTGAAATTCTGTCTCAAAAACAAAAAACAAACAAACGAAAAAACCATCATCCTTAAGAAAGGGTCTCCCTGACCATCTAACTAAGGCAGGTACCTCTCCCGACTTTTTGTTTTCTCAGATTTTTGTTTCTTTTGGCGAGCTTATCCAAATTGTGTAGTATTTTTATTTATCAGTTTGTTTTAGAACTTTAAAAACCCACATCTTCTCTATGAGAATGAAAACACCAAATAAAGGGACAATTCTATCTGCTTTATCACTAGATCTTTGGCATCTAATAGGGTGTCTGCCACATGACAGGTGTTCAACAGACAAATGCCAAGTGAGGGAAGGACAGGAGCAGGTGGGGGAGGGAAAGATGGGAGGAAAAAGGAAGGGAGGAAGGGTTCCAGTCACACACAAATGAGCAAGTAACTCATCCATGTTATCTGAAAGGCCTTCTGCTGCTCCCAAGCATGCTGGACTGTGGCCTCAAAGTTATAGGCTGCAAACCAGCTCCCTGCAGCCTTCCCTAGCTACCCAGTGCACAGCGAGACACCAGGTACTTTCATAAATTCTCCTTCTTGTCAGTACTCTCAACCGTGGTGCTTGATAACATATTGTTTCATTGTGTGCTCGATTTCCTACACATGGGTTTTCTCTCGTCATTTATTTGTCATTCCACCTCCTTTGCCAAGTACCTCACCAGGCCCTGGATATACAAAGCTGAACAAAACACAGTCTCATCAGTGTCTTCATGCTACTTGCAGCACAGAGGAGCAGATGTGTCATGATATTTCTACAATGTCGTGGGGAGCCCAGACTCAAAGGTCCATGCAAGAAGACTTGAGGAATGGGGACAGACCCCTCTGTGGGGGAAGGGGAGGCTGAGAGGACTAAAGTTTTACAAAGGAGGGGTGACAGGGCAGCAGGAGGTGGTGTCAGACTGTGAGCTCCTTGAGAGCAGGGGTCAGAGCCACACCCAGCAGTGGTTCCCAGACTTTGGGATTCATGGTTGGATCAGTCAGGCTGCTCTGGTTGCCAGCAACAGATAACAATTCTTAATCACTTGAGCAGAAGGGGGAGCTTATTGGAAGGGAATATGGAAATTCTCCACTCCCACTACAATGGGAGATAGATAAATAATGAATGAATCAATCAATAAAGGACAGAGGGTCTCTCATTCTTCCTTTTTCTTTTTCCTTCCCTCCATCTCTTTCTTCCTTCCTCTCTCCCTCCTTCACTTTTCTTTGCATTCTTCCATATTTCCTTTCTTCTTTCTCTCTTTCTTTCCTGGCAGAGTAATGACTATAAAAGACAAACCTTCCATGTATTCTCACCTTCGTATCACTCAGGGCCACAGCAGGAAGCACGTGGTATACATGAGCTGGCAAATTAAGGAGGATTTAGTAAAGAGGCTCTTGGAAAGGCCTGGGCAGGGTGTAGGAAATGACAGGAAATGGTGCAGCACCCTGAAGTTAGAAACAGTGGGGCGCACCCACCCATCTGCATGAAGGGTCAGAGGGAGAAGCAGGTGCCGGAGCCCGGAGACTAGTAGGCTTATGAAGCTTTAGAGGGGGTGCAGCCAGTCCCAGAGGACACGGGTGAACACACAGCCTGACTCCCCTCCCCTCTCTCCATTTCCTGTGAGTGTCCCCCACTCAGCAGACCCAGAGTCGCAGCCCAGATCAGAGGGGTCACTGCTGTGTTCCATACAGGTGGGCATCCTAGGGCCAGGGGGATGCTGTCTGGAGAGGCTGACAGAGGCTCTGCAGCCCAACCTGGCATTTTGTCAAATAACCTGAGGACACAGCTTCAGGATTAAAGAACATTCTTTCAGTTGAATAAGCTTAATTTTATGAAGAAAATACACTGTCCTACAAAGCAGGGGTTCCTTGCTGGCAAGAGGGACCCAGAAGAACTATGGGCTCACAGAGGTGGGTAATTATCTATAGCTGTCTTCTTGGTTTTTCTTCTGAAGACTGACCCGAATTTACTTTTTGCTTGACACATTCCTTGGCCTAAGCATCAGGGAATATCTTTTTTGCCCTTCAAATATGTAGTTATTTATTAATTTAATTTTTTAAATCATTATATATAGAGAATCTTCACACACAGTCAACCCCTCTGTGGTGAGCACTCCACGCACGAGGCAATGAGAACTGACCCAGGCAAGGCACCCAGGGCTCTCAGCACAAGGCCTGGCCCGAGACCCGTGGTGAGGGCAGTGTTGTGATTCCTGGTAGCCTGGGTGCTGCGGCGCCTGGCACCCAAAGGGGATTCATAAGCACACTGTCCATAATAAAAAAAATACCTGTGGGATTGATTCCAGACCCCATCAATCCCTTGAGTGTCCAAGCACACACCCAGTCACAGGAGCTGTGGGTTCTCAAGGTTTGCAGAAAGGGCGTAGCTCCCACCCAACAGAAACCCAGGCACCCACTGACTTGAGTTGTAAGCCCTCCCCTCAACGCTGCAATCTGTCCACTCGTGCCCAGACCAGGCAGTGAGGACGGTGCCCTCACCAATTCCGTCAGGAAGAAAGCACACAAGGCTCTGTTTTCTTTTTCTTTCTTTTTTTCAAACCAAATGATGTATTTCCAAAAGAACAGGCTCGCTACGTGGGGTCACACAGTCTTGTTTATTTTTTCTCAGAGAACGCTCTCCTCTGAGCAGATACACTTACTAAGCCTCTGTTAATTCTTTCTTTGAAACTAAACGAAATGGACTCAGACCAGGCCTAGGTTGCAGTCGCCCGGGCTCTGTTCTGAGAATGTGCACTGGCAGGGGCTGGCTCTGCATGGGGACCGGGTACTCGGCGGTGCCCGCGCGCCACCTACTGGACAGTCTCTTTCAGTTCAGCAGCAGCCTGAGAGCGGGGGTCCAGGAGGCTGGCAACAGATCCCTGCATTTGGGGACCACCGAAAGTTCCGTGAACAATGCTAGGCCCAACTCCCCATCCCCCCACCCCCATAGGCTGTGGCCGGCAGAATGCATGGTCCTGAGATGAGACAGAGAAGTCAGGCCTGAGGTCAGTGATCCTGGGGAGACTGTAGAGTATCTGCTGAGTGCAGTCCTCCCCCACCTCCTCTGGGAAGCCCTTCTGCATCTCAGGGCACCCTTCCTCTAAGGAAAAGCAGAGACTTTGTCTGTGAGCCCATAGTTCTTCTTGGTCCCTCTTACCACCAGGGAACCCTTGCTTTGTGTGATGAGCTTCTTGTGGGCAGAGACCTCCTTCTACCTGCTTCTATGTCTCCATTAAATAGCATAGTGCTGGACTTAAGGACATCTGATGAATGCTTGCAGGCAAGCAGGAGGGGATAGGGAGGGATGAAAAGAAAAGGGAGCTTAACCAACCACATTTCTGTTTCTGCACCCGACGTAGCAAGGACTCAACAAATGTTTGGTGAATGAACGTGTGTCACCTGCTCTTCTCATTTATTGTAAGAAACTGGTACTCAGATATCCAACCATCAGCATCACTCAAACATCCTGCAGATCATTCACCAAATATTTACTGACTACCCGCTCTGTGTAGTAGCAAACTCCCAGCTATTCACAAAGGACCACAGGGGAGAAGTTAAACAATAGACGTTTTCCAAGAGTGGTGATTCAAGAAAACTAAAGCAGGGGATGTGATGGAGAGTGATGGAGGAGTATGGCTTCTCTGGGTGGGCGCAGCGATGCTTCTCTGAGGTGACATCTGAGCTAAGAAGTGGAGGATGAGAAAATGCCAGTAAAAGGTGTACCTGGGACAAGATTTCAGGTAAAGAAGAGTTGAGCATGAGAATTTGGAGCAGGAAGGAGCTTGCGGTTTCTGAGGAACGGACGAAAGGACCTGCTATTTCCTCAGTTGCGGAATTGCATAGTTAAGAAAAATTCCATTTGACTTTCACATCTAAATTCTTTGGAATTATACAGAATCTCTTCCTATGGCCTATTGCTTGAACTAAGTCAGCTGGATTCTAGAAGTGCTCCTACCTTTTTAAACCCTTATTTAAACTGATGTTTGATGTGCACTGTCTAGTTAGCATTTAACACATATTCACATGTGTCCATGGGGGATGTCCACTTAGTTCCATACAAGAGGACTAAAGTGTGAGAACATTTACACTGATTAGCATGTCCATGTATCAATCCATGGATTTAATAACCTTTCATGAGGACCCATCTATAACCACTAACAAACGTGCACTGCCCAGGAATCCACAAGAACAAAGAAGCAGAATCCATGTTTGGAATGGGGCAAGGACAGTCCAGAGTGACACAGGGAAAGGCGAGTGCCATCCTGGAACCCAGGCTGTGGAGAGCTGGTGGTGGAAACAGCAATATTAAATTCCAGCGGAGGTGCGAGGACTCTTGGGTTAGGAAAACTTAAACTCGTTCAAGAGTTCATCTGAGTTTTCCAGAACAACAGAAATGGCTTTGGCATCAAAACATTCTGATTTAGATGACCTAAGTGCTCAGGTTCACCTAGTGTGGCTACTGCTTTCCACCCACTGGCCTCCATGACAGTTTGTCTGCGGAAGTCTAGATGGCGTAGGGGTGAACCTACATGGCTAGAATAGGCAGAGTTTCCAGGCCAAACTATGGAGCTCATCTGCCCTGGCAATCAAGTCAAGGCCCCTTGAATTCTGGGCAACCTCCCACTTCCACTCCTGGACACTGGAGAGGCTACAGCCTGGGAGGGAGGGAGGGGTGGTGGCCACGGCAGAGGAGGCTAACTGGCCACTAACTGTTGGCCCAGACTTCCAGGATGGCACAATGACGGGTGGTGGTGGAAATAGAGCCTGCTCTAACCCACTTTAAGGAAAGAGGAGGTCCTATAATCCATTTTATCTAGAAGGGTCCAAAATGTCTGGTCACACTCTAGACCTGTGCTGTCCCTTATGGGGGCCACAGCCACTGGTGGGTCTTGAGCACCTGCAATGTGGCTTGCCTGAATTGAGATGTGCCATGTAGGATACACATCATATTTCAAAGATTAGCATGAAAAGAATGTAAAATATCACATTAATAATGTCTGCATTGATTATATATTGAAACACTGATATTTTGGATATGCTGGGATAATAAAATATATTCTTAAATTTAATTTCACTTGTTTCTTTTGTATTCTTTTAGATGTGGCTCCTAGAAAATTTGAAATTACATAGGCAGCTCCTGTTTGTGGCTCACATTATATTCCTACTGGACAGTGTTAAGTCTAGACAGATTCTGACATGATTACCTCGGTACTGGTCCAAATGGCTGCAAAGACCAGGTATCCCAGTCACTCCCACCCTCCAACCACTCTGCCTCCCATTTCCTGAAGAACCCACGCAGCAGAGTGAACTTAGTACACCTAAACTGACTGGGGTTAAGGGTCCTAGTTCTGGCACTTTCCAGTTATGTGATCTGGGAGACGTCACCTTAGGACTCAGTGCCTCAGCTTCCCATCTGTAACATGAGGATATTTACCTTCATCTTAGAGAAGCCCAGCTGCTCAGCCCAGTACTCACAGTTGTCCTCACTTCAACTCCAGGCTGCTGCTAGATGTATCTTCCACCTGGACCTCCCCTCCCCTTCATCCTTTCCTTAAGCCTCTAGGCCTTTCCAAGGCACATAATATCCTAGGCTTGCTATTCAATTAGTCAGTGATTAAAAGCATTAACACATGTGAAACACTTAGAATAGTTCCTGTCCCATAAAAAGGAATCAGTGAATGTTAGAAAAATATACTAATACCAACAACAACAAACAAATAAAAAGCGCATCTTCTCTACTGTCCACAGTTACTGATACACGTATCGTATCCATCCTATTAGAGTTTGAGTTATTGGAGGTAGGGCACATCTCTGTGACCTCTCTGAGCAGCTTGCTCAAGCCTACAACATAGTGAACATTCAGTGTATGTTGAAGGAATGAATGTGAATTTCTCTCCATCATTTTTACCTCCCATCTCATCCACTCCCACATATGTGACCCATGTGACTGGCAGATTTTCATCCAGAATGAAAACCCTACAGCATCCTTCCTCATCTCCTGGGTTTGCAGACACAGAGCAAACAGCTTCTGGCCAATTTCAATGCAGGCTTCATGGAAATGAGTCCTAAATTTTGCCTGCCTGAGGCTCCTCTGTGGAACCCTGCCATTGCTGCAGCTGCTGAAAGGGAACCTCCTTTGTGTTCTCCTGTCGGTTTGACCAGGTCCACATTCCAGACCTCCTCCTTGGGGGAAGGAAATCAATTTAGCTGTCCCTTTATTCTAAAAGGTAGGGACAGATGGATGACCAATCCGCTGTTGGGCAAAAGAAAAGGAGATCTATTCAGGGCTCCACATTCTAAGAAAAATTCCTAAAGCTCTCAAATACAAAGGAATTATAAAAAGCAAGAAAACAAAATCTAGTCTGTAGCTATACTTCAATGTTTAACAAGTGGTAACGATCAAACAAACAAACATTCCAGGGGCATCATAACAACTCAAAAAGCATTTCTCAAGATCAAGAGCATTTAATCACTCTTGCTACGTGCTGTTGTTCCATTCCCCACCTTGAGAACAGGTGTCTGTCCCCACTTGTGCTGCAGCCCCCCGGCCCCTTTGAAGATTACTTCATCAGTCTTCAGTCTAACACAGGACTGAGCCACACCAGGCACAAGGGCAATGCTTGCTGAACCAACATCAGTTAATCTATCAGGAAGTCACAAGCTGGTGGCGAGGACAGAAAGGTTGAGAAGCCCTTAGAGGAGGACTAAGGAGAGCCCAGAGATCACAGAGAAGCATTGCTTCAGCAGCTTTGCCAGTTAAACCAAAGTGAGTCCGCTGATTAAGGCCCCTATGTCTGAGCTGTTCTTGGAGACACTTTGTGATTCACAACCAAATCACACAAGATTAAAGAAAATACTGGATAAAATCAAGCCAAACATTAAGTTCAGGGGAAAGATTTTATAGGACAAATTAGAAAAATATTGGTATTGTGCTTCAGAGAAACCCACCTCTTTCCTCTGGCTGTAGGGGCCGAAACAAAGTCCATGGCAGATGGAGAGGGAATAGGAGTTATTTTAAGTCAGCTTGCTGTGTCCTCCCCATGCTGGCCACAACCCCACACTCACACTCACCGTGCTAATCTGGCAGCCTTGGCCAGAACTAAGGGGATCGTCCATTTGTAATAAGGATTCGATTATATGGCTGGGCTTGCGAGGAGACAAATGGAGTTTGAATGAGGGTTCCCTGCCTGAGCTAGCCAGAGAAGCTGCTAGCAGCTGGCTGTTCCTAGCCATGCCTGAGAGCTCTGGCCAGGATGGATTTATGGTCCATGAAGACACTGGATTTCCAAGGTAAGTTCACAAGTCATTTACAACCTCCAGAAGAACCTAAAGTAAGTAAAAATGAAACTGGTTTTAGAGGATCCCTTCACTTATTCATCTACTGAGTCCCTGCTCTGTGCTGAGGGGACTGGTGGTTAAGGAAGGAGGAGGGGGAAAGCAGGGATAAGTGAACAAAACAGAGATGAACAAACAACTTGTGCACGCCAGAGCCACGGGTATTCATGCCGGCTGACTCTTAGCTATCATTCTTTAGCTACTGTGGCTGCTAGTATTATTCTTATTGCTACCTTTAAAACAAACAAACAACCTTGGTTTCTTCACATGGTAGGACTCACATAGAACCTCTAGTACAAGTTGTCTACTTGTCTTCTAGACCACAGTTGGCCAAGCTTGCCGTAGAACCAAAAAGAAAACTGATGGTGTATGTACACGATCCCTTCCCAATGTCTATCACAAAAACCTGAATCACCTGAATAATCAAAAAGTGCTCTTTAGGTTGCCTCTTTAAGCATCCATTACCACCATGTTCTTCCAACCTTTACGGAAGCTGAGGACAGAACAATAGAAAATAAACACAAACAAGATGTCCAAATAACCACTACTGCCTCTGAGATATTCTGGGGCCTGCTTTTCTGCACCAGGTCCTTTGCTTGCATTATCTCATTTACTGTGACAACAAGCTACGATCTATGCACTATGGTTATGGCAGGATTGCAAGAGAAAAGTGCAGCTCAGGGAGCCTGTGTGATTGCCCAAAGTCACATAGTGTGGATGTAGTGGGACTAGGAGTTGAGCTTCACAGTGTGATGCTGGAATTGAGTCCCTCCCACTATGCTGCGTCTTTTGCTCAGAAGGAAAATGCAGAACTCAAGTCAGAGTCAACATACACTTATTGACCACATTCAGATGGGTTAATTCATGTAATGCTTAACGGTTGGTATCACCCTAAACTTCTTCTAAGTATCTGATGGCCTCAGGGTGAGAGACAGATGAATGGGACAGATGACCAACAGGTCTGATCATTCCTTATGTTCTTGTCATGGATCAGCTGCAACATGGTTCATATGGTTTGGGTTCTCACAAACAGAATATGGGGCATTTGTTTGGGCCACCCCATGTATGGCATGGCCAAAATCCTAGCAACCACCACCACTTTTGACCCTAGCAACCACTACCACTTTTGGTGTGTCAACAGAAGAACAGCAATGGCATGTGTTTACAAGTATCTGTACTCTTAGGAGATGAACAGCATTGATGGAGTTGGTCTGCTTTTCCAAGAGCCTTTCAGCTGCCCTCTCAGGGGCCACAGCTCTGGAGAGTGCATCAGATGGACTATTTACAAACACACCATTTGCTGCAGGGCCAGAAGACATAAAAGACTGCTAGGCAAATGTTTGTTGGCAAAGCACTGTGGGGACCAGTTCACATTGTGAGTCGACTGTGTGGCGGGCAGCTAATCATTTCCATTGCCACAGAGAGAAAGATGCTACCTTGGTGACTTCTGACATCTGATTCCATTTCATTTTTCCTTTAAATGACAGGCAATGATAAATAGGAAATTAATCCATTTACTGGTAGAAGATTTGGGTTTGATTGTTTCATGGACTCTGTTCCTTTCCAATTTGGAATAAATACACACTAGGAGTCCAAACTCTGTCACGCAAACTTGTAACTTCTCTTACTTCCAACAAATGATGCCAACTGGGCAACCTGGAGATGGGTAATGTGCTAAGAGTTTTAAACTTCAATATGTCTTTGGACTTAAATGTCTTTAAAAAGACAGCCGCTTTTTCAATCAGACTTTTCAATAATTCTGAGTTACATTTGGAATTAGCCAACTAGTTAATTCAGTCCTTTTCTGATAAAAAGATTGTTGAAATTGAATATTACCATAAGGCCCATCTTAAAGCATGCATATGGCATCCACATGATGTGGTCATGACTCCATTAATACCAGGGCGATTAGAGCAAAGTTGCATGATGATGGAGCTCTCACATGAACTGTTTCTAAACAATGATGCAAGTGAGAAGTGAACTGGTCCCCACAATGCTTTGCCAACAAACATTTGAATAGCAGGCACTGCCGCTACTTTCTCATTCTGATGAATGGGAAAAGATGGGTGGGGTGGATGGGTATGTATGCATTTGTGTATGTGCATATAGGTACGTGTGTGTTTGTTGATTGCTAAAGAAAACGATCTACACTTTCTTAACTTTAAAAAACAGTGTTCACTGCATTACTCTTTATAATTCTATATCTTCTTTAAAAATTAGCTAAGTACACACAAACCCAAAGGGATGTCCTTTTTTCAACACACTGCAACTAGTTCAGGGGTGGCAAACATGTGGCACACTTGTGGCCAATGCCCCAAGGGCAGCCTTGCCCAGGGATGTGGGTTGATGCTACCATGGGCTGTTTTGGATTTGGCCTAACCCTACTCACTTCAGAGACAGTAAAAATGATACTGAGAGAAAGAAAGTGGTTTACATATCAGTTCACCAAGCAATGCTACTGGATATGACATAGGCAGGAAACAGAGAAAAATCTCAGCTGCCCTGATTTAACAAAAAAGCTGTTGAATAGCTTCTATCCACAAGACACTGGGCTTAAGTAATGTAATTTGGGGGCAAATCCCATTGTAATAAATTTCCAGGGATCTTGGGTCTAATTTATCGTGTCAAATTAGACTTGCAGTAAGTGGGTCTAGAGCTGGAGTATGAGTGTCCATGTATTACATCAAGGGACCCGTTATGATAGGTTTCATGCTGTCTAGAGTTAAAAAAATTTTCCATATGTTGGCAGATGTGAGATAAATAAATAAATGCATATACACATATATGGCTTTATATACAAAATCATAATGGTAAATATATTTATCCAACATTATTTATGTATTATGTGTCCAAATACCAGTTTATAAACTCTATAACAATCTTTACAATGCTATGAATTCAATAGTTTTTTAAAAGTGAAAACTGCAGCAAAGTGTCATCACTGTTGAATTGAAGGAAATCTTTTAAAATCATAAAAGCAGAAATGCAGAAGTACATAATTTCTCTTACCAGCAGCCTGAGTTCCGGATGCGTCAGGATATATCCATTATTTGTGATTGCAAAGGCATAACCGTGAATCCCTAACTGTAAGAGGAAGCAAGAAAGAAACCTTCATTAGCTTGCTCCCTGGTGAATTCACAAAGCATAAAGCAGCCCGGCATTTAGTAATTTACAGCTTTAACTTGTCATTCATAACCCTTATCAGCACAATATTTCATTAAAATGAATGCAAGGCACTGATCCTTGACATTTGGTGGAAATGAAGACCTGTCAGAGGATAAGCTCAACAAATAGCACAATTTAAAATGTCACATCCCCACATTGGCATCCAAGGGCTTTATTTTGATTTATTTAAAACAAAACAATTACCTTTTTTTTTTAACAAGAAAGTGGCTAATGTTTCTGTAAAGACCCTATGTCCAAGTGCACAGAACTTTATCAATGGAGGTGCCTTCTCTCTGCCTGTAATAAGGAAAGAGGGGTCCCCACGCTGCCTCACTTCTAGACTTCGTATAATTCCACGCCCACAGGGGCCATCTCAAATTGGCGCTCCCCTAGGCCGTCATTTTCCATAATTCTTCAAATATAAAGTGTCCCCCTGTCCCAGCCTACACAGGAGCCTGGCAACCCTTTTCATATCCTTTCGTCTTCAAATTGTGTGGCTGCCTAGCTTTTCCATGCATGCTTCCATCAACACAAAGCCTGGGTAATTTTCTATGCGGAGCCTCACTTGATTTATGTTTTCTGACTAAATGGGACTATGGGAAATAGTTTGTGAGCAATGAAATGTTTTATTAGCTTTAAAAAGTATGTAATCAAATTTAACACTGCACTTATTTAAATAATAATCCCGGCTTTTTGACAATATTTCTATTACACAGTTGACTGCACCCATTGGCTACAATAAATTTACCTACAAATCATTCATGTATTAAAACGGCCTCTGGCATAAAACCCATACTGATCTGTCTCTCTGAAGAAAGAAAATGTAACCCAGTTTTGCCAGAGCAGTGAAAGGGGAGAAGAAAAAAGAAATCCTCTATTTTTTTTTCCTGAGGAGTTTTTTCACAGTTCTGAGCCCCACTGTTAATTTTCTTTAAATTCTCTGCCACTCACATTCTTGAATATGATACTATTAAATGATCCAGACAACAGAGTTTACAAACCAGGAATGACCCTGTCTGCCTGTTAGCTTAACGTCAAGGTGATGTGAAATTAACTTCAGAGAATTTAACACTGGCAATTAAAAGTTTCCGTTGCACTACATAAAGCAAATATGCACATGGTAGTCAAGGGCAACAGACGTCTTCCCTGGAGTTACCTTGCACAGCAAGTCTTAATAAGATTCTACTTGACTCTAATGATAAAAGTATATTTCATTATGCTGTGAAAGATAAACCAGAGATTTCCTATCCTTTGAGATGTATATCGTCTCTTTCATCTTGTCTCTTGGAAAAATGTCAGACACAGTCAACGCTGCATTAATTACCATTATTATGTTTTAGTTTCAGATGGACTGGAGGGGTCAAAAAAAAATCTTGAGAGTTTGGCTTTTTCCATTAAAGGCAAAAATTGTATTTGGGAATTCAAACTCAAAATTAAACAAAACAAATAATATTTTATAGTCAGCTCATGTATTCAGCACCTTCTAATGTACATTACTTTGGTTCTTCTTCTTTTGCTTGTGAGAAGCAATCCTCAAAAGAAGGCAGGACTCCTCTTAATGCCTGTACTCTTATAGTACTTATCAAAATTATAATAATCAATTATCTGTGGGGTTGAGTATAAGTAATCAGGACTTTTGATTATTTCATGCCTGCCTCCCCTACCAGAATGTAAGTTTCATGAGGGCAAAGGTCCTATCGTGCGGTTAACAATATATGGCGGGGTGGTTGGAATAGAGAGATGAGAAGGGAAAGAAGAAAGAGAAAAAGGTGGAAGTAGGGAAACAATAGAAGAAACTGCATTTAGTGCAGATTCTACACAGCTTAGCTAAACTCTCTGCTTCCTCCCCCAGAATGCAGACGCTGAGCTCATCTTCCCATCCCAATGTCCTGTATTCATTAACCAAGTGCCATCTCTGTTTCCTTATTGCCCCTTTATGCCTCAACCCACTGCATTCTGCCTTTGCCCTCCCTCCACCACCAAATATGCCATGGAAATCCCTTTCTCTACGGTTGCCAGGGGCCTCTTCATTGCCAAACCTTACAGGATTTTCTCCCTCAAATCTTCCTACTTTTCTTAGCCCATTGCTTCCTCTTCCTCGACACTATTCCCTCAGTTTCCAGGTCCCATACTCCTGGGCTTTCTCCTTTTCACAGGATCTTTGTCCTTTGCCCATTCCTCAAGTACTCATTTTCCCTAAGATTCTGTCCCCAGTACCTACTGTCTGCCTTAGCTCTCCTCTCCCTCAATAAGCTGCAGTGACCACCTCTGTGCTGCTGCTCCCCAGATCCATGTGCTGGCCTCAGTCTCCCCCTTCAGTGGCAAACCAAGTATCCAACAGGGTAGTGGTCATCTCTTCTTGGCCATTGCTCTGGCACCTCAGACTCACCCAGTCACAGTGGAGTTCTTCTAAAGCTGTTCTTCTTCCTCCTCTCTCAGTAGGCGGCACCACCAACCACACAGACTCCCCAGTTAGAAACTGCAGCATCAGTAGTATGAAATCCTACTAATGTTTTTCTCCAGGTTTGCTCCAATTCCATCCTGCTACCCAACTGTACCACTACTATATTAATTCAATAGATTTCCACAATGGTCCTCACTGCTCTTCCTGCCTCAGAGATTGACCCCAACAAAACCATCCTCCAGGTTGATCCAAGTCAAAGATAATTCTGACCACGTTGCTTTCCTTTGTGACAGCCACTAACAACCCCTTTCATATGTAAGACAGAGCCATAGGCCTGTTCATCAGGTCTCCCTGGGGTCTGGCCCCTGCCTGAGTACCCAACCCTGCCTCCCTCCACTCACTGCCACTCAAGGCACACGGCAGTAACAATCCCCCTGCAATTTTCTCTCCCAGCCAGACCTTTATTGTCACAGTGCCTGCTACCCAAGGCACCCCTCCTTCTCTCTCCCTGTGGCTAATCCTCACCCATGCTATAAGCTCAGCCTCAGCTCATCTCTTGTAAAAAGGCTCTCCTGACCTGCACTTTGCTTTGTCCTTTCCATACCATCATCACTATGTTTACTCTAGCATCTAAAAATGCTATACTTGGCTGGGCACAGTAGCTCATGCCTGTAATCCTAACAGTTTGAGAGGCTAGGCAGGTGGATCACCTGAGGTCAGGAGTTCGAGACCAGCCTGACCAACATGGTGAAACCCTGTCTCTACTAAAAATACAAAAATTAGCCAGGCATGGTGGCGGGCACCTGTAATCCCAGCTACTCGGGAGGCTGAGGCAGGAGAATCGCTTGAACCCGGGAGGTGGAAGTTGCACCACTGCACTCTAGCCTGGGCAACAGAGTAAGGCTCAAAGAAAAAAAAAAAAAAAAAAGCTACACTCACTTTTCCGCCTCTCAACCCTAGGTAGTTCTCTTTCCTTCCTCTGATTTGTCCTAGAAAGAACTGGAGGTGGTCGGGCGCAGTGGCTCAGGCCTGTAATCTCAGCACTTTGGGAGGCTGAGGCAGGCAGATCACTTCAGGTTAGGAGTTCAAGACCAGCCTGGTGAACATGGTGAAACCCCATCTCTACTAAAAATACAAAAACCAGCCAGGCACGATGGTGGGTGCCTGTAATCCCAGATACTCTGGAGGCTGAGGCAGGAGAATTGCTTGAACCTGGAAGGCAGAGGTTGCAGTGAGCCAAGATCGTGCCACGGTACTCCAGCCTGGGTGACAGAGCCAGACCCTGTCTCAAAAAAAAAAAGAAAAGAAAAAAAAGAAAAAGAGAAAAGAAAAGAAAAGAGAAGAAAAAAGAAATAACTGGAGGCAGTACTTCCTCCATCAGAATGAGCTCTTTGTGGGAAAGGGGCCACCTCACTTACCTTTGACTTCTACAGTCCCTAGGACAAGGTCAGGCATGTGGCAGGCATTCAGTTACAGTTTGTGTATTTTAGACATTTGCCACTTAACTCAAATGTTACCTAGCTCATCTTGAAAATTCCAACTAAAGTAAATATTAAAAACAAGCTGAAAAGGAGAAGCCAATTTGCTCCAGGAGATGCACAGCCAGTCCTTCTTAAGCCTGTACCTGAGAAAGTCTTCCTGATATTCAGAAACTGGTTAAAATCCTCCCCAGGAAAGCATTCTGAGAAAATAACATCAGAATGTTTTGTGTGTTGGTTGATGGCATATAGCTACATCCTAATGTAGACAAAGGAAGGGCAGCTCTGACCACATCTCAAAATACAACACATTCTGTGGATGAGTCTCTCAAATAATTAAAAGCTTATATGACGAAGTCCAACATTAGTTTTTGGCCACAAATCAATACACTGATGAAATCGCTAATTTTGGTTTTATCCAAAATAGAACCAGTCTTCCTGTCCATTCTAATGTACAGTGCCATGGAGTAATGGAGAACAGATCGGACACAAGGCCTTCCAGCACTTGGGCTTGCCAAAGGGGCCCTGGACCAGAGGCATATTCTCCTGGAGGCCAGAAGCCACGTGGTCCAACAGCCTGGGGAAAGGAGGCACTTCCCTTCCAACTGGAGAGTCTGGGCTAATGAAGTGAACCCAATTATAAAATGGCTCGTTATGTTAACAGAGGTCGTGGTGTCTGGAAATTATTGCTGGGGTGTCTGGAATTCTTAATAAAAATTACAGGAAGTCTGATTGCTTGTGGGAAAATCTATGAAGCTAAGGGAGAAAGAAAGAATTCTATCTTCTGGGAAAACCCCAAGAGCCAAGAGCTGACTCATCTTTACAAGGTGTTAATCAGGAGGGCAAGGTGTGACCTGAACTCTGTTCCCTGGAGCTCTCCTCTCCTGGATGAGAGGGGCCCATTTGGCCATGGCTGTCCCTGGCTGACACGTACCCCTTTCACAAAGCTCTGTATGGGAACCAGAGGGAAGGATGCCTTAGGTTAACTTATGCCATATCTACGTCAATGGTTCCCAGCTTGACCCTTGGAAAAGCACAAAACACACATGCCTGCATTTCAAGCACTGCTGGTTAATTTTCTATAGTTGATCTTCTTCCTCTATTCCCTTGTTATGCTTCGTTTCCTTCATCTGTTACTAGCAGAATGATGTTGAGAAAGTTATTTCAAGCATCCTTAAGTAAAAATGAGGCCGAAGGGTCCCCACTTCATGGGAATGTAATAAGAATTCAACAGGAATAATGCATGTAAAGTACTTTGGATGACACCAACCACATAGTAAGAAGTTCAATAAATGTTTTAGTGTATTTTAGTTATTATTATCATTTTAACTATTACTATTATGATTGTCATTGCTCTTATTGTTCTTGGTAGCATTGTGGTTACAGAGGTTAAAATCATGGCTCTTGGGGCCCGGCACGGTGGCTCATGCCTGTAATCCCAGCACTTTGGGAGGCTGAGGCGGGTGGATCATGAGGTCAGGAGGTCGAGACCATCCTGGCTAACATGGTGAAACCCCATCTCTACTAAAAATATAAAAAATCAGCCAGGTGTGGTGGCGGGCACCTGTAGTCCCAGCTACTCGGGGGGCTGAGGCAGGAGAATGGCGTGAACCCAGGAGGTGGAGCTTGCGGTGAGCTGAGATCATGCCACTGCACTCCAGCCCTGGGTGACAGAGCGAGACTCCGTCTCAAAAAAAAAAAAAAAAAAAATCATGGCTCTTGGCAGGGTGCAGTGGCTCACGCCTGTAATCCCAGCACTTTGGGAGGCTGAGGCGGGTGGATCACCAAGTCAGGAGTTCAAGACCAGCCTGACCAACATGGTGAAACCCCATCTCTACTAAAAGGACAAAAATTAGCCAGGCATGGTGGCGTGCACCTGTAATCCCAGCTACTTAGGAAGCTGAGGCAGGAGAACCGCTTGAACCCAGGAGGTGGAGGTTGCAGTGAGCTGAGACGGTGCCACTGCACTCCAGCCTGGGCCACAGAGTGAGAGTCCATCTCAAAAAAAAAAAAAAAAAAAAAAAAAGACATGGTTCTCCTGCTTGCAAGATGTGAGATTTGGCAAGATATTTAAGCTTTCCATGCCTCAGTTTCTTTAACTATAAAATGGGGGTGACCGTAATGTTTACTTAGTAAGCGAGATAATGCCATAAAGAGCTCTGCACATTGCCTGGTAGAGGAAGCTTGGAGAAATGGACACAAAGGATAATTGTTACTGGTTCCTTGTCATGTTCCTTCTTTCTTGATTTATTGGACACGTATCAAGTAGTGGCTCGGTGCTTAGGTTTCTAAATCTCCTCATGTGAAATAAGAGGCTCAAGAATTGTTTGGAAAAGTTCTCTACAGGTGGGATGCCTTTTCTGAAACTGAGCCAGCAGTTCTGGACACCTAGGTCTGGCAATTTCATCAAAAGTCAAGTCCACTATCTTTAGGGGCCTCAAAGTCTTCCCTCATCTCCATCTTTGACTTTTAGTTTCTCAGGAACTACAGTTTCCAATATTTATTATGTGGGTTTGGATCAATGAAATGTCCTTTCATGCCTCTGGGAACTTAACTCCAATTATAAAAGCCCTGGTGGATGAAGCTGGGGAACGAGGGATTGGAGGGACTTGTCCACACCCACCTCATCAACGATGGAGCCAGGAACCTGCAGAGTCAAGCTCTAACCACTGCCTGCCTCCACCTGAGGCCCAGGAAAGCCCAGGTCCCCCTCACAGCTGTGGTGAATCAGGCCCCAGCACATCAGGGAGGGTGGTGCCAAGAAAGAAGCCCCTGGCAGCCAATAATCCCTGATTCCTGGGCTCCCTTTAGATGGAGACAAAGAGAACCCTCGTTAATCTGAGTGGGCCAGAAATGGAGACCAGCTAGCCAGTCAGCTTGGTGCTGGGGGAGAAGGGGGTGGATGTGGTGTTCGCCCCTGTGCAGCCAGTGGAGCCCTTCGTCCAGTGAATCAACCAGATCTGGTGGGGGCTGCTCTCTGATGCCTCTGGCATGCACATGCTCATGCCTACATTTAGAGCACTCTTGGGCAGTGCTGTGTGCCTGGGTTGTGCCTCAAGGGCATCCCCCTCCCACTTTTTGATTTGTTTTTCCAAAGAGTCCCCACCAGGAAATAGGAGAGTTTTCTGGATGGGGTCTAAGAACTCTCCGGACTATTTTTTTTTTATTTTTTGATATGGAGTCTCGCTCTGTCGCCCAGGCTGCAGTGCAGTGGTGCGATTTCAGCTCACTGCAAGCTCCGCCTCCTAGGTTCACGCCATTCTCCTGCCTCAGCCTCCCGAGCAGCTGGGACTACAGGCGCCTGCCATCACGACCGGCTAATTGTTTTGTATTTTTAGTAGAGACGGGGTTTCACCGTGTTAGCCAGGATGGTCTCCATCTCCTGACCTCGTGATCCACCCGCATCGGCCTCCCAAAGTGCTGGGATTACAGGCGTGAGTCTCCACGCCCGGCCTGGACTATCTTTTTAAAAGGCAAACCAGTCATGTTGATATCCTGTGTGTATCAGAAAAATTCAATGATCATGTCAAAACTTAAGATATAACATTGATTCTTTAAACTGAGGTTAGAGGAGGTAAATAAGAAAAACAGCAAGTCATTGTAAATAATAAAAAAAAAACCTTTTAAATAACTGTGCAGATGGTATAAAGACAAGCTAACAGGCTGTAATAGTGGTGAGCAAAAACATCGCTCCAAAGTAGAGTTTGAAGCCTGAACTTTGTGAAAACAAGGCTCTGGGCATCTCTGTTGCTTTGATTTCAGGGATTAGGTCATTCATTACCTTGTATTTGGGGATGGTCTTCAGAAGTTCTTTCACTGGGACATCTGTGCCAACCACTCCCAGAAGAATGCCCTTCGATCTCTGTCGAAAATAAACATTGAATTATAATAACAGTAAGTTAACTTGGCAAAAGAAATAGAATCTCACGAGAAGTCACATACCGTCTGCCTGGTGCCTTCCCCAAACTGATACAGATTGAGGATTAACCCATATCTCCAAGAATGGTCTCTTCTATCCCCCACCCTCCACCCAAAATGTTACTGGGTAAAATGAGAGCTTCTCAGGCCAACCATTAACTACTACAGTCCCCAACGCATAATCCTACCAAGATACTACAATAGCTTCCCTCTCCTCTCTTGAAAATTAAACACTGATTTGAAGAAACACAAGAGTTTCAGCAGCTAAGGGCTCTAAACGTTCACCAGTTTCTCTTATGAAAGCTTTTTACAGGAAAGACAGCATGTTAACTGCTTTCTCAATTTACACTGCCATCTGGTGCCCAGGAGAGAGAGTCTAAATAGCAAGAGAAATATATAATAACCCTAACACTTTTACCAACTGAGGACCAAGGTGAAGGAATAGGCCTCTGGAGCCCCATTTTCCAAGGCATGTAGCCATTGTGATTTGCTAAAACTTTTCAGTGTCAGAAAGGCCATTTTTTTAAGGCTTTATGGTGAGTTGAACAGTGTCCCCCCAAGTTCATGTCCACCCAGAACCTCAGAATATAATGCTATTTGGAAATAGCATCTTTGCATACGTAATTGTTAAGGATCTTGAGATGAAATCATCGTGGATTTAGCGTGGGCTCTAAATCCCATGACTGATTTCCTTACAACAGGGAAGGACACAGAGAGACATATAAGAGGAACAGGTCACATGGAAACAGAGGCAGAGATTGGAGTGACACTGCCACAAGCCAAGGAATGCTGGGGGCCCCGAGAAGCTGAAAGAGGCAAGGAGAAATTCTTCCCTAGAACCTTCAGAGGGAGCATGGCCCTGCTGACATCTTGATTTCAGACTTCCAGGCTCTAGAACTGTGAGAGAAGAAATTTCTATTTTTTTAAGCCACACAGTTTGTGGCACTTCATTCCTAACAGCCCTAGGAAACTAATAAAAGGCTGGTAACTATAAATGAGAGTGGTCAGTGCACCATAATCATGGATGGTCTCTGGGGCTTTTCCTCCTCTGGTCCTCTAATACTTAAACTTTGGAAAGGTGTTGCCAACTCTAAAATGATGCCAGCCTGGGTTCCTCTCATCTGTTTTTGATTTGGTGATTCTAACAGCAAGATCAAACAATAAGGAAAAATGACATACATCCTATGCTTAAAAATCAAAAGTCACCAGAGCTGGAGTCAGAGGGGGTCTGAGAAAACCACCCTCCTAGCATCAAGCAGGAAGCTCAGCGACTGTACTCACGGTTTCGTTCTGCTTACTAAACACAGGCATGGCTACAGTGGTCATCAGGACGGGGCCCTGATCATCAGTCAGCTGGATGGAAGAGAAAAGCCAGTTACCGGGGAACGGTCTGGAAACCACAGTTCTGGAGGCCACCCCCTTGACAATCATGTCCTTTCCAAACCAGGGGCTGTTGAGATGGAACAGTGCCCACTCAAGCCTTTAGTGGAGCGCGGAGCACAATGTGTGTCCTGGATTTGCAGAGGACAGTCCCAGCCCCCAGCTGGGGAAACAAATCATTTGTCATTAGTCACTCTAGCAGATCTGTTCTCTGCTTTCAGCCACTTTGGTTCAAAGAGAACCTTGTTTGGATCTTCCTGATTCATTTTATTTTATTAGCACAGGTTTATTTTACTATTTTGCCTCCCAGACACTTATGTTTCTTAAGAGTGCTTCTCCGTAATCTAAATATTGAGGATCAGAAAGCATGCACATAAAGGGTCTGGTGAGTTGCCCCTGCTAAAAACAACAGAATCTGGATGCACTTATTTTCCCCAAGGTAGCCAGTCAAGGCTGTTTTACCTCTCTGGGTCTCTGAATGCCAGTCCCAGATGGAAAACAAATAAAACAAAAACAAAATTAAATAATAACTTTATTATCTGACTTCTAAAATCATGATGAAGAAGGTAATCATTTCTCTTATAAGAATGGCCCTTGAGGACAGGCGTGGTGGCTCACATCTGTAATCCCAGCACTTTGGGAGGCCAAGGCAGGCAGATCATGAGGTCAGGAGACTGAGACCATCCTGGCTAACATGGTGAAACCCCGTCTCTACTAAAAATACAAAAAATTAGCCAGGTGTGGTGGCAGGTGCCTGTAGTCCCAGCTACTCGGGAGGCTGAGGCAGGAGAATGGTGTGAACCCGGGAAACGGAGCTTGCAGTGGGCCGAGATAGTGCCACTGCACTCCAGGCTGGGTGACAGAGCGAGACTCTCTCCCAAAACAAAAACAAAAAAAAAAAAAAAGAAAAAAAAAAAGAATGGCCCTTGAAATACAGCATGTGATTCACGTCTGTAAACCTCTCAATTGGGTTACAGACACATGGAGACACACCATTGCACCTGCTTTTTACACAGTGTTGGGAGACAGGCAGGAACCCCTACTCTGTCCCAAACAAATAGGGAAACAGAGTCTTGGAACATGGTAGGCTTTGGCCCAAGACAAATCTGGTTCTAAATCTCAGCTCTGAATCTTTCCTAACTGCACTAGTGAAGTCTCCACATGCTCATATGAAATAATGCCCACTATTCCCCAGCACTGTTGCCATGAAGACAAAACAGAAAACTGCCCAGCATGGTACCTGGCATATGGAAGTGCTCAAAGGATGCCAGCTTCTTTTCTCTGCCTTCGAGGTCACACAGCTAGTAAGTAGCAGAGTCCAAAATGAGATTAAGGCTGGAGGCACTGCTGACAGGCACCAAAATTGACCAGGCAAGTCCTTCTGGCTTCGTAGCCTGTTCAAGCCCCAAGTGAAGCAATCCGTGAACTAGAATCCACTATCTTCAACCTAGCGTGTTTTCTGATATTTGGACACTTCTCTTCCATAGCTTTAGTTCCACAGAATAATCAGGCATTGCTCCCTCAATCTACTTGGAAAGAGGCATTATAAAGAGAAGATCCTAAAATCTAAGCGTTTGAAGCCCCCATTGACTGGCTGGTCTCTTGAGTAAAGGTCATTAAACTTAGTCTTTCTTTTGCCTTGTTCTTCTAATAGATTATTAGAGCTGTGGGGTGTCACTACTTACAATGTAGTACCCAGAACAGCAGCACCTGTAGCACCTAAGTGCTTGTTAGTCTCAGGCCCCATTCCAAACACTCTGAATGTGAATAATTATTTTAATGATTCGTATGTATATTAAAATGCAAGAAGCATTCGTATAGGGCAATCCTTTCCATTTCATTTCCACCAATAATCATGACAGCTAAAGAGAAGCTGGCAGGTGTTGGAAAAAAACTCCCAACAGGGGTGGAGGGGGCCATGCTTTTATAAGTTTTACATGGATATCAAGATAGTCCTATATCCCTCCGTGACAAGTAAAATGAAGCAAGAATCTCCTGGTCTGTCTAGGACTGGGAACTCATGGTGACATGGTTAATTTTATGTGTCAACTTGGCTAGGCCATCATGCTCAGTTGTTTGAGCAACTGCCAGTCTAGATGTTGCTGGGAAGGTGTTTTTTAGATGTGACTAACATTTTAATCAGTAGTAAAGCAGATTATTCTCCATAATGTGGGTGGGTCTCATCCAATCCATTGAAGGCCTTAAGAGAAAAGACAAGGCCCCCCTCAAAAGAAGGAATTCTGCCTGTAGACTGTCTTCAAACTCAAGACTGCAACATCAACTCTTGCTGCAATTTCCAGCATGTCAGACTGCCTGCCTTGCAGATTTCAGACTTGCCAGCCCCACAATTGTGTAACCCAATTCCTTAAACTAAATTCCTCCCCACCCTATCTGTATAGCCTATCTCTAGCTCTATAGGCTATCTCTAGAGAACCATGACTAATAATATACATGGTAATCATATAAGTGATTATTTTGGGCACCCTAATTTGGGTGAAAGAATATGTAAACAACTTTAATTCATCAATATAATAAACAAAAAATATTAACTATGAGATGATGCTGACAGTTAGTGTTGCCATGAACCAAGTCAACCAGTATATACAGTCTGTAATAGTTTTTGGAAACATGGTTCTAACATCTTGCTTAAAATACTCAAAGCATACTGTGGCCACCACTGGAAACCTGCAAGGCCATTTTCAAAGGCAGAACCAGCCCATGGTAAATAGTTCTCTTAGAATTAGAAGTCTTCCCATATTCTGACTCCTTGATTAATCGTTAATGCTATAAAGAAAACTGATTTGAGCTGATCCATAACTCCGCACAACTTCCACTTTGCAACTCAAATCAAATTTCAAGCAGTGCCAACATGTAACATGGATGAAA
Source organism: Homo sapiens (assembly GCF_000001405.40). Lineage (NCBI taxonomy): Eukaryota > Metazoa > Chordata > Mammalia > Primates > Hominidae > Homo > Homo sapiens. The sequence continues at coordinate 54,834,245 of NC_000003.12, read as the reverse complement.
TAAAAACATACCATTGACAATAATGAGAAATGAAGCCTTTTTCCTGCAACCAGTAAAAATCAGTTATAAATTACTAGTAATTGTCCTGGCACAAAGACAAGATTATGAGAAACTAACTTCAAAATATTAAGCCAGAATATAGTATCAACTTCACTCAGGAGCTAATTCCAAATGTAATTACTGCATCATTACTTTAAAAAAGAAACCCATAATATTGCATTTGTACTGAAACCATTCATTTGTAACCAGCCCCAGGTAAACAAAGGAAATGCATTCAGTTCAGTCTGGCAACAGTTCACATGTGGGCCAATGATCTCATGGACCTCTCCTAGGGGCAGTTCTGGCCCCAATTTGAACTGGCTTGGCCAGAACCCTAACCCGTAGGCTTTCCTATGTATACCAGTTCATCATTATGGCAACAAAGACTGGCAGGAACACAGAAATACCATTTGCAGAAAATTAAGACTCTCTTCTGCACCCACCAGCTCCATCATTCCCAGTCCCCACAGGTCTGGACTCTGTGAATCTTAAACGTTTCATGGAGAAACACATCAATTTGCAAGTTCATTTGCACTGTAAGCACTTTATGATTGAAAGGCATTCTATACTCTTGCCATAGGAAATAGCAGTCAATGGCAAGTTTTGTTTTTTTTTTCCCAGACCACCAAGCAGAAGTTATGCAGCCAACTATGGCCAGAAACCCTCTGTCCCCCAACACGTTGCTAGGGGGGTCCCTGCTTTTCTGTGGCCCCCCAACCTGTAGCTGCTACTGAGGCAAGGGTGCTGCTTATGATTCATACATGTGGCTTCCAAGAAAAATGCAGACGTAGAGTCAACATTCATTTTCCAAGGGGTAGGAGCAGGAGGTGGGGGTCACCATGGTCCATCTGGGCAAAATCCCATTAACTTAAGTCCAAGTGGGAATCTTAAAATGAACTGCTATGCAATTACACTTGCCCAGGCTTTAAGCAGGCCTCTGAAACCTGTGGTTGTGGTGCTCTGTTGTATACTAAGTATATATTATTCCATATCCTTCATTTCCCATGCTACATAATGGGGACCATTTGGGTATCAAAGGAAATGATGAATAATAATACTGAACATCTGGTTTATAAAACACAAACTTGCTCAACAGATTGACTGCTTCCTGTCAGCTTCCCAAGTTAATCATGCATGTAGGCTCATATGAATATGCATTTGAACTCATGTGCAAGGTCCACGTGGCCATGCCAGGCCTACTCCTTAATACTTGATTAGTTTCCCACTGATGGCACCAGTTGGCAACATGGCTAGACCTAGGGCATGACCCCAGAGAGTATAACAACACAGGACTTGTGACCCATCCATTTTGCTGCTGGCCTAGTCACCTACTCATTGATTTCCTTAATAAACACTCCTCGAGCATCAGCTATGTTCCAGGTTCCATGCCATGTGCTGGGAAGACAACTAGGAATAAGGCATGGGTCTTATCCCCAAGGAGCCTCAAGTCTGCTAAGGGAGAAAGAAAAGCTAACATGGCAGAGGAAGAACTAGCTGGGAATGGCATGCTGGCTCTCATTCGGTGAGCAGAGAGGCTCTCTTTTCCAAGTCCAGCATGAACTAAAGTGAAAATGCCTGGTGTTTATCAATATCTGTCAGGGTTTATATGACAGATTCAGAATGCTTCCTGAAAGCCAGTCTAACAAACGCAGGAGAAAGTAGTCTGCCGCAGAGTGATTTCATTCCATTGCTTTATACTTAAGGATATTGGTAAATGGAACAATGCAGGGGTAGACATCTTGTAAACTGCCTGGCCCCTTTCTTTTCCTTCTTCTGCAGGTATCACCCACTTCCTTTAGGAAAGTCCTCTTCACCCCGTCCAACCACAAGGTTTCTTAGCAGTCAAGCTCTCCCATCCTGAGTGTGGGGATGGACAGCCAACCCAGGCTGTGTTAACCAGAGCACTTCACACACAGAAGTGTGCACACACACACTCTGCGCGAGCTGCACTGGTAAGTTTATTAACTAGGCATGTAGTTCAGGCTAGGCTACCTGAGATGTTTTTCTTTTTCTAACCAGGAGCAAATGGGAAAGACTACCTATTCTCCTTTGTGAATGGCTATAAGAATGTCAGCTTGACAGCCGTGTCCCCTTGCCACAGAGAGGCGATGAGACTGAATAAAATAAACTCAACAGAGAGGAGGAGAGACGTGTGTGTGTGTGTGTGTGTGTGTGTGTGTGTGTGTGTGTGTGTGACAGAGAAGAGAGAGATAAAGAGGGAGGGAGGAAAAAAAAGAGGGAAAGGGCGGGAGGGTACCTGTCCCTGAATGCCTTCATTCCCAAGATCAATTCCACCAATGCCCCTTTTCCATTATGGGGTTGCCTGAGCCAATAAGTTTTCTCTTTTAGCTTCAATGAGCATGAAATGGATTTGTAACTCTTAGACATACCAATCTGGGCCATAAATGACCTAGGCAGCTCTAGATACCCACTGAGGTGGTCCCAAGTGCCATGTACAATCCACACAAAGGAGAAATTTCTGAGGCCAAAAAGGCCAAAGGCAAAAGGGTACCAACATTCCCAAGATGGATGGTTGCATATCTTTCCCACAAGAGAAGAAATTTAGGTACCTGCAAAGTACCCAAATACTGATGGTAATGACTACTCTTTATGATGGTATAAAAGACTATTGTCACTAGAATTTTATGTCAAGCCTTCACAATGAGTAGAAGTTTGGCTGCTTCCCCAGTGGTTGCCCATGGTGGGGAGCAGCTGTGGCTATGTGCTTGCTGTCTGGGCAGCCTCCACCTTTGAAGGACATCTGTTTGGGTTGCCTTCTTCATAACTCTATTCAGAGGAAGCTTGCCAGGACTGGTGGCAGAAGCCTCTGTTTCTCCTGCAGCTGGAAGCCCCTGGGGGTGAATGCCAAGCTGCAGAGAAAGGAGGCAAGCTGGACCTGGAAGGCATCTGAGCAAGCCAAGGACAGCACTCTTGGCAGCCCATTTGAGGACTGCCAGGTGGTTTTCAGCGGAGCCGCCTGCCAGATCTGCTCAGCCCTAGAGGCTTGGGCTTAAAGGGAAGGTTGTGCACAAATGGTGGACTCAGCTCAGATACAGGACTGGCTCCAAGTCAAGAACAAAAGCTAATCCACTAACTCTCATCAAATATCATATTTCTTCTATATTTTGCTCCTCTTACATTTGTGTTGCTTTATTATTAACATTGATCAACATATTGACTATGTTAGTAAATAATATAAATGTATAATACTATAATACATAAATATTTTATATGTGTGTGTATAACTTGTGAATACGCAGCGGTGTTTCTGCTAGCTTCCTTTCAACACCTGCGAGGAACTTCAACCTGCACTCTATGAAAAGACACTGCCACCATCTAGTGGCCATTAGGGTAAATTGCAGGCACGAGGTCCTGGACGACAAAAAGCCATTTCCAGAGTATGGGCCTTACAAACAAAAATATATTTAGGGGCCAGGTGCGGTGACTCACGCCTGTAATCCCAGCACTTTGGGAGGCCAAGTGGCCAAATCCCAGCACTTTGGGAGGGCGGATCACCTGAGGTTGGGAGTTTGAGACCAGCTTGGCCAACGTGGCGAAAACCCGTCTGCACTAAAAATACAAAAATTAGCTGGGCGTGGTGGGGGCACTCCTGTAATCCCAGCTACTCTACTTGGGAGGCTGAGGCAGGAGAATTGCTTGAGCCCAGGAGGTGACGGTTGCAGCAAACCGATATCGTGCCATTGTGCAACAGCCTGGACTGCAGAGTAAGACTCCATCTCAAAAAAAAAAAAAAAAGTATTTAAATGCCAGCTGATGTCGTTTAGTTACCTACCCAACTGAAGCAAAGACCGGCGGTTATCAACAATTAGGTCTGATAATAACATTTGCCTTGACAGAAAAGGAGTAGTACTAAGAGGTGGAAAAACACAGCTGTGCACATCTATAAATCAGACGAGACATTATGAAAAGAGAACCATTGATTCTTTAAGATAACCAGAATCTGGGCTGGGCGTGGTGGCTCACGCCTGTAATCCCAGCACTTTGGGAGGCCAAGGCAGGTGGATCATGAGGTCAGGAGTTCAAGATCAGCCTGGCCAAGATGGTGAAATCCCGTCTCTACTAAAAATACAAAAAATTAGCCAGGCGTGGTGATGGGTGCCTGTAATCCCAGCTACTCAGGAGGCTGAGGCAGAGAATTGCTTGAACCCAGGAGGCAGAGAATTGCTTGAACCCGGGAGGCAGAGAATTGCTTGAACCTGGGAGGCAGAGGTTGCAGTGACCTGAGATCTTGCCACTGCACTCCAGCCTGGGTGACAGAGCAAAACTCCATCTCAAAAAAAAAAAAAAAAAAAAAAAAAAAGATGAAGAAGAAGAAGAAAAGATATGCAGAATCTGAGAATGTGACAGGGGAGCTTAGCAAAGGAGAGGTTCTTTCACACCCACTTTCTCAAATGCAGCTTGAACAAAAGGGACACCAACTCCTTGGCACTTTCACCTCTCCCCATGAGCTTAAGTTTATCAATGACTTGGGAATTCTTAAGGGCCATTCTCTGGGTAGCACATAATAGGGTTAATGGGGTGAGGCTGGGAAGAAATGTCACCCATGTCCTGCAGTTTGCACACTCCATGGCAAGGAGAGAGGAAGACAACAGAAAGCCATCAGAACAGCTCTCTGTACAATTAGTTTGTGAGGGCACCAGGGAGAACAGCAGGGAGACGTACATCTGGAAAAGGGGATGTAAGCAGACTATGTGGCAATTTAGATACCTTCCCCAAACAAAGTCTCTGCACCCTTCCCTCCTCCACCAGCCAAAAAAGTCCTCTGTACCTAACCTTTCAATGGCCAACTACTTGCACCACCCCCAAATCTCCCACCCACTTCCATCATCACAACATCTCTTATCCTCAACACTGGGCAGACATGTCAGGGAAAGAATCTAGTAAGACTGTGCTAGGCATGTTCAGGAGGATGTTTTCTCTGGAGACACACCCCCAGTAGAGATACAGACACCTTTTGGAGGAAGAACACAGGTGAAAATCCACTGAAACGTGGGGCAGGGAGATCCTATTGCATCTCATGCCTGGAAAGGGACCACAGTATTGATTCTGCCTACTTGGCTAATGTTAACATCATCTGACTCTGGCTGTGGATTTTGCTCTGCTCTTATATTCTTTAGATTTCCACTACTTTTAGTGATAATCTTAAGGTTTGCTGATTGTGAGCAGTTTTAATTGAGAGACTTTACAATTAGAATAAGAAACAAGAATAAGAAATAAGTAAACCTTTCAAGTAACATGTCCTCTTGCTTTTCACTTGATTGTCTTGGTAAAGTGTAATCACTAAATCTTGAGAATGCTACAAAAAAGATATTTTGCTTTTAGCCAAAACATTTTCCCTCTTCTTACTGAATCATTATTACTTGCATTTGAGATCTGGAGATTCCATATTCTTCCATGAGATTTCACTGCATTTTAACTTGTTTAAATACAAAAGTAAACAGATTTCCCTCTTTGAACTTTAACTGCATCTTGTATGAGCTAAATTGTTGAATTTGTTTGTTCTCTTTCTCTTCTTAACAAACTGAAGACAACTTTGTGAATATAATGCTGGACAATCTTGGAACATCTATATGAGAATCTAAAAACAGTCCTCTTCTAATAAAATTGTTATTATTCGGGAACATTTTGATATTCTGTCCTTTTGTTCCAGTGATTCTAGGATATGTCATTAAGAAAGGAATATGTTTTATGAGTAAACTTCTAGATAGAGGGAGGATACTGCCTTTGACCATGAACATATATAAATAAAGCCATGGTCATGAGAATATCACTGATTAACATATCTGAAAGCTGTCTTGGAAACCGCTTTGTTGGTTTATTTGGGTATAACCTGCTTATTTCAAGAATGCCCAGGACTAATGACAATGAAAATTATCATGAGGCATTGGATTTTGGTCAATATTTATGATGAGCCATGACACATAATTGACCCCCCATGGTGGCCAAATGTTCATATTTTCACAAACGTGGTTTAGACACCTCCAAGTAGATGCCCTGAAAACACAGGCAACTGTCAGAGCTTTGGGGCCCTGGGACAAAACCTTCTCCTTGTTTAAAGACCCCCTGAAATGCTGCTTCCTCCATAAAACCTTCCCTAACTAAGTGGAAATGAGAACCAGATGTTCTCAAACTTCACTACAAAGATAATCATCTTTATTCTACAACCAAAGATACCATCTAGGACCAAAATTTGTGCAAACTGTTAATGAAGCAAAGTCACTGAACACTGTGGCTGGAAGAAATGCTGGGAATTGTGTAAAGCCTGTGAACTCCAAGGGCAGAAGCTGGGAAAGATTCCTCTTTTCATCCACGGCATTTAGCACAGAGCCTGGTACACAAGACATGCCCAGCAAATGGTCCTTAAATGAATTTATTCCAACACTATCGTTTAATTTATTTCACAAATGAGGCCCAGGGAGTAAAGAAGGCAGAGAAAATTAGTACCAGAATTCAGGCAAGACTCTGGGGCTAGTGCTCCCTCTTTCACATTATACAGTCTCTCCTTGCTCACGGCTCCTTCACTGAATATCTTTGTGTATTTTGCCTGTATCAATGTGGTTGGACTGAGACTGTAAGGAAGTGCTGAGAAGCTGGTGCACAACGTCCAGCTGATGTCACAGTGATAAAAGAAAAGGACTTAAAAAAAACACAGCTTAGTTGAACACTGCAATGTGCTTAGCAGCACGGAGAAGACAAAAAGTAACAAGCAAACGGAAGCAAACAGACCTGCATTAACATGCTGGAGAAGGTTACTCAAACTTGCTGAGTCATTTTTATTGATCTATCTTTCCATCCTTCCTTCTGTCTATCCATCCACACGCCTACCTTTCCATATCCATTGCCAAATATCATTTGTACTTGCTACCAAACGTTGCTGTGAATGTTTTGCATCTACGTAGCCTTAAATTGAACCCTGACAAAGACGTTGCAAGTGCCTACGCACATTTCACAAGTGAAGGAGTTAAAAAGGCAAAGTGCCTTGCTTCAGGTACAGAAAACAGCAGAGTAGAGATCTGAGTCTTGGTCTACCTGATGCCAGAGCCTGTGTAGTAACCACTCCACCCTCAGACTCTTGTTTTGGGGTGCAAAGACAAATGCCATGTTTGGCCCTCAGGAGTTTGAAGTGTAGCAAAGGAGGTTGCAATCAAGCAAATCATCCTTCAAATAGGAAAAGTCCTTAGAGTTCTTGGAGGCATTAAATGAATTATAGACATAAAGTGCCTAGCACAGTGCCTGGGACATCTGACAAGTGCAATTAATCTCATAAAGACCATTCCAGACTAGGCCAGAGAAATTCTTATGCTTCTTTGAAATCCAAAGATTTGAACTTCATCTATCTCCTGAATTGCATAAATAAAATAGGAAGACATGTTTCCTTTATCCCATGATCAAATATCTTGGTCTTAACAGTTAAATAATATGAAAGCAGTTGGTGGGGGTGGGGAGTGGTTAATTATAATTAATTATGATCATAAATATTAAAGGAGATTAGGAAGGATGCACACTGGGAAGGAAGTTGTTATAGAGGAAGGGAGTCTGGGAAGAAGGGACAGATGCTTCAGAAGTACCCAGCCTGTAAATCATCTAATGTGTTCCAGGCCTGGGCAAATATGGATGGGTCCCATCCAAGCACACAGGGCTCATGATTCAGCAAGTGGTTCAATTTCGTGAGTCATTTCTGGAAAAAGAAAATCCATACCACGACATTAGTCTTTGCTTGACATTTTCTACTTCATGAAACTTGGTTGGGTTTTCCAAAATCCTTCTAGTTAATTTGAAGGGATAAACATCTAACATTTTGTTTTTGAACTTCTTGGTAGCACTGATGTACAGGATTGCACAACTGCTCCAGTTTACCCCAGAGGGTCATTTCAGTTGAATCCTTTGGCATGAGATGTCTGGCAGCGCATCCAGAGCCATTCCTTCAGTTCTCATGGAAGTGGGCTACATTTGGGTTTGTAATGGATATATATCCATTAATTGGGGATGTGACCAGTGAGTAACATGACTGGAAAAAGCATCAGGCAGCTGAACATGACCAGACCATTAAATATGTGGCTCAATTTACTAAGAAAAACCAAAAGGCAGTTGCTTCTTTAAAATAATTAATTTTTTAGTTTTAATGTGCACAAACAATACAGGTAGACAAATTTTGTCAGAAAATTCGATTTGTATTGTATCAAAAAAATTTTGCCAAAAAGTAAAGAAAAGCTATGCATATGCACATATGGTATGTGTGTTTTCTCTTGAGTAACTCATCATATTAATCTAGTATATCTTCCACACAGGAAATCCCTTCCTATGAGAACTAATAAAGTCAGATTAAAATCACTGATGATGATTTCACATTGATTTGATATAGACTTCATTTATTATATTTTACATAGATTTGGTTTTCAAATTAGTAACTAAATTGTATTGAATCTGATTTACCTCAGTGTTAAAATGGTGTTCTTGTGTCATCTTTCTCTAATGCAATTAGAAAATAAAATATGTTTATTTCCTGGGTTGCTTAATTCTTTATCTCTTTAAGATACTGGCAGTTGTCCTTTAACTTGTTCTTTAGCTGGCCTCTTCCAAGGCCTTGGCCATAAAGTGTAGATTCATACATTGTTGATTTCAGGAAACATCCAGTGTGTCAAGTGATGGATACAGGTGTTCTAAATCTACCAAGAAATACGGAAGAGACCCCAAAATGAAAACCCAACTCATTGAGTTCAAGATCAACTTTGTGTCAATAAAAATGACCTACAGAATTGTATCTATAAGCAAGGAAACAGAACATTGAGTGTCCTGTGATGTCCCCTTCAAGACCACCCAGGCTAAATACTGGTGATACTGACATTAATATCATGGTATCCCAATTCAGAGGGCTTTGTGAAATAACTTTCCTCGATCCTCTACCTTCCCTTCTGTGTAGAAGGAAGAAGGGTGTTTTTATATCTTCGAGGATGTAAGAACAACTGAGATGAAAACAACTTTAAAAATTTCATTGTTTTTACTCAGATGTTTCCTTAACATTCAAAAGAAAAGGCAGTTTCATTGCAGCAATGTTGTGAGTACAGTTTGTATTGTTTTAGCACCTTAAAAGAGTCATATTTTATAACTGTGCTTGATTTAAATAAATAGAAAACAGTCACATATTTAAATAAATGAGAATTTTTGAAAGAAGACACTGGATTTCTAAGACACTAAGAATTAAGTCTGAAACTAGAAAGCACTGAGATGTAAGGAACTGTAAAATCAATTTTTGGTTTTCAACTTAATAAACACCAAGTTCTTTTTGCCTATTTTTAAAAGAAACCATTTCTGCTTTAACTTTATTAAATGTGTCTGTATTAAACAAGGTATAATGCTGCTAGCATTATTAATAATATTACTGTCCCTGCCATGGCCAACACTACCCCTCATTGAGCATGTGGCGTGGATGGGCCCTGAGCAGGTGCTGCTCCTGTACTCTCAGGAAAATCCCATAAGGGACGTGTCTGTACCCCATTAAAACAAGAAAAACCGAGGCTCAGGACGATGTATCCTGGGTCCATATCCTGGGTCCAAGGTTACCAGTGAGAACTGGCAGGTGGGGCCTCCACTCCATATCCAGCTGACTCAAGTTAGTCTTAAGAGCGATGGGCTCCTTTGCCTCACCTGTAGGAGTGGAATGCGTCCCTTCTGCAATGATGAATGCAATACCAGAGGTTACACAACTTGGTACAACACTCTCCAAATAGCAAGTTGGGCAGATGTCATTCTCACCCCACTTCATTTTTTCCATTTTTAAGCCAAGGTAGTCCTTCCCCCAACCAGAGGTGTGAGGAGGACAGGGAACACCTACTGACTGAGGCTCATGTTGGGTGGGTGACCTCCACGGTGTAACCACACACCTACCATTTTTTGTGGATTTCCCATGCTCAGATCAATGTCGCTCTAAGCATCTGACATGGACTGAGTCTTTGATTAAAGATTGGTAGATCGCCTTTGGTAGAAAATAAGGATTACTGATAAGCTAAGGTACTTTCAGACTTGTCCCACGTAAGACAACCCACTGTTTATAAACCTTTGTCCTTCTGATTATAGCTGTCTGTACCAAGAATCAATGCATGTTATGCATGTGTATTTTTACAACAGAGTTTGGGTTTCCCACTTTTTCATTTGTTTATTTCTTGGGAGAGTTGGGCTTAGCAGACTATTGTTAGGTTAACTCTTGGTAGTCTATTTCATTTAGTGTATTTATGAGTAAAACAATTAGTTCATTACTACAAATATAATCATTTACTTATAAAAATAATGTACGCTCATAATACAGAATTTGAAATATGCAAAAATGTATTAAGAAAACAAAATACATATTTGTTCTCCTACCACTAGGAAATAGCCACTATTAAATATGTCTATGCATTTCTTTCCAATACAGTTTTGTACATCTGTTTGTACACACACGCACACACACACAACAGGAGCATAATGTACATAAAATGTTACACTCTAATTTTAAAATGATGTATTTTCTTACATTATTAAATATCCTTTTGAACTATGGTTTTGTTTATGGCTTCTTAATATTCTGTTTTTTGGAAGTTCAGTGACTTTTTCAACCACTTTCTCATTTCAGGTATTTTGGCTCTTCTTTTCCTCATTATAAATAAAATTGCAAGTCACTGACCAATTTAGGCTAGATTCTGCAAAAGAGGGTTGTTGAGTCAAAGGCTGAAAGTGTGAAAGTTACTGGTATGTAGTGGTATGTTTTATTGAAGGCTTTTATCAATTTTCATGCATAAAAGTGTAAAAGCTAAAAAAAAACTTTTAAAAAAGTTAATAATAAAATGTAATATTGTTTTTACTTTGTTTTTTTCCTGAATAATCAGGAAAAATAGTATATAAAGCATAAAAATAGTACATGAACACGTCAAATGTTCAAATAAATCTGAAAATGGAGTAAACCCTGATTTTTCCCCTTACACACAAGTAGACACACACTATGAGGTTGTTTGATATGAAGAGATTATTTCCTTTCAATAAGAAATGCAAATAGCAGGCTGGGCATGGTGGCTCATACCTGGAATCCCAGCACTTTGGGAGGCTGGGGCAGGTGGATCACCTGAGGTTAGGAGTTCAAGACCAGCCTGGCCAACATGGTGAAACTCTGTCTCTACTAAAAATACAAAAATTAGCTGGGTGTGGTGGCAGGTGCCTGTAATCCCAGCTACTCGGGAGGCTGAGGCAAGAGAATCGCTTGAACCCAGGAGGCAGAGGTTGCAGTGAGCCGAGATCGCGCAATTGCACTCCAGCACAGGCAACATGAGCTAATCTCTGTCTCAAATTTAAAAAGAAAGAAAGAAAGAAAGAAAGAAAGAAAAGAAAGAAAGAAAGAAAGAAAGAAAGAAAGAAAGAAAGAAAGGAAAGAAAGAAAGAAAGAAAGAAAGAAAGAAAGAAAGAAAGAAAGAAAGAAAGAAAGAAAATAAAAAAGAAATGCAAATAGCATCTTGCTTCCAAACAGAGCTCCATGACCCCCAGGAACCCACACGTAGCTTCGGCTGGAGTGCCTATATGCTGTCCTGCTGGCTATCCTGCCATTAGGAAGCCATGCACTTTGAATCTGAGGGTCTTGCATTCATTTATTTCAGGCCTCAAGTGCAAAGTTGGATAGGGCCATGGAAAAGGGGTCAGCCAAGACTCACATGGGTACACTTGCAAAGTTCACCTCCTTCCTCAGCAGCAGAGCAGCCTGTCTGGGCTGCCACAGACACACTCATACAGAACTATGGCAGAGAACAAAATACTTAGTTATATAACCATTGTTAGGGTTGGGCAATATGCCATCACTCAGATTTCCACAGAGCCTCTCACGCTGGCTACAGGAAAAGCTGAAGTGACTAGACTTGCTCTCTGGTTTCTAGCACCATAGCCTTATTCATAAAATAGATCCAATAATTTAAACTGTAGTCCACTGTGCTGCTATCATTTTTCAGACTGTGAGTATATCAATCTTAACACCCCCGGCTTGGGAATGCATATAAAAAGTACCTTACATGTTACTATAAAATAGTAAATGATAAGGAGAAAAATAGGGTTTTCAAAACAAGATGTAATAGTTTACATGCAAAGCAAAGTACAGGTAAAAGCAAATGAGTCATAAACCAGAACCAAATGTAAATAGTTATCAGTTCTCAGTTTTGCACTTCATTTGCATCAGTTTAGATGGTTATATAACTGTAATGAAACACTGAAATCACTAGACCTGCAGTTCTACAAAAACAGCAGCTTTGCAAACTTTCAATTTTCAATTTTCATTGACAGTTAATTCAACTGTTCGAAGTATAGAAGTTAAATGAGGCAAAGAATGATAAATGATGCCTCGCAATTGCTGAAATCTGATTACCCTGAGATAAGAGCTAGGCCAAATTCTACTTGTACAAATTTGTACCTAAGGAATGAGAAAGAGAGAGAGAGAAAGAGAGAGAGAGAGAGAGAGGAAAGAAGGAAGGAAGGAAAGAAAGAAAGAAAGAAAGAAAGAAAGAAAGAAAGAAAGAAAGAAAGAAAGAAAGAACGAAAGACTCTAGAAAAACGAAGGCTTCCATTTATTCCTCCAAAATATAATATAAACAAGGAAACAAAGAAAATGCAAATAGATTCAGGATGCCGTTTGCACTCAGGGGGAGAAATTAATAAAACAGTTCCATTCTGAAAAAGAGACCAAAAATCGACCTCCATTTAAGAAGCTAATTTATGCACTCCTGAGTCCTCATACAAGTTAAGCAGCACAGAAAATCACAGCAGGCATAGAACAACAGATCTTGAACCCTGCTGTGTTTGTTCAAGGAGGCAAGTTAAGCTGTTCCTAACAGGAAACAAAACACGCAGTCGGGCTATTAAACAGGGATCATTTTGCCATACTGCGCAGCCCTGAATGCATCAATTGCTGTTCCAAACAGGATTAGAGATGTGGTTTGCTTTAACTATGGTTTTGTGAAAAATGCTTATGCCTACTCAGAATTCTCAGGTTGATATTAACTAATACGGTGTCAGGAAAGACATAGAGCACCTAGGAAACCTTTAAGAAATGTTCTTTTGCAAATTCCAAAGTTGTGTGGATGCAGCAGAAAATGAAGGGAAAGGGTACCAGAGTCTGGACACGTTCATCCACATAAATAGCCACGTTTGGAACTCCCTGAAGAGTATTTTTGACTTTAAACATTCGGGCCCACTCTACGTTGATTAAACCTACATTGATTAAATTAATCCTGCAGTGAATAACTGATGTTTAGCTCCTATAGACAGAATCTACGTGAAGAAAAATGCAGCTAGAAAAAGGGACTATTTTGTTCAATAGTATTACTATTGAACATATATTTGTAAATGGCTTTGGGTAATTCTGCTATGTTATTATCATAAAATCAGATCTCTCGGACACTTCTGTAGAAGTAAAGAAGAATTTTTAAAAAGCAGACCTTTCTTACACATAGACCTCTCTTCATTGTTGAATTCAGGGACAATCAATCCACCCAAGAAACTGGTCCAATTTCCACCCAGAAGAATGAATTTGTGACGCCTTGAAAGTGCTGCATCTGTATTGCTACATATTTTTTAGCCAAAACCTCAGGACACTACCTCCATATTTGCTAAGAATATTTAATATTTATCAGGTTCATCACCAGTTAGTGCCACTCCAATTTTATATCAAGGCTTGAAATTTATAGAGTCTAGGAATTATCTTAGAGATGCTTAAGAACCACAGAAAAAATAATATTTTTTTTCAAACTGTTGTTCTAAAACATTGTCATAAAGGACTAGAAGTTTTGGAAGACCCTCAAAATATTAGAATCATGAAAACCATAACTTACAGACAACAGTCATTAATGGCTGCTACACATAAGAGGGACACCCAAATGGGACATTTTTAGTTGCAGATCAGCCAAGAGATTTAAATAAGTATGTTTACAGAGACGTAACTATTTAAAATATTTATAGAGAAAATAGTTGCAGATGATACAAAGGCAGAGTCCAACAAAAACACAGCGCAAATGCAGACACCATATGGTACAACGTATGCGCTCATGACCTCATGTGAAAAGTAGGCCAAAGCTGTAGTGGCTGGGGGTGCCTCTCTTTCACCCCTGGAACAACAAACTCAGGGGTTTGGAAAGAGCTCATTAGAATCATGGCCACAGATGAGTGAAATCTATGGGTAATGTCAAAGGCATTAGGAAGAAACCTCTCAAAACAATTCTCCCGACAAATTTTTGCTTTGTTGGGGTTTCAAGACCAATCTCCATTTCTTTCTGACTACATGAAGAAGGTGCAGTCAGTTTAAGCACACAGGTTTTGTGTGTGTGTGTGTGTTTTTTGAGGTGGAGTCTCACCCTGTCACCAGGCTGGAGTGCAGTAGTGTGATCTCGGCTCACTGCAACCTCCACCTCCCAGGTTCAAGCAATTCTCCTGCCCCAGCCTCTGGATTAGCTGGGACTATAGGTGTGCGCCACCACGCCCGGCTAATTTTTGTATTTTTAGAAGAGACGTGGTTTCACCATGTTGGCCAGGATGGTCTCGATCTCCTGACCTCGTAATCCACCTGCCTCGGCCTCCCAAAGCACTAGGATTACAGGCGTGAGCCACCATGCCTGGCCCAACAACAGAGTTTCTAATGAAATGGGGGGAGCACCCATACCTGCTGGGCTCTTTTGCCCTCTCCCAGTTATTCATTAGGCTTGAGTCAGAATCACAAAACATTGGGCAGAGGTCCCAGACCACCCCTCAGATATGACTGCTCTCTTGATGTGCTATGAAGCACCAGGGGTCAAGTCAAGCCAAGTCGTAATAAGAACTCTATATTTTGAGGGTCTACCATATGCCAGGCTCTGTGCGAGGAACAGGTAAGAGAAGTAACTTTCAAAACAAAAGTGGAAAGTTAGTTTATCATTCTCCTTAAGTAAATAAAAACATGTAGGCTTAGAGAGGTTAAGTAACTTACCCATGGTAACAAATGGATGAAGGCCAAAATGGAACCACCACATTCCTTTGCTGGTCAAGCAGCAAGACAGTAAATCTAAGGAAAGCTGACACTTGCAAGAACCTCATTCTTCTGGCAAAGGCCTCTTGCAAGTGTCACTGAGGTAATACTGGGGAAGGGATGGGAAGGGGAGTTGGGGGCAGGGATGCTAATACATTACCAGGTGGAGACTTGCAGCCTTTGGGAGGATGCCTTCAATCTATGGTGCACCTCTCCCTCAACTCCTCTTACCCTCCAGCCTAGATACCTGAGGTTTACGTTCAAACTCCTTCTTCAAAGAGCTGAATTTCCCGCAAACTACCCCCAAAGTGTTCTGAAACCATGTCGCATAGATCTCTTAATATTTTGTAAGGTAAGTGCCTTTCTCTATTTTAACAGAAAAAAGACAATTTCTAGCCATGATAGGAACAGAAGGCAAAGCTATTCCTTTTCACATAGGGCTATAGAACAAGTCCCTTGGGATGTCTGACATCATTCGGAGACAGGGAAAAAAATTAGGAAGCCAGCTGAGGTACCTTCCTTGACTTTTATATGACCACAATAATATGCTCCACTTTGCAGGGCATGTGATGTGAGTCAATATATGATGACAGAAGAAGTGAATGCAATGAAGTAAGTGCTACTGAAGTATTATATAGCCCAGCAACATTTGTTCTTCTGTATTCTGTGTTGCTTTGTTTTGAACTTTGTTTTACAATTCTATGGCTGGCTGGGCGCAGTGGCTCACTGTATCCCAGCATTTTGAGGCCGAGGCAGGCAGATCACCTAAGGTCAGGAATTCAAGATCAGCCTGGCCAACATGGCAAAACCCTGTCTCTACTAAAAATACAAAAATAAGCCAGGTGCGGTGGCGCATGTCTGTCCCAGCTATTCAGGAGGCTGAGGCAGGAGAATCGATTGAACCCGGGAGGTGGAGATTGCGTGAGCCGAGATTGTTGCACTCCAGCCTGGGTGACATAGTGAGACTCTGTCTCAAAAAATAAAATAAAACAAATTTCTACGGCTGATGGCACCTCCAATTCATGAATTATTTTCTGTAACAGGAATACTTTGTATATGGATCAGTGGAAATTTGATGAATAAATGTCAATAAGTGGAAGCTGGTCCATTTTTAGGCAGAGAATTTGTGAAGTCTCTCTATCAAAAAAATTCAAATGTAGGTAATTAAGAAAGCATGTCCTATCAAAGACATTGAGCCTTCCAAACAATCTGGAATTCTGACCATTTATTTACCCTGGAAGCTGTTGTGAGCCTTGAATACTTTAACTTTTAATGAAGTATTCCGTCCTTTTGTGATGGCATTGAAGTGTAATCAAACATTACCACAAGCCAAGTCACACACTAGCATGCCTTGCCTTGTTTAAATACCTCAAATATATCTGAGTAATTGTGTAATGATTTCTAGGCCTCTGGTTGTCCATATGGTCTGAACAGACTGTCTTTAGTAGAGCAGTTGTGCTCTCTCTCAATGAGAAGGAACCAAATCACCTCTGCTCTAAACTGGAGAGCTTAGGAGATGCTGTTTAAATTTCAGGGGGGTGCCCTACCTTGACTCTTGAAACACAACATCTGGCCCCCAGAAATTGCTGTGTCTTCCAGAATTTGTGAAACACACAAGAACAATGCAGCAGGCACTGAGTGACATATTTTCTGCCATAAATGTCCTTAGGATACAACGACATGCTATGAGGGTGACACAGCAAAGCCATCACTGCAACCACATGGAGTCTTTCTGGACACAGAACATTCTAGATGGTGGAACTAGATCATCTCAGACAATGAGGACCAGTGAAAGGGTCTGGCCATTGGCAAGAAATCTGCTCTAATGGTCTCTGGGATGATGAAGCTAGCAAAGGAGCTGCTGATTTTTACAATTAATAAAATCCAATAAGTTTTCAGCGATTTGGCTTAGGAGCCCCAAATTTAAACTTGGTTACCACGCCTTACTAATTATTCACATTATTTGTCTCCCTAAAAATTACCTCAGAGAAGGCCTGGAATGCTACATTGGAAGGAATGTGTCAAACTTATTCTTGACCTATTATTTGATAATTCTTAGAGAAACAGTTGGGCACAGATTCACCTCCCAATCACTGGCCACTATAGGGTCCTTTGGAGGGACTAACTCAGCAAAGGAGCAGTGGACAACTGAGTCTGCTGGCCTCTCTGTTCCTGCCCAACTTCAGGTTTCTGAAGCTGTGGAAAAAAACCATTTCACTGGTCATGAACAGTGTCAAATGTACAACACCATGGAGGCATGCATGACTCGTGAGTTCTGGGGGTGACTGGAATGTGACAGAAGAGAATTTACCTTTTGTGCCTGAGGGAGCTGAAGGGGGAAAACAAAACAAAACAAAAAAGAAAAAAGTTGATCATTATATAAGTAATTAATGGTAAAGCTTCATTTTCTTGCCATTTGCAAATGGAGAAACCAAAATGGGGAGACAAGTGAAAAAGAGGTAAAGCAAGTTATTTTTCAAAATGAAGCTACAGTGCTGATTATTTGACCTGCTTTCTGAATTTGTGGTATCAACAGATAATCTACGAGCTTTCCAGCATGTGTTTTGGGAATCACCACATCCAAAGCAGTTGGTAAACTCCTATAAAGCTGGAACCGAGGCTCTTCTGCCCAGTGATCCGAAGGGCACAATTCCATGACCCAGTTCCTTCTTCCTTTGACCAGCAGTTTTCAACTGGATGAGGGCCATCTGGAGACATTTGGGGTTGTCAAAACTAGGGGGTGAAAGGGAAGGGAGCGAGAGCTGTTGGCCTCTAGAGGGTAGAGGCCAAGGGACACTGTGGTACATCTTACAATGCACAGGACAGTCCCCCACAAAAACAAACTGCCCAGCCCATATATCCATAGTGCCAAAGTTGAGAAACCCTG
This sequence comes from Homo sapiens, assembly GCF_000001405.40. Classification (NCBI taxonomy): domain Eukaryota; kingdom Metazoa; phylum Chordata; class Mammalia; order Primates; family Hominidae; genus Homo; species Homo sapiens. The sequence continues at coordinate 54,816,294 of NC_000003.12, read as the reverse complement.
CTGTATATAAAGGTAAGACTGTTAGAAAAATGCTTGTTTTTAAAGTCAATTTTTCTTGCTTTGTAGCACATTAACTGTTCCCTTTATTGATGGTTAAGGAAGTATGCACCAGGATTTGTGCATTTAAAGTAAAGCTGATGTTCTAAGAACAAGGAAAAGGCAGTCAGTCAATCCATAAAATAAGACATAACAGCTTTCCCAATGGCACAGGCGAGGAACTGAAATTAATAGGTATGTGGAAAAAGATCAACATTTACGAGACATATTTGTCTATATTTCTGTGTTGAGAGTATTAGGCTACGGTTTAATTCCACAGTATTATGACTGCCATTATAGCATGCAGTGTTTTTGAAAGCATCTTTCTAATCTGGAATGGAATTAACATGATCCATGTATTAAATACCCAATCTAAGAATTACATCATTACGAAGATTTACTTCTCAACATAGGGACTAACATTTATCGAGTGTGAACTTGTCACCAGGCACTGTATTACGTCTTTGCATTATCCCATTAAATCACAACAACCCAATGCTAGGTATCCCTGTTTTACAGAGAAAAACTAAAATGGAACTTAAAGGTTAAGTAATTATACAACGTCCCATAGATAAACAATCATAGGACTGTGCTGCCTGACTTTAGAACATACTAATTCAACTCAATTCACACATAAATAAAGACCCCAAACACTTGGGAATTGTGACAGTAGACTTTCTCTCTGTCTCTCTAGAGCTTATGACATCAGAAGTGCTAGAAAATGCAAAGCAACTAAATGAGACATCTTAAGGTCTCCACTTGAATCATCAGACTTTCCCATTCTTTTTACTCTGGGAAGAATGCTTTCTCTTCTGATAAAAGAAGACCAGGGCTCTCTTAAACTTGCCCTAAACCCCTGCCCCTGTGGATGGAGCCCACAAAGAGTAGAACCGAACAAACAAGATGTTTTGGATCTCAGAGATGTCTCCAAAATGGTATTGAGAATGTCTATGAAAAGCAGACTCCAACTTCTCCAACACTCAATTTCCAACACTTTTATCTTATACGGGTCTCCCAATTTAAGAAGACGGAAATATGAGGATGTTTTCCTGATTTGTTCCTCCTACTTATGGCTGGAACTATTCAGAAAGGAAGCTCATAAGCTCCTCCAGTGCTTTTCAAGAGTTCAGAAAAAAATAGACCACGAGATGAGAAACTGAGTTTAAAATGAGGAATCACTTTTAAAAAAGCTTCTCAAATATTAAACATCTTTTCACACAACAGGAAACAAACCTTGGATACATGAACATTGTGGAATGAAAAATGTATATTTTCTTAGGAAAGTGTTTGTGTCGAATCGCAGCTATGTCCTGTGAAAGCAAGGGGCCATGAGTATGACAAATGTTTGATGGACTGCAAAATAAATACCAAAGTGAAGCCCTGCACAAACTGCTGGACTTTGCAGGCCTCTCTGACAGGAGAGCTGTCCTTTCTCTCTCTCTCTATTTTATCTTTGTTGAGCAGGAAACACCTCTTTTTGACTCATCCATTTAAGCATATGGGAAGAAATCCTGGGAAGGAAAATGACAGACCAGGCCTTTGTGGTGATGTCCTCAGTTTAAGACTGCCCTCATCCTCCCCACAAAACATATATTTTCCTCAAGAAATAACTTACGAGAACAAAGAGCAACTTTCCTACTGGAGCTTTTAAATAATGTAAATTACAGCTTGTGATGCCCTCACCAGGCTGGACCTCTCTGAAGGAGTCTCAGGGTAGAATAGCACATATTTAGATCAGATCCTCTGTGGCCACAGATGCTGCTGCTGGGAGCTGGCTCCCCAACACATTGTCACCCAGCATTCATGACTTGCGTGCAGGGCCCTGCCCTAGGGGCCAGACCAGCCAGATACCTGCTCTGCTTTGGCCTTTGACTCAAGTCTTGAGGCATATGCCTTCCAGCCTCTGGCCAGTGTGCTTGCCTGTAAAGTGGAATGATAGAGAGAGGGCTGGGGAAAGGCCAGGTCTTGGATGGCCGCTAGGTTTTACCTTGAGACCCAGCTCTAACTAATTAGCAACGGCTGGATGAAGGGCTATGTTGAGAAGGATTCTGAAGTCATGCCTGAGTTTCACTGGAAAGAATTTTATGACCAGCCAGGTGCAGTGGCTCACACCTGTGATCCCAGAACTTTGGGAAGTCAAGTTGGGCAGATTGCTTGAGTCCAGGAGTTTGAGACCAGCCTGGGCAACATAGTGAAACTCCATCTCTACAAAAAATACAAAAAAAATTAGCTGGGAATGGTGGCACATGGCTGTAGTCCCAGCTACTCGGGAGGCTGAGGTGGGGAGAATCACCTGAGCCCAGGAGGTTGAGGCTGCTGTGAGCCCTGATAATGCCACTGCACTCCAGCCTGGGCGACAGAGTGAGATCCTGTCTCAAAAAAAAAAAAAAAAAAAGAATATTATAACCAAATAGCAGAATTTGTTATAAATAAGAAATGGCAAAACATTTCCCTGCGCTTTTTTTCTATAGTTCTGAGCACAACTCTAGTGACTATGTAATTTTTTCAAGTAATGCCTTTCTATCCTGCTAGGTCACAAACTCCATGAGGGCAGAGAAGACATCTTCCCCATATGTACGTGTGAAGTCCTCTAACCTGTGACTGGTACTTCCCTTGTTAAATAAGCTACCTTATTACTAGGATATGCCCAGAGTTGATGCCAGGGAAAGATAATCGGGGTAACTGCCTTGAATCCTTGAATCAACACCCCCCACCACCATGTTAATCACCCAAGCTGATGGCCTTCAAGAGAAAAATATATCTGCTAGAGGAATAGATTTGAAACTCACATTCCCACATGCCTGGTATAGATGTCTGTCTATGAGTGATGTCTCAGTGACCCCTGGATATGCATAAAACCAGCCTGGGCACTTCTCATCATCATGAGGCTCCAGATGAGGTCACATCTCTTCCTCAACACACCGGGGAGATGTTTTCTTCTTCAAAGCCACCTTGTCAGGCATTGCCAACCAGGCTCTGCCTTGCTGGGTCTATTTCCTCATTTACTCCATGAGGGGTCTGGACAGGCAGCATTGGGTTCCTTCCTGGCCCACACCGCAGACTGTAGGATTCTCTGTATAACTGAATACATCCTCAAGTCATTTTTCCAAAAGAAGGTTAAAGAAAAAAGTTGTGGTGTGCTGTGGGTTTACACACTCCTGAGAAAAAGCTGGGTGCAGGATACATTTCAGGTGACACTTCACATTCAAACATGGAGAATGTGTATTCAGAAGGGGATGAAGGAGAGGAAATGATGAAGATAAAGGTGACAGCAATAACAGAAATAGTCACTGTTGATTGGACTTTTTCCTTAAACCAGGGACCTGGCTAAATGCTTGATCAGTTTTAGCTCTTTTGCTTTTTGTAGTGAATCTCTGGATTAGATATTAGTATCTTCTCAGTTTACAGGTGAGGAAACAGACAATATTTAGAATGGTTAAGTATCTCACCAAGGTCACCCCAGTCAGGAAATGTTCCTGTTGAAAGTCAAGGACAAGGCTCTGTGTGGACCCACGTCTGCTCCAACCAGTGCTACTTCTCACACGACCACACAATAGCAGCACAAACCTACACCCCCAAAGGACTTGGGGACCTCATGGGCCATTCCATCTGGGCATCACCCAGAAGAGAAAGCAGGGATGAGAAATCCTGGCACGACTCCTTATGGAAGAGTCTGGATGGAGGACAGAGAACCCAGCCACCATGGTTTTCAATATGTGGTGTATCAGGTGGATGGTGCAACATGAAGACTGTCCGTGCTCTCTCTGGTCACAGACATTTGTTCTGTCCTCTCATCCTGGAGCTCTTCCTAAGACCCCTCTCCACTTGCCTGGCAAACACCTATTTCTCTGGTCAGTTGTCTGTGTCTCAAAGAAGACTTGTTTACCCTCTCTTGTCATATGCTCTTTTCGCAGGCCTTCCTAGTACCACATACCTGCAATTGGTAGCAAAGTTATTGCCATGCTGCTTTTCTTTTTCAGTACCAGAAACCCTAATTTTAGCCAAGCTTAGCTAAATGACTCTATTAAAGATATAAGCAGTTAAATGGCTTCAGTCGTGGCCAATGAGGTATGCATAAATGTGGCTTTTCCAGATAGTGTCTTTAAAAGGACTCCCTCCATCCTACTGCCAGGAAGGTGAATGTGATGACTAGAGCTCTAGCAGTCATTCTGGCCTATGAGGTTATCTTAAGGCTAACAGCCATGCACTAGGATATTGAAGACAGCAGTAATGACAGGTGATTATGACAGCTGTGACATGCTATCCACCATTTGAAGTGCTTTACCTATATTAACTTACTGAAAACTCACAGTAATCTTATTAGGTAAGCTCTATTATTACTCTAATTCTGCAGATGTTGAAACTACAAGGTCACAAAGCCAGAGAGCAATAAAGACAGAATTTGAGAAGGAAGGCCGGTGACCAGACTATTGAATGGTCTAGATAAGAACTGACAGAGGCCGGGCATGGTGGCTCATGCCTGTGCTCCCAGCACTTTGGGAGGCCGAGGTGAGCAGATCACCCGAGGTCAGGAGTTCGAGACCAGCATGGCCAACATGGCGAAACCCTGTCTCTACTAAAAATACAAAAAAAATTAGCTGGGCATGGTGGAGTGTGCCTGTAATCCCAGCTACTTGGGAGGCTGAAGCAGGAGAATCGCTTGTACCTGGGAGGCGGAGGTTGCAGTGAGCTAACATCACACCACTGCACTCCAGCCTGGGTGACAGAGTGAGATGCTGTCTCAAAAAAAAAAAAAAAAAAAAAAAAAAAAAAAAAAAAAAAAAAAAAAAAAAGAACTGAGGGAGAACAGGATCAGCACACTGGTGGTGTGGAGGCAGCAGGCAATAGTCTGACCCCAGGTAGAGTTGAGAATCGAGATGATAGCCTGGATCATGATAGAAGAGACATAAAAGATGCGGCCAAGGTTGGTCCTTGATAAATGCAAAAACAGAGCTGCCATTTACTGAGAAGATGACTATGGGAGAGGCATACTGAGAAGATGAGTATGGGAGAAGCACAGTTGAGGAAAAACACTAAGAGCTCAGTTTTGTCCAAAATTAAGAAAAGTTCAAGATGTCTCTTAGGATTGCAGGCAGAGGTGTAGGGTAGGCAGCTGGAAATATGAAGCTCATGTCCCGGGAGGAGGCCTGAGCTTGGTTACTGTCTGCACGTAGATGAGGTTACCGAAGGGGTGAGTGTAGGCAGAGGACAGCGAGAGCCCAGGACTCAATCGGGGACATCCCACCAGGGAGAGCCCATGTGATGAGATGGGACCAGCGCAGGCAACCTGTGAGGAACAATAGGTGAGGCACAAAGGAGATGTGAGGAAGAGATCTGAGGCCCTGATAAAGGTATTTCAAAAAGAAAAATACCCACCGAGCAGAGGGACATGTTTTTGTTTTAATTCTCCTAATTCACTTCATTTCTACCTCAGAGTTTCACACAGACCCATGGGGGTGATTGAAGGGACATCTAGTGCTCTAGCTCAACGAAGTTCCAAACTTGAGTGGACCCTTTTTCAAACATAAAACTCCAATTAAAGATCTATTGATCAAAACAACACATTTCACTGTGAAATATGTAAAGACCAAATAAGAAACAAAGTATTTTCCTGCCAACTGTGTAAAACAAAAAAAGCCTGGCCTACATATCTTTATTCCATTTGTAAAACTGGCCCTTTGCCTCGGGCCTCATGAATGAATGATCAATCCCTGCTTGCTGCTGAGGTTCTGTGTGTTCATTTTTTTCCCTGTGGATGCTTGCATGTATAATCTTCCATTCTTCTTCATTAAGCAATGTGGATAAAGATCCGCACTCTACTATAGAGCAAAGAAAGTTCTGTTAAATGGCTCAAACTCTAAAACCTATGCCAAGGGGTCTCTGATGAGCTAAGATTTGGCAGTGCAGGTTGTCTCACATCCTTCCACTTCTGCCACCCCACACCATGCCACCACTGCTGCTCATCTGGTCTCTCCAGGTTCACTCCAGCCCTCCAATCCAATCCTTCCTTTACATGGCACCCAGAATGATCTGAAAGTATAAGCCTGGTACTTGGCAGCCTGTGCTTCAAATTTCACTTGCCTTAAAGCCTTTGTGGGGCTCTTTCCTCTGGTTGGTTAATGCTCTGCCCCGACAACTTCACGTCAATTCTCTGACTACCCCACTTCCCTGCCTCACTGATTCCCTACCCATGCGTCAGATCTCAGCTCTGATGGCACCTCTTCTGGCAGGTGTTATTATCTCTACCCCAAGTGTCTTTCTATAATATCATCTTGTTTATTCCTGTCTTAGCATTTGTTGCACTGTGTAATCTTCCTCTTTACTTGTTTAGGTTTTTTGATGACCTCCATATAAGATCTACCGAGGGACTGTATCTATCTTATTCACTGTTGTATTCCTAGGGACTATACCTATGCCTGGCCCTTGGTAAGAATTCAGTGTATATTTGTTGAAAAGAAGGAAGGAGGGAAAGAGGGAAATGGGAAAGAAAGAAAAAAAGATCAGGGAGGGAGGGAGAGAAAAAGAAAAAAGGAAGGGGGGAGAGAGGAAGGAGGAAAGGGAAGGAAGGGAGGAAGAGAGGAACAAAGGAAGGGAGGGAGGGGAAGAAAGAATGAAAGAAAGAAAGAAAGAAAGAAGGAAGGGGCCGGGCGCGGTGGCTCACGCCTGTAATCCCAGCACTTTGGGAGGCCGAGGCGGGTGGATCATGAGGTCAGGAGATCGAGACCATCCTGGCTAACAAGGTGAAACCCCGTCTCTACTAAAAATACAAAAAATTAGCCGGGCGCGGTGGCGGGCGCCTGTAGTCCCAGCTACTCGGGAGGCTGAGGCAGGAGAATGGCGTGAACCCGGGAAGCGGAGCTTGCAGTGAGCCGAGATTGCGCCACTGCAGTCCGCAGTCCGACCTGGGCGACAGAGCGAGACTCCGTCTCAAAAAAAAAAAAAAAAAAGAAAGAAGGAAGGAAGGAAAGAAAGAGAGAAGAAAGAGATAAAGGAAGGAAGGAAGAAAGGAAGAGAGAGGGAGAGAAAGAGAGAAATGAGAGCAGAAGGAAAGGAAGGAGAAGAAAGAAGGAAGAAAGGAAGAAGCAATGAAAGAAGGAGGGCCTTGGAGCTTGGTAGACCACCTTTCAAATACTACCTCTACCACTTAGTAGCCATAAGAACCTGGACAACAATATAGCGTCTCTGAACTCTAGAGGTCTCATCCGTAAAACAGTAGTAATAACATTATTTCATGAGATTAATGTGAGGATTAAACGAGCTAATGCATATTGAGTCTTTACGAAAACAACTGGCCCATAACAGTTTGCTGTTTTCATCCTTTGATTTCGTAACCTCCAGAGTACTTAGGGCTGGCTCCAATCCGATAGCGTATGAGAGGTTACAGTAATCACCAACCTCATGGTCCACAGGTGACCCTACAGACCTGGTATCAGAACCCCTCTCACTGAGCCACTGCTGCATCACAGTGGGTTAGTGAAGAAATGATAGGGTCTGAGCAAGGTACATTAGGCAGAGTGTGACTCCTATCTCTACTAATAGTGTTATTACTACAATTTTACAGGTGAGAAATCCAGAACACTTATCTCTTTATGTTCATTATCTAACCCCTTTCCTTCAGTGTCCCTTGCCCTAGGTAAGAGGCCAAGCCCCATGATCTGGACATTACCCAGACCCAAGCCATCAACTCAACTCATCGCTTTCCCTCGGCCACAGCAACTGGCTCAGGGTAGACGTGTGACCTAATCTAGTCTAATCGAGACTTTTCATTTACACCCCTCTCCCACTTTTCCCCTGCTAGCTTTCCTCTTGACTACAATCTGTGAGGAAAGACCTAGAACTAAACTACTGGGGAAAGATCATCAAATAGGCCTAAGAGTGAAGTCAACAGCAGGGAGGGCATGGCAGTGACATGGCAGAGCTCAGCACCCATGGTGTCTTCTGACCCCACATCCATGAGACCTAGCTTCTAATGGCTTTCAGCTCAGTATAAGCTATTGGGGCATCTGGAGTGAACTGAATTTTTCTTACTATTTTTTATTTTTTAAAAATTATTATTATACTTTAAATTGTAGGGTACATGTGCACAATGTGCAGGTTAGTTACATATGTATACATGTGCCATGCTGATGTGCTGCACCCATTAACTCATCATTTAGCATTAGGTATATCTCCTAATGCTATCCCTCCCCCCTCCCCCCACCCCACAACAGGCCCCAGAGTGTGATGTTCCCCTTCCTGTGTCCATGTGTTCTCATTGTTCAATTCCCACCTATGAGTGAGAATATGCGGTGTTTGGTTTTTTGTTCTTGTGATAGTTTACTGAGAATGATGATTTCCAATTTCATCCATGTCCCTACAAAGGACATGAACTCATCATTTTTTATGGCTGCATAGTATTCCATGGTGTATATGTGCCACATTTTCTTAATCCAGTCTATCATTGTTGGACATTTGGGTTGGTTCCAAGTCTTTGCTATTGGGAATAGTGCCACAATAAACATATGTGTGCATGTGTCTTTATAGCAGCATGATTTATAGTCCTTTGGGTATATAACCAGTAATGGGATGGCTGGGTCAAATGGTATTTCTAGTTCTAGATCCCTGAGGAATCGCCACACTGACTTCCACAATGGTTGAACTAGTTTACAGTCCCACCAACAGTGTCAAAGTGTTCCTATTTCTCCACATCCTCTCCAGCACCTGTTGTTTCCTGACTTTTAAATGATTGCCATTCTAACTGGTGTGAGATGGTATCTCATTGTGGTTTTGATTTGCATTTCTCTGATGGCCAGTGATGGTGAGCATTTTTTCATGTGTTTTTTGGCTGCATAAATGCCTTCTTTTGAGAAGTGTCTGCTCATGTCCTTCGCCCACTTTTTGATGGGGTTGTTTGTTTTTTTCTTGTAAATTTGTTTGAGTTCATTGTAGATTCTGGATATTAGCCCTTTGTTAGATGAGAAGGTTGCGAAAATTTTCTCCCATTTTGTAGGTCGCCTGTTCACTCTGATGGTAGTTTCTTTCGCTGTGCAGAAGCTCTTCAGTTTAGTTAGATCCCATTTGTCAATTTTGTCTTTTGTTGCCATTGCTTTTGGTGTCTTAGACATGAAGTCCTTGCCCATGCCTATGTCCTGAATGGTAATGCCCAGGTTTTCTTCTAGGGTTTTTATGGTTTTAGGTCTAATGTTTAAGTCTTTAATCTATCTTGAATTAATTTTTGTATAAGATGTAAGGAAGGGATCCAGTTTCAGCTTTCTCCACATGGCTAGCCAGTTTTCCCAGCACCATTTATTAAGTAGGGATTCCTTTCCCCATTGCTTATTTTTCTCAGGTTTGTCAAAGATCAGACAGTTGTAGATATGCAGCATTATTTCTGAGGGCTCTGTTCTGTTCCATTGATCTATATCTCTGTTTTGGTATCAGTACCATGCTGTTTTGGTTACTGTAGCCTTGTAGTATAGTTTGAAGTCAGGTAGTGTGATGCCTCCAGCTTTGTTCTTTTGGCTTAGGATTGACTTGGCGATGCGGGCTCTTTTTTGGTTCCATATGAACTTTAAAGTAGTTTTTTCCAATTCTGTGAATAAAGGCATTGGTAGCTTGATGGGGATGGCATTGAATCTATAAATTACCTTGGGCAGCATGGCCATTCTCACGATATTGATTCTTCCTACCCATGAGCATGGAATTTTCTTCCATTTGTTTGTATCCTCTTTTATTTCATTGAGCAGTGGTTTGTAGTTCTCCTTGAAGAGGTCCTTCACATCCCTTGTAAGTTGGATTCCTAGGTATTTTATTCTCTTTGAAGCAATTGTGAATGAGAGTTCACTCATGATTTGGTTCTCTGTTTGTCCGCTATTGGTGTATAAGAATGCTTGTGATTTTTGTACATTGATTTTGTATCCTGAGACTTTGCTGAAGTTGCTTATCAGCTTAAGGAGATTTTGGGCTGAGACAATGGGGTTTTCTAGATATACAATCATGTCGTCTGCAAACAGGGACAATTTGACTTCCTCTTTTCCTAATTGAATACTCTTTATTTCCTTCTCCCGCCTGATTGCCCTGGCCAGAACTTCCAACACTATGTTGAATAGGAGTGGTGAGAGAGGGCATCTCTGTCTTGTGTCAGTTTTCAAAGGGAACGCTTCCAGTTTTTGCCCATTCAGTATGATATTGGCTGTGGGTTTGTCATAGATAGGTCTTATTATTTTGAGATATGTCTCATCAATACCTAATTTATTGAGAGTTTTTAGCATGAAGGGTTGTTGAATTTTGTCAAAGGCCTTTTCTGCATCTATTGAGATAATCATGTGGTTTTTGTCTTTGGCTCTGTTTATATGCTGGATTACATTTATTGATTTGCATATATTGAACCAGCCTTGCATCCCAGGGATGAAGCCCACTTGATCATGGTGGATAAGCTTTTTGATGTGCTGCTGGATTCAGTTTGCCAGTATTTGATTGAGGATATTTGCATCAATGTTCATCAAGGATATTGGTCTAAAATTCTCTTTTTTGGTTGTGTCTCTGCCCGGCTTTGGTGTCAGGATGATGCTGGCCTCATAAAATGAGTTAGGGAGGATTCACTCTTTTTCTATTGACTGGAATAGTTTCAGAAGGAATGGTACCAATTCCTCTTTGTACCTCTGGTAGAATTCGGCTGTGAATCCATCTGGTCCTGGACTCTTTTTGGTTGGTAAGCTATTGATTATTGCCACAATTTCAGAGCCTGTTATTGGTCTATTCAGAGATTCAACTTCTTCCTGGTTTAGTCTTGGGAGGGTGTATGTGTTGAGGAATTTATCCATTTCTTCTAGATTTTCTAGTTTATTTGCATAGAGGTGTTTGTAGTATTCTCTGATGGTAGTTTGTATTTCTGTGGGATCGGTAGTGATATCCCCTTTATCATTTTTTATTGCGTCTATTTGATTCTTCTCTCTTTTCTTCTTTATTAGTCTTGCTAGTGGTCTATCAATATTGTTGATCCTTTCAAAAAACCAGCTCCTGGATTCATTAATTTTTTGAAGGGTTTTTTGTGTCTCTATTTCCTTCAGTTCTGCTCTGATCTTAGTTATTTCTTGCCTTCTGCTAGCTTTTGAATGTGTTTGCTCTTGCTTTTCCAGTTCTTTTAATTGTGATGTTAGGGTGTCAATTTTGGATCTTTCCTGCTTTCTCTTGTGGGCATTTAGTGCTATAAATTTCCCTCTATACACTGCTTTGAATGTGTCCCACAGATTCTGGTATGTTGTGTCTTTGTTCTCATTGGTTTCAAAGAACATCTTTATTTCTGCCTTCATTTCGTTCTGTACCCAGTAGTCATTCAGGAGCAGGTTGTTCAGTTTCCATGTAGTTGAGCCATTTTGAGTGAGTTTCTTAATCCTGAGTTCTAGTTTGATTGCACTGTGGTCTGAGAGACAGTTTGTTATAATTTCTGTTCTTTTACATTTGCTGAGGAGAGCTTTACTTCCAACTATGTGGTCAATTCTGGAATAGGTGTGGTGTGGTGCTGCAAAAAATGTATGTTCTGTGGATTTGGGGTGGAGAGTTCTGTAGATATCTATTAGGTCCGCTTGGTGCAGAGCTGAGTTCAATTCCTGAGTTTCCTTGTTAACTTTCTGTCTCGTTGATCTGTCTAATATTAACAGTGGGGTGTTAAAGTCTCCCATTATTATTGTGTGGGAGTCTAAGTCTCTTTGTAGGTCACTCAAGACTTGCTTTATGAAACTGGGTGCTCCTGTATTGGGTGCATATATATTTAGGATAGTTAGCTCTTCTTGTTGAATTGATCCCTTTACCATTATGTATGGCCTTGTCTCTTTTGATCTTTGTTGGTTTAAAGTCTGTTTTGTCAGAGACTAGGATTGCAACCCCTGACTTTTTTTGTTTTCCATTTGCTTGGTAGATCTTCCTCCATCCTTTTATTTTGAGCCTATGTGTGTCTCTGCATGTGAGATGGGTTTCCTGAATACAGCACACTGATGGGTCTTGACTCTTTATCCAATTTGCCAGTCTGTGTCTTTTAATTGGAGCATTTAGTCCATTTACATTTAAAGTTAATATTGTTATGTGTGAATTTGATCCTGTCATTTTGATGTTAGCTGGTTATTTTGCTCATTAGTTGATGCAGTTTCTTCCTAGTCTCGATGGTCTTTACATTTTGGCATGATTTTGCAGTGGCTGGTACCAGTTGTTCCTTTCCATGTTTAGTGCTTCCTTCAGGAGCTCTTTTAGGGCAGGCCTGGTGGTGACAAAATCTCTCAGCATTTGCTTGTCTGTAAAGGATTTTATTTCTCCTTCACTTCTGAAGCTTAGTTTGACTGGATATGAAATTCTGGGTTGAAAATTCTTTTCTTTAAGAATGTTGAATATTGGCCCCCACTCTCTTCTGGCTTGTGGAGTTTCTGCCGAGAGATCCGCTGTTAGTCTGATGGGCTTCCCTTTGTGGGTAATCCGACCTTTCTCTCTGGCTGCCCTTAACATTTTTTCCTTCATTTCCACTTTGGTGAATCTGACAATTATGTGTCTTGGAGTTGCTCTTCTCAAGGAGTATCTTTGTGGCGTTCTCTGTATTTCCTGAATCTGAATGTTGGTCTGCCTTGCTAGATTGGGGAAGTTCTACTGGATCATATCCTGCAGAGTGTTTTCCAACTTGGTTCCATTCTCCACATCACTTTCAGGTACACCAATCAGATGTAGATTTGTTTTTTTCACATAGTCCCATATTTCTTGGAGGCTTTGTTCGTTTCTTTTTATTCTTTTTTCTCTAAACTTCCCTTCTCGCTTCATTCATTTCATCTTCCATCACTGATACCCTTTCTTCCAGTTGATCACATCGGCTCCTGAGGCTTCTGCATTCTTCACGTAGTTCTTGAGCCTTGGCTTTCAGCTCCATCAGCTCCTTTAAGCACTTCTCTGTATTGGTTATTCTACTTATACATTCGTCTAAATTTTTTTCAAAGTTTTCAACTTCTTTGCCTTTGGTTTGAATTTCCTCCTGTAGCTCGGAGTAGTTTGATCGTCTGAAGCCTTCTTCCCTCAACTCGTCAAAGTCATTCTCCGTCCAGCTTTGTTCCGTTGCTGGTGAGGAACTGCGTTCTTTTGGAGGAGGAGAGGCGCTCTGCTTTTTAGAGTTTCCTTTTTTTCTGCTCTGTTTTTTCCCCATCTTTGTGGTTTTATCTACTTTTGGTCTTTGATGATGGTGACGTACAGATGGGTTTTTGGTGTGGATGTCCTTTCTGTTTGTTAGTTTTCCTTCTACCAGACAGGACCCTCAGCTGCATGTCTGTTGAAGTTTGCTAGAGGTCCACTTCAGACCCTGTTTGACTGGGTAACAGCAGTGGTGGCTGCAGAACAGCGGACTTTCGTGAATCGCGAATGCTGCTGTCTGATCGTTCCTCTGGAAGTTTTGTCTCAGAGGAGTACCCGGCCGTGTGAGATGTCAGTCTGCCCCTACTGGGGGGGTGCCTCCCAGTTAGGCTGCTTGGGGGTCAGGGGTCAGGGACCCACTTGAGGAGGCAGTCTGCCCATTCTCACATCTCCAGCTGCATGCTGGGAGAACCATTGCTCTCTTCAAAGCTGTCAGACAGGGACATTTAAGTCTGCAGAGGTTACTGCTGTCTTTTTGTTTGTCTGTGCCCTGCCCCCAGAGGACTACTATTTTCATAGAAACTTGCAGCTGGGTATCTCTTAGGTACACACCATGGCAGATCACAACTAGATTTTATTTGTACAAATAAAGGGATTCAACAAAATATTTCTGTAACTCTTTGCTCAGCTTCAAAAATACTCAGGAGTAATTTCCTCAAAAGATTTCCAATGCTATGCATGAAATTTCCTTACAAACACATGGGACATCATATTTCTCCAAAGTCTGGAAGCTATTCTGGTTTTTATAATAATATTGGATAGGTCAGGGACACAAAAGGTATCTCTCTGAATATCCTTCTCCTTGGAATCTTCTCCCCTCCCTACCCCAGCTTTCCCATGAGTGCCAGTCTGCTACTTCCTTCACTCCACCTTCCTTCTCTAGCTCTTTAAATGTGGGCACCCTGTTGCTCACTCCATAATCCCTAATTGAGTGACCTCTCCCAGTTGCATGGCTTCAGCTAACCCCTTGCTATTATGGTGATGTTGAAAGAGGAGGAGGAGGAAAGAGTAGGAACACAGGTAGAGAGATAACCCTGCAGGGGGTAAGATAAGATAAAAACAGGGTCAATAAAAGCAAACAAACATAGCTGACTTTACTACTTTAAAACTAGTCATGTCCTCATTCTAATTTTTGCTGCATATCAGTAAGTCCTTCCAATTTTGTTGGAAAGACTTATGGGTAAAATGGTATCTATGTATTCCAAATTTTCTTGCTTTTATGAAATTGGGTATTATCTTACCAGGACATACATAATTTAATAGTGATTTCTCAATCTCTAGTTTGGGGTATGGATGGGACTTCAATTTTTTTTTTCTTCCAATGGTATGTTTAAAAGCAAGGAAAAGATGAACAGAAAGACCCTTCTTGGCAACACATATACTTTCCTAAGTGTTTCTTTTTAAAAATCACACAAGTAATGCCGGTTTTTTGTAGAAAATTAGATATAAAAGATAGGCCAAAAAAAGACATTTAAAGCTCCCTATGATGCTAATATCCACCGCTGATCTCAATTAACTTCATGTTAAATCACTTTATGATATTTAAATTATTTGAATATGTAATAAGTTACTTATTAAATTTCTTATTATTAGAGATCTAGGCTGTCACTAACATGAATGACACGGTAATGGACATCCTTGTAGTCAAATTGTTAGGCACCCTCTCAACTTTTCAAGAAGGTGAATTACTGGTTAAAGGGTATTGCACATTTCAGTCCAAATACTCTCAAGAAAAGTTGTCCCAAGTTACACTCTGAGCAAGGTTCTCTCTTTCTGATGTTCATTGTACCACCCCCGCCAAGCCAACACCTTCATTTTTAAAGATATTCCAGGCCGGGCATGATGGCTCACCCCTGTAATCCCAGCACTTTGGGAGGCCAAAATGGGCAGATCACTTGAGGTCAGGAGTTTGACACCAGCCTGGCCAACATGGTGAAACCCCATCTCTAATAAAAAATACAAAAATTAGCCAGGCGTGGTGCTGGGTGCCTATAGTCCCAGCTACTCAGGAGGCTGAGGCGTTAGAATCTGTTGAGCCTGGGAAGCAGAGGTTACAGTGAGCTGAGATCATACCACTGCACTCCAGCCTGGGTGACAGAGTAAGACTCTGTCTAAGAAAAAAAAAAAAAAAAGATATTCCAGTAATTTTAAAATACAGATTATCTGGATAAGCCTTTCCCAGGGTCTGAATGAGTTAAAGGCATAGAGAATATTAAACTTCAAAATTCCTGAATGGCCAAGTGGCTAGCTCTGCTACAGGTCTACAAAGAGCACCACACCGTCCACCACACCAGATTAGTTAGCAGCAATGTGGACTGGTCACTGAAGGTCATATTTTCAAACTTAATTTTGAATGAAAAGATCTGGAGTTTTTGTTCTAGTAGTACAGCCCTGCCTAGATGAAAGGCAAGCCTGCATAAATTACTCATTTGATGGCAGACATTCTTTGAGATGCTGAAAAATGTGCATTATTAATGGGCAGACCAGAACAAGTCTCATATTACATATAGCTAAGGAGTATCAGTGGAGGGAAGGCCCCCCACATTTTGCTCATTATAATGTCCTGAAAATTCTCACAATTAGAAGTCATTTCTCATCAAGCTTTCACTCTGCATTGTATCTGAAAAATAAGGTTCCAATTAAAATTGCCATTCTTCAGCCTTATTGTGGGTGATCATCCGGCTGAAAAGTGATCTGAATTGGAGTTTTGGTAATGTGGGGGAGCTGGAGGTTCTGCCAGTTCTCTGTGAGAATGCAGACTGGTAGAACCAGATGGAAATTTGGCAAAGTCCAGATAAAACTACAATAAGGATGCATTTGTATTTCCTGCTTGAAAATTATATTGGTCCCCATGGCAGTCCAGGGTCTAACGACATAAAGGGATTCATCGAAGGCGGCAGTGTAGATTAAGGAGGGTCTGATATGGAAGGAAGCTCTTTTCTGCAGCATTCATTTTGGAAATATCCAAACAGGATGCAAAGCCACTCAGACCTTCTCCTGAACTCCCACCCTACCAGTGTCACTTTTCAACATTGTGACTGCTTCCAGTTGGATGCTCTAAGCTGCTGGTTTTAATTAAAACTTAATTTGCAAAAAAATGTTTCATAATTTATGCATGTCATGTAATTCCTCTGAGATTGTGAGCTTGGAGCCAATGTAGGTCTATATAAGGAAACACTATGCCGAGAAAGTTAGGGGAGGAAAGGGACAGAGGAAGAGAAGTACCAATGGGGACACAGTAGAGGAAGGTACTGATACTTCCTTTCAGCCTCCTGTCAACCTGGCTCTGCAGCCACCTGGGACAGACATGGGACTTGCTGTGTGAGGCAGACAGCCTGTTTGGCAGGTTATAGACATGGAGAACCCAGAGAGTCAATAATGGCCAGAATGGTCCTCCAAGGAAAACCTCACCAGGGGAGATGGGAGCCAAAGAACTTGAAACTCTCCAAAAAGATGAAAGGGTCTTCATATTCCCTACAAAAGGCAGCATTAAAATCCTTCAGAAGAAAATTAGTGAAAACTCAAGAGTCTGCAATGAAGCCATTACTGCACTCAACAGATGTCTTCAAGAGAGAACCTGCAGAGAGCTGACAAACTGCTGAACCACAAAGAAATCTGTATAGTAACTTAACTAGAAATACCGGGCCCCCAAGAATGACAAACAGAAAGAACTTCCCCCAACACATACACTTTGTTCATTGGAAAGTGAACAAAATCTTCAGTCATCCTCCATGTCTGCAGTGGGAAGAGTATATAAACAGTTTTTGTCATAGCAAAAAATATCAGAGGTGGCAGAATCAAATAAATATGCAATCTACACATTCAGAAAGCAAGAGGCACTATGCTGGTGCCATATTTTTTAGCCACAGACCTGGTCTATAATATAAAAACAACTATTAGCCTGAAATAAGTACAACTCCAGGCATTTCTGCTATGTTATGATATATATCAGTGAGAAACCTCACCTTCTGTAAAATTGCACACTAAAAATAACAGAATGTATGGGAAAAATAGGATTAGAACAGACAGCTCAAACTCTTAGAAACTTGGTAACCAGAACACCAAACAAAAACAATCACCACTTTCATAAACTATTAGCACAATTAAAATGACATGTTTTGATTAAAAAAATAAATTACTCTATCATTTTTTAAAGAAGGAGTCAATAACTTGAAGGCAGGAAGTTTAAGGAAGAGTTCAGGCAGCTGAGTAATGGAGCAAGGGCAAAAGGCTCAGGTCTGGGGTGAAACAAACAGGGAACATGTCCCAAGACAGAACATGTGACCAGCTGGAGCCCAGAGTAAAAGATTTAAGTGAAAAACTCTTGTGTGCTGAAATGTGCCCCTCTGCAGGCTGCTGCTCGCTAGTGGGTTGGTATACTCTGCTATCACCTGTTGCTTCCTCAGTGGTGCAAAACTCTAGCAGTCCAGGAAAAATGCCCTATGACGCAGTGAGATTCTGTCTTATAGTAACATCATTCTCTATTTACCAATTACGTGGGAGCTAATTCACATTATAGAAACACATGCTGTAGTGGAAGAGGTGACATTCTTCTTACTAAACTCTGGTCCATTCTTTTTTTTGAGATGGAGTCTCGCTCTGTCACCCAGGCTGGAGTGCAGTGGCATGATCTTGGCTCACTGTAACCTCTGCCTCTCGGGTTCAAGCAATTCTCCTGCCTCAGCCTCCTGAGTAGCTGGGACTACAGGTACATGCCAACGCGCCTGGCTATTTTTTTTGGTATTTTTAGTACAGATGGGGTTTCACCATGTTGGCCAGGGTGGTCTCAATCTCCCAACCTCGCGATCCACCTGCCTCAGCCTCCCAAAGTGCTGGGATTACAGGTGTGGGCCACCATGCCCAGCCTGGTCCATTCTTTTCATAGAAAATGACACTATGTAAAGACATTGGGGTAAAATAGCTTTAACATTCTTGGTAGCCATAATGAAGAATTACAAAGTTTGAGAAGTTTAATGATCAAAAAGCAGCAAAGCTATGAATTTTCTAAGACAGATAATATTTGATAACTTTATAATACAGTAGCTGAAGTGAGTAATATTTTAAGTGTCACACTTTTCACGGGATTTTCAAAGTTGGAGAGGGGCACCTATCAAAGGTGTGGGACCTTCTAGGATGAAATATAATATTACAAAGCAGATCTTCCAGATTTCTCAAGCAACTCCCTGGAGTCTATATTTGCTTCCTTATTTGGCTTACTTATTTTTACTTAACAATAATGGAGCTTTACATTTGCATAGCAATGGTTTAGTTTGCAAACAGGTTTTTAGATGTAAGAGCTCTAAGGTGAACATCACATAGCTATCATAAGGTTTATAAAAGTCTTTTTTCTTAAGGGAGTCACTGAGAGAATGACAAAAAGGTGTGCAAAAGCTCTGGAACTCATCTTTAGAGGACATTACAAACTCAAGAAGTCACACAATCAGTAAGGTGCTTTAAATATTTTTATCATGTTTTGTGCTTTGCTATGTCTCAAGTTAAAAAAGTTCAAAAAGAACTTGCAAAAGTGAAATGGCTCAAAAATGGGGGTGGTGGGGAGACCAAAAAAACCGTATGATACCATATGATACTGTCGTATCTTCCACAACTTTAAATGCTGTCCTCAGATTTTTATGGCTGAATCGTAAGCCTCTCAAAATAGTGGCTTTGTGTAGAGAGGCCTCCCTAAAGATAGTTAATCACAGTGACACGGGCTTCTACCACCTACTGAAATTGTACAATAGGAGGTGGCCACAGCAAGGGCAAATGCCAGGTTCATCATTGTGTTCTTCTGTCTCCTTGGCTGCATGGTTACTGTTAGAACATTCCTGAACAAAGAGAGATACATTCCTGGGAAACACTGTCTCAGTATATCATCAGCCAGGGGAAGAAAGACAACCCTGTGTCTCTTGTTGATCTAGAACTTACCCTAGAAACAAAAGACACAATGTCACTTTAGCTTGTTCCAGTGTAAATTTACCAATGGCTGCCTTCAAGACAGAGAGCATCATTTAGCAAATCACAAGTGGTCTGATGACAACAGTCCATCTTCTAGGGTCACTTGAAAGATGATCTTAAAGAATCCCATGTTAAAAAGCTGTCTGCTCTAACTAAGTGGCTTAGGGGTATAATTCAGAAGACAGCTCTGGAGAAGCATCTCCAGAAGAATGGGTTCCCTGTTGCTCTTGAAAACAGCTGATACAGCTGATGAAATGATGCCTTCACACGGAGCTCTGTGGCAGCCCTATCTCTATGTAAACTGAAAGGTTCAATTTTGTCCTTCCATTTCCTTACTCCTATGAAAAACGTAATAAGCTATTAAATAAAAGTAAGTGACTATGTAGCTCTTTTATCCATGAAGTCTGTGTCTCACGGAAGTGAACACAGTAAATGGCCAGTCCAGAGTAGAGGTGTGAGCTGTGGGAGACAGACAGTCCTCTGTGAGATGCTCCTGATTAGAGAATCCTTCAGGGAACTTTCAGCTCTATAATTTTAGTCTGTGAAGAATGCTGTGATTCTAGTCTAAGTGAAGTTCTTTTCTTGGGAAAATTTATGAACATTTCATTCTCTTACATATTGTTTTTACCTTGGCCCATTGGTAAATATATATTATGTTCACTGGGCCAGAGAAAGAACTACCAAAGCCATGTGTTGCCTGATATTAGTTCTCTTTGTGCACATAAGCACTTCTCAAAGTCAAGACTGGATCCAGTGGCTAACAATGAGAACTCACACAAGCTGAGTGCTTACTCCAAGGCAGGCCAGGTGCTAAGGGATCTATGCATGCTCACAGAAAGCCCCCTGAGAACTCTAGGGTTCAAGTACAATCATCTTCACTCTGCAAATGAGGACACTGAGACTGACTCCAAAGCCTGTTTTTTGATCTGATAGTATAATCAAGTCAAATAGTCTGGCTGCTCTTTCCCTAAAAACTTAAAGTACTCTGTTAATGGATAATGAAGGGAATACAAGGTAAAAATAAAAATGAAGTGGTCTCCTTGTAGACTAGCAAAGAGCTTTGTTCTCCACTCAAGCCTGCTGACACACTGACTACCATACCACTTCAGGCTTATTTTGGTCCTATGTGAAAGGGAGGTCTGTTAATATGCTGGGATTGCTGATTCTCTCAAACTACATTTTGTTCCCCAGCCCCCAAGTCTGGGGTTTGGCAATCTTCAAGCACACTTTGCCAAACACATGTTCCTATGATTTTGAAATCTATGTGTATTTTCAGTGGAATTTTTCCTGCCGTTGATTAATTTACAATTAAATCATGAAATAGAGTAACTCTTAACAAATATCGGTATTTCCTACTGGTGTTTACAATTCAATGGGAGTTTTTTCTCTTAGTATAGAAAGTCAGGTCTTATCAGTGGCTCTTGGGCCCAAACCTCAAAGAGGCAGATTTGCTTCTGAAGTTCACATTTAAAAACTAGAGAAATCCAAATGCCAATTGGATTCTCAATAATTGAGCAACAAAATGGTTGCCTTAGAGTGAAAGATATGCCATACCCACCTAATCAAGACTTAGAAACAAGCTTTTTAAGGGCCAAGGTGATATATAGGTAAGTTAACTGACTGCCAGAACAAAACTCAACATTCCTTTAAAATAGACAAAATCCAGACACTCAGAAACATAATGCCCACCATCACAATGTCATTATGCTCATTATCTGTTCAAAAATTACTATATAAATGGGAAAATGTGACTCATAAGTGGTAAAACAATCAATAGGTAACATATACACAGAAATGATAAAATTCACAAACACAGACTTTAAATTAGCTGCTAAAATTTAATAAAAGACTTAAAAGAAAACATGAACACAATAAAGGGATAAATAAAAATTAAAAGCCAAATCAAAAACCAATAAAAACCAAAACCAAATGGAACTCCTAAAGTTTAAAAATACAATACTTAAAATTTTTTAAAAGTGACTGTATGGGTCTAACAAAGGATGAGACATGGCAGAAGAAGTAATCGGCCTGAAGACACAGCAATAGAAACAATAAGAAATGAAGCACACAGAGAAAAAAAAGTTGAAAAATAACTTCAGTAACCAGTAGGATAATATCAAGTAGATGAATAAATGTGCAGTTAAAAGTCCAGGATGGTTTTGGAGCAGTGCAGAACAAATAAAATATCTGAAGAAATAATGACTAAATATCTTTAGTTTGATAAAAATTATAAACCCACCAATCCAAGAAGGTTAATGAACCTCAAGAAAAATAAACAAAAAGAAAACAATACCAAGGCACTGTGTAATACTGCTGAAAACATATCATAACAACAAAATCTTAAGCAGCTAATAAAATAAAGGCACATAGGTTTAGGGGATGACGAGTAAGAATTATCAGTGACTTCCCGTCAAAAAGAATACAAGCCAAATGACCCTAGAGCAGCCACTTTCAAGTATTATAAGAAAACAACTGTAAACTAGAATTCTGTATCTAGTGAAAATAACACTCTAAAAGAAGGCAAAGTAGAAATGCTTTCATACCAAAAAAAAAAAAAATATATCTGAGAGAACTCACTGCCAGCAGAGGTGAACTATAGGAAAAATTAAAGGAAATTCTTCAGACTGAAGAAAAATTATTCCAATTGGAAGCTTGAGTATATCCAAAAGAATAAATAGCACCAGAAATGAAAAACATGTGGGTAACTATAAGATTTCTTCCTCACTTTATTAACTATTTGAAGCAAAATAAAAACAATGTATTGTGAGGTTTATAACATATGTGGAAGTAAAAAGTATCTTAATAATAGCGTATAGTGTGAAAGGGGGGCATTGCAGGTATACTGTTGTAAGTTTCTTCCACTATAAGTAAGGTAGACTGTGAGAAGTTAAAGGCACAAATAATTAACAATCACTCAAAAGAAACAACTAAGAGGTGTAGCTATTATTGGGTCAGAAGTGGAGATAAAATGGAAGTTAAAACATTCAATTCAAAATGATGTAGAAAAAGAATAAAAACATAATATATAGATACATGCATGTATATATGTGTGATCATTATATATAAAATTTGCTCTTATATATCAAGGAAAGAGGAGTTATCACCATAGATCTTGAAGACATTAAAAGAAATCTAAGAGAATATTATGAACATCTTTATGCCAATAAATCAATAACTTAGATGAAATGAACAAACTCCTTGTAACACAAATGAGAAAAATTGATATTAAGAAATAAAAAATCTAAATAGCCCTATATCTACAAAAGAAAATGAATTTGGAATGAGGAACTTCCCCACAAAGAAAGCTCCAGGCTCAAATAGTTTCATTAATGAATTCTAACAAACATTCAAGAAGAAATACAGCAATCTAACAAAAACATGTTTTAGAAAATAAAGAAGGAAATACATCCCAACTCATTTTATTACATCAGCATTATTAAAACCCGACAAACAAATACAACCCAGCTTTCTCTACAAAGCCACTGCACTACACTGACCTAGACAAAGGGAGTTACGTGGGGGATGGCCTCATCCATTAGAGTTCTAGGCGAGGGCTGTAAGAGGCTTTTGCCCCATCATCACCAAGAGTGGTTGCTGCTCTAACCTGACCCCGTTACTCTGTCTCTCTCTGAAAGACATTTGAGATGAAGATTTGGTATGCTGAGGCCACACAGGCCAAACCATCTCATTATTAAACCTCTCGCACAGATATATCCCCATTGCCTACATTTGAAAAGCTTAAGTAGCTCAAACAGCCACGAATTCTGGGCATTTAGACAGAAGTTGGTTGAAACAAGAGCTTAAAAAACCCTTGCCAAACAGTTGCACAGAGCACAGGAAGTAAAGGGATAAAACCTGTTACAGTCTTGGCTCTCACTTCACTTCTCACAGGAGATATCGGGTGGTAAACCAACAAGTATTTACGACGACAGGAAAAAATATAATTTATTCACTTCCTTCCTAGAAAGATGACTGAACTTTGGATGGTTGAGATGGGTTGGCATTTTCTATTTTCTGTCATCTCCTCTACTCTCCCTCACTCCCCAGTCCTTTTCCTCTTTATACAAACATCAGTTTCTTTTCTTCAGAGGTATAAGTCTCCCATCACTGGACATAAACAAAATCTCCATGGATGTAGAAGAAAAGTAACAGGTTTTGCTTAGGCTCATAGGCTGTTCTATCTAAAAGGAGTCTGTAGAAAACAGCAGTTTTTTGCCTGCACTGAATCTGTCCCTCCTTTTGGCAACAGCATTTTGATTTGCCTTTGAGGTAAAACCCAGCCCCTACTCTCAGATTTTGCAGTTGGAAGGAGCTGACTCCACCTTCCCTTAAATCCAAGGGTAGACACGCGACTCCTGCCTGGCCAATCAGAACTCTCCATCTTGCTGACCACATGACTGGTTCAGTTAGAGATAAGCAGGTGGTAAAATCCCTGAGTGTGGGCACCAGGGCTTTAGCTGGAACCATGAGGAAACGGATTTCTTTCTTCTGAGGGCAGAGGGCTATACTGGTAGGATAAAAATCTGGAGCTGCTGATGACGATCTTGACTGCACACAGGGGAAAAAGCCTCATCTGAAAATAAAACCACACAGAGGAAAACAGAGCCAAGAGATGGCAAGAGGCAGATTCCTGACAGCATTTGGCCACCTAGAGCTAGCCACACCTGAAGGTAGTGCTATACTTTGACATTTCAGTTTTATGATTCAATTGATTTTCCTTAATCACACAAGTCTGGCCAACCTGGAATTCTGTCACAGCCAAAGAAGCCTGATTCACTATGTCAACATATTATAAGTTATCTATTCCAGTGGTTCATGAACTCTGCTCTATGGAGTCCCAAAATTCTGCATGCCACAGGTGAACCAAAGGGACTGAGTGAGAGGGCTCCCTGATCCCAATTCAATCAGAATTACTGTAACACTGTTCATGTTACAGCAAAGGAGGGCCAAACATAGACCTCAGGCATCAGTTGCCTGCTCACCCTTCAGTGCAGAGCTACACACCTGCCATGTTCTGGGAAAACACTCAGGTGTCACACTCTCCAGGAGCTGTCACGAACCATGGATATTCAGGGAACTAACCAGTAAACAAAAGATAATAATATCCTGAAAATACAGATGGCTTCTTTGGAAAAGCCTCTTTACCATAGTGAATGGTGTTACCTACATTCAGAAGCACCAAGCAGGTTCATTGTTTTTGCATTCTTTACAGATCACAGTAGGGCAGAGCTTTGTTTAGAACCATCTTCTCTGATTGCTGCTGGGCTCATGTGAAAAGTCCTACATGCTTGCCAGGAAACAAACTTATGTTTGTACTGACTATCCATCAGAGTAAAGGGTAAAAACTTCAGAACTCTAAAATGGTGATCTGGTTTTTGAAAAGTCTTCTGGAATCTGTCCTCTTTAAATTTTTTTTTAAAGCAAAATCTGGTTACTTTTGAGACAACTTAATTAAGTCCCATCTGTCTCAATGTGACTGCCCTCTGTTTTGAAGTGGAAAAAAAGAGAGAGAATCCAAACTGGCAATAATGTCCTTTTAATTGAATAAACCAACAGTTTTCTCATTCTAATGAGCATAAACTATTTACAGAAAAGATTTTATTTAAATTACCCAGAGTGATTACTTTAAATGCACGGTTTGGTTAAAAGCTAGAGTCATAAATAATTAATTTTTCTTTTTAAAAGAATTATGCAAATGTAAGCCATGAGGCTAAAAATGGAAAATGTCTAATCACATATGAACTTAGCTTGCATTTCTCTTCCTTGTTATTTTCCCTCCATATTTCTGTCTTTGCATCTGCTCTGAATACATCTGCCCTTGTTTCTCAGGGTCTAAGGTGGTTCTTACACCCTCTGGGAACCCTTTATATTCCTACTGAACATTGAGAAATAATAATAAATGGGTGTAACCCACATCTGTATCAGTCCTCATATAATGTCATATGCACACGGATGTTAGCAAATTCCTGGTGATGGACCTAAGATGGAATCAATTGATTAGGACATGTTTCCCAGGCATCTGTCATGTGGAGGCATTCTGCTGAGTGAGCAGAGCTCAGAGAAAGAAACTCTTCTTGGAGGAACATCCATAGACTACCCATAACAGAAAGTTAAAAAAAAAAATACAAAGAAGGTGCCAAAATCAGACAGGGAAATGAAGTACCGATAGGCCAATGGGCTGGTTAATAGTGCACAGCAGGAGACACCACAGAAGTGAGAATTTCTGACTGTGGAGATGGTGCTTTTCAGGGCAAACTCAACCTGAAACTCCACAATCCTTTTCACCTTGACTGACACTGCCTAGCAATAGTGACAGCCCTGAGCATGGCCAAGAAAGAAAAGCCCCTTCTGGATGGTGGACTGTAGGAGGGCACACAGTGACAGCACCAGCTCAGTGAGTCACTAGGGGCTCAGGCTCAAGCATGATCAGGCTCCAGAGGTGCGAGTGACAATGAACTTGGAAGGTGGGCTCTAGGTATAGAGAGATTGAGATGTGTTCTGCTGCTATTCTAGCTGTTGAAGTTCTGGAGTACAGGAAAAGGTGTGAATGGCATAATCAGGCATCAGGAATTCCGAGCACCTAGAAGGTGCACCTGTAGAGTTTCATTTGGCCCTAGCTGTTTTTAAAGTTTGTGAAACAAATACCTTTAGATGACACATGCATGCTACATATAGGTCACATATACCCTTACCCCCATTGTGTTATACTCAGTCTTCTCTGCACACTTACTTCACCAGCTTGGCTCATGGGAACCTTTTCCTTTTCACATGGATGCTAAACAGTATGTACGTGTTAGACTGTTGCTTTGCAATAGCAGCAGGCAACCCTACTTTGGCTGCCACAGCACCAGCAGATGAGAGGGGAGAAGGCAGGTCCCTAGGAGAGGACACCGCACCAGTTACCCTGACAACAAGCAAGCCAGGCAGTATCTATCATTATCCCCCTTTTATATGTGATAAAAAGCACAGAAGGGTTATGCAAGCTGTCTCAGATGGCACAGCTGCTAAGTGGCAAAGCAAGCATTTGAAACCGGGTCCTCTGGCTCCAGGGCCTGTGTTCCTAACTACCCTAGTACACTCCAGCCAGGAAAGTGTAATCCAGGAATCACTCCATAAGTGACATAAATACCTAAGTAGGAAGGAAAGTGAAATCATTCCTCATTATACAAGATGTTTATTTGACTCTTTCTCGAATAGCTCCATATTGCAATTCTTTGGGAGAACACAGAGGGTGAATCTCAAAACAGAGGAATGGGCTCTGACCCCTGAAACAGCCTGTGTCACCTTAACTTGCTCGGCCTGACCTGGAGATCCCTCAAGCCCCAGCTCATTTTAAGCTCGGGCTCACTTTAGATGTGAGCCAAACTGGCCTCAGTGAACACTGCCTCAATCCAAAATCTAAATTTTGGTTTAGAGGAGCTTTAGAGAAAGCTCTGACAACTCATATACCTAGAATTAAATAGCAGTTTAATGAGTAATGAGTAAATGAAACAGAGGCATAGATCAACTTTCCGTCCAAATAACCCTGGGTTCACAATTAAGAGGAGAGAAAGCAAGCTTGGCAAAACAGTTTGATTTTGGAAATAGCTTCATGGATTTTCCCAGCCTACTTACTGAATATGGTAGTGCACACAGATCTGAGAAGCATTTGGGCCTTGGCTGTGCTCACAAACTTTATTCAGCACCAAGCACATGATCATACCTTTACGGTGTCAGGAATCTCCACTTGGTTATCATAAAGGAATTCCAACATCATGCTGCTCAAAGTTTCAGCAAAGGACAAGCCAGGGATTATTCAGATAAAGGGCAAATGTCTTAATGCTTTAATAACTCACCAGTTTTATTTTTGAACATTTGCATTCTACTCAGAAAGGACACAGTTTTTTTAAAACACATATCTTGGAATAGATATTTGGGAAAGTTATTCAATTATTCAATGCCTCAGTTTTATCATCTGAAAATAGGGATAACAATAATACCTATCTCATAAGACTGTTATATATTTATACTTAATGATATGCTTATATTTAAATAAAATATTAATGTTACATTTATTTAGAAATATTCTTGACATATAGTTATGTGTTAATCTCTTTGAACTGTGCCTGGCCAACTGTGAGCATTCAATAAATGCAGCTGTAATTTTTATCATTATTTTTGGCCGCTCAATCAACAATGCATGAACCCAGGGAAAGGTAAGGTTTTCTTTTCACTCAACAAAACTTATTAAATGTCTCCTACATACCAGGTACTAAGAATTTCTGGAGAAATATTTTAGAAATGAATACCTAAGAATACTTAGAGTAGGCAAATTCAACCCACTGAGTCATTACTGCAATGATTATCTTCACATGAATATTTTAAATATTCACAGTATCAGCACTTTAACTTTGTTATACAATATAAATTTTATAGCACCTGACCCAATGAAGTAGAGAAACTTGGACCCAGAAAAAGGAAGTGATTTATATAAGGGCACATGGCAGAGCACAGGCTGGAGCCTCAGTCTTCAAACTTCTTTCGTCAATGTCCATTGAGTTGTCAAGGAGCCTCAGAAATTCTGGGGTGTGGTCACTGATAGCACCAAGTTGAAAGGGACAAAGGTCAGTTCCTCAGTATCCCCAGGCTTTCCACTCCTCATTTGGAGAGTTTCAAAAGTGATTTTTTGGACACCTCCGACTGGCTCCTTGAATGGATACTAAGAGGAAGGTAATTACCACAAAGAAGACATCTAGAGACTTGGGGCTCTAAGGTGTCTGGGTGCCCTGACAGATCTTCCCCCACACTTAGTCACGGACTGGTGGTGAGACATCTTGAACAATCAGGCAAGGAATATTAGACAAAACCAGTTAAGAAAATCAGCCAAACATGTTCACCTCAACAGGCTATATTGAGGAACAGCCTTCCTTAAGATTACCATGTCCAACACTGGTACAAAAAAGGTAAAAGGTTTTCAAACCCTTATGACCCACAGTAATATCATGACTGACAGATGAGATTACTCAGTTAAAAGATAAAAGAAAATATGAAGTCACAGAATACAGCAGGATGCTAATTAATAAGGAAATGTATATAAATGCAGTAACAGTATTGGGGACAGAGCAGTATAAAATGGCGGCCATCAGAAGCCAACAGCAATGATTAGGAAGTTGCTAATAAGTGGAAGACTATAAACAGTGACAGGGATCAGAATATGCCACCCCAAAATATGCCACTTTGTCATAAAGATTATTTTCAGCTGAAGGCAACTGAGAAAGAGCAGATGCAGGAGGAATTATGTGTCCTTTACCTTTTCTGCCTAAAATTTGGACACAAATTTCCTGTTGTGAAGGTTTGCCTTCCCCTCTCCTGTACCAGGAAGAGGCAATAACTCTTATCACTGGAAACAGCACTAACTTTCGTCTGCATAGCAAACTTTACTAAATAATCCTTATCATCCATTTGTCTTCCCTATTTACCTTCCCACAATGTGCCACCCCTAGAAGCCTAAACCTCCTTTCCTTTGTCTTGTCACTTCTCCATAATTTATTACCCTTTGTTAAAACAGTATATAAACTCAAAGGCCTAACTAATTTTTAAAGTTTTCACTTCTTTCCTGTGTGGCCCCCCATGTGCATATGAAATAAACCTTTCTCCTAATAATCTGTTTTTGTCAGTTTAATTAATCAGCTTTGGTCACTGAATCTAAGAGGGTAGATGAAAAGTTTCCTTTCTCCCCTAGAACAGCTACCTTCCAGTTTCATGTGAAGAAATCAATTGTGCTTCTGGTCCAGATTCTTAAGGAAAATAAAAGATACATCATGATTTAGATTTTTTTAAAAAATCCTAACGGTGATCTAAATTAATATATGAGGGGGCTTAAATGATTTTATGAAGCAATGAATTTCAACTGATAAGGTGGTTTACACCAACAGAATCAGACTGTATTGTTATCTGGATAGCTTCTTACCTATAACTAATACAAATGAGCTATTTCAGAATTCAATTGCTCCAAAACTCAAGGCAATTGTCTTTAAACGCGTTATGAGTACTGAATATTCCCTCAAATATGTGTGTTCAGGAAACAACCACAAGAAGGGAAAAGCTCTGAAACATGTGGGAATGGTAAAATTTGATCGTTTTCATCTTTTTGTTGCTAACTAAAATGAGTAACAAACACAGAGTTATTTCAAATAACAATGGCTTCCATATCTCCATGTTGGGAAATTTGAAAATCTAATACCAAAAGTGATAGCAAGTTGAAGTCATACATTCATGGACTCATTCACTCACACAACAAACATTTATAGGAGTATTGGGCATGTGAGCCACATGCAAAGATATGTAAGATGCAGGCTCTCTGAGGTGTCACCGTATGTGCTCCCAGTTTCAACATTCCATATGTAAAATCAGTTGTGTGTTTTTTTAACCATGGATAAATCAGATGGGTGTGAAATTACATACTGTTTATCAACTAGGTTATAGCTAAGTGATAAGTGCATTACATTCACAGTTTTTTAAGATTTAAACTTATCAGGACTAATAATATAGTTATTTGCTATTTATTTACCTACCAAATATCTATAAAGCCTAGGCCAAGGAAGACTGTGGACATGAGAGACTTGGGCATGATTCAGTCCTGGGATGCTTACAAAGTGAAGAGACACAGGAGTAAATAAAGATAACCATACTGTATTGTATAATAACTGGCCCATGGAGCCAGTGCAGGGAGGGGACTCCAGAAGAGGCAGTACTTAAAAAGAGACTTAAAGGACTGCAGAAGCATTAGGTAAATAGATTCAACTATAACAAGAGTAAAATCAGGTTCTCCCAAGTGGACACTATTTTACCATTCATTCATCCATATTACCATTTGTATGGTACTGTGTTAGGTACTGGGAACAGAGTGGTAAACAAAAAAATGTCAGTTAGTGACCCAGACTTTATTTTAGTGACCGTTACTCTAGAGTTACCACGCATAATTTAAAA
The DNA here is from genome assembly GCF_000001405.40 of Homo sapiens. Lineage (NCBI taxonomy): Eukaryota > Metazoa > Chordata > Mammalia > Primates > Hominidae > Homo > Homo sapiens. The sequence continues at coordinate 54,786,195 of NC_000003.12, read as the reverse complement.
ATAGCCCAAGCAATACGTAATAATAATAAGCTGTGCTAAGTGCTAACAAGAACAAGAAGTGGTTCTATGAGAGAGTAATAGGTGGTCCCTTTCTATTTGAGGAGTTAGGGAAGGGATTTGTAACTTGAAACATAAAGATTAGGTAAGTGTTAGCCAGGAAACAAGAAAGGACCATGATGGCAGAGGGTGGCTGGGTGCTCACCTCCCAGGAACTAAAATAATGGCAGGGAGAAGGCTGGAAGTGTTAAGAGTGAACCCAAAAGATCACTTAGAAGTCTGCAGGGATGTTCCAGGCAGGAGACAGGGTAGATGGCACATTGCTAATGATAAGAAGGGAAAATATATGAGATGTATACTGAGAGTGGAATCAATAGGACTTGTGTCTCAAACCCAGTGACATGGTGTTTGCCTCATTTACCAGGGACAAGATATAACAAGGATCTGGGCCACTATCTTTTGGTACCAACCAAGGCTGTCTTCAGTGGATTTGTCTCTCTCCTAGTCACTGACATTTCTGTACAATAAGACATGTCATGCAGGATTTGCATTCAGGCTTGTTGGCTTCTCAATTTCCCTACAGAAAATAATTCATGTATTTTGCTTGTCATTTAGGTAGACAAAGAGAAGCAATTTACAACAAAAGAAAACAAGAGAGGCCCATATAGCTAGACTAAACATAAGAGATCTGTTCCCATAGTTCTTAACATTTTGGAGGATGACAGCCTCCTCTACCAAAAAAAATAAATAAAATGAAATAATAAGACATGCACATGTACAAGTTTTGATGGGAGGGATCACAGACTGCTTGAAATTCACACATGGCTGGATGTCAGATTTTTGAGATCTCCTAATGAAGGCCAATCTTCCCATTCTTCAATTGGAGAAGCTGAGGAGCAGATGTTACATAACATAGGAGGGGAGAAAAAAAATCAAAATGGACATCTTCTGACCCTTTTTAAAATCACTGCATTTTATAACCTATTGAACATTTGGCAGAAACATATCTTTCAGTCAAGATATTCTAACAATGGGACTAGCAGTAACTTATCCCAACCAATCCCATGTGGGAAGAAGCTCCATGGCTCTGCTGGTGGCTACTGTGGTCCTGCGGAAGGATGGTGTTTGCAGCTGTGCAGTTACTCTGGTTCTGAGCTCCTGCTAGATTTGTTCTGTTTGTAAACTACCTCACCATCCTAATGCACACTCTCTGGCCCCCTTCCCAAGAGTGTAGAGAGGTACAAAACTAAAACTTCCCATGATGTCCTCCAAAAACCACTCTTGGAGGCCTTTGTGAAAATGTGGTGGACTTTCAGGAAGGTGCAGAGGTTTTCACTATAGCAGAGCAAATAGCATGAAATTAAATAGGAGCTATCCTTGCTCTTGAAAAGATCCTGTCACTTTGCCCATCTGGGGTCAGGTCCCCTGCCTGCTCACGAAGTCTGCTGCTCCCTCTTCTCTCAGGAGGCAAACTTGCTCTTTTCATTTGTCCCATCTTCTTCTACGGAACATTTCTGTTCTTCCCCTCTTTCATTGCAACTCTGCACTGGACTCCCTACACCTTTCACATCTTGATGGCCCCAACTCCTTTCCTGCAGAAGTTTGGTACTATGTTTGAATATAAGACTGATTTGGAGGTGAACATTTGCAAATAATTGTGCATGGAGGGATGAGGTTACATTTGATCATCTCTTCTTTAATAAGACAAAGTGACTATTTGGGGGGAGCAAAACAGAGTTCGGTTATTAAAAAAAAAAAGTCTGACAATGTCACGGCTTCTCCTTCCGGCCCCCATCTAGAGTAGTCTGGGTACAAAAGTTCAGACCAGAGGCAAGGTTTCTAAAAGATACCAACTCTTAGCCCCAAGGTTAATTGGCCTGCTTCCTGGAAGGCCTCCAGCACGAGCCGCAGATCACTGCTGCACTCTGCAATGCAGGTGTTCCCAGGCTGCTAAACTTGCTTCCGTTCAGAGGTCTACCTCTCTGCCCTGGCCTGCCTTCCGGACACCTTGGCTTGTTCAACTGAGTATTTGAAGCTTTGATCTACTTATTAACCCACTGCTTGACTTGCCTGACTACCCTTCACAGTGGACAGACTTACCATACAAAGTCATTAAAAATGCCCTCAAGGAATTTGATTCAGGACCCTCAATTTCCTTCAGTAGAGAAGTTGTGTGTATCATGAATAACATTTCATGATTTTTGACATACTGACAGCAGTTGGGGTTATATAAATTATAGGATGTGATTACAGTATTTGCTGTGATAACACCATCAAAATCCTTTTGTGATGTTTAACACATTCAAAATGCAAATTCCAAGATATTTAAAAGCCCATCAAATAGAATTGTTATGACTCAACATTTAAACCTAGGAATGCTGTGGTTTCTTTTACAAGTGTGATGAGCTGAGTTTTCCTTCTGTCATTTAATATAGCACAGAGAACTCTCCATGTAAGAGATACATGTTGCAAAATTTAAAGTTTCCTACCTTGGGTTGCCAAGGCTATGGGAAACATAATTCAGGACAAGTTAGGTTCCAGAGTTTTCATTATTTATTTTTATTTTTATTTTTATTTATTTATTTATTTATTTGAGATGGAGTCTTACTCGGTCACCCAGGCTGGAGTGCAGTGGCACGATCTCGGCTCACTGCAACCTCCACCTCCCGGGTTCAAGTGATTCTCCTGCCTCAGTCTCCCGAGTAGCTGGGATTACAGGCACACGGCACCATGCCCGGCTAATTTTTGTATTTTTAGTAGAGATGGGGTTTCGCCATGTTGGCCAGGCTGGTTTTGAACTCCTGACCTCAAGTGATCTGCCTGCCTTGGCCTCCCAAAGTGCTGGGATTACAGGTGTGAGCCACCGTGCCCGGCTGGCTCCAGTGTTTTCATATCTCAAAGTGGGTACCATGGGTTTTTTTTAATTCAGTAGAGGTGATATAACTCAAACTTGTGGGAACAGGAACAACATTTCTAATCTCCCATTAGGCATTCTAAAGACTTTGGCAGTTCCTTAAAAGCGGCCTCAGAGGACACACACGTATGCAGGAGACCTTCTTGCATGTAACATGGAATCTGAGGTCACAGTCTCACACCTGGGCAGAAGACCCAAGGTTGAATTCCATTTGTTCCATGAATTATCCCATTTCCTTAGGCAAAATCCTCAATCTCTCTAAACCTCAGCTTCCTCATCAAGTAAATGGAGATAATAGGGCCTATCTGACACATGCAAAAGCTCGTAACACAGGGTCTGGTGTGCGTTTTACCTGCCCCATAATGGCAGCTCTTAGTACCCCAGTTATTCTTGCTGTGCTACTCAGATGACACCTGCCCTACTCCACCGTTAGGAAGGATGCTTCAGAAGTGCATCATCAATTTGCACAGCTCAGCCTTTCCTCTCAAGCTTCTTGGTTCTTACTCTAGTCGTTTCTAAATGATGTAGTCATAAAGTCTTTTGAGACAAGGAGAGGTGATGGCTTCAGTAGACTTTTTTTTTTCTTTTTCTCAAGCATGGCATGATGCTTTTAGGCAGGACAAGCTGGACACACGACCTACAGCAGGGGCCTTGACCGCAAAGAGTGAAGATGACTCTGAATGCTCTTCTGCTGGGAAGGGAAACACATGCATGGCCCAGTCTTTTCCCTTTTCTTTTGGAGAGTGTCAGAACTTGGCAAGTCCAAAATAAAACGAAGGAAGAATTCACTCCACAAAAACTCTATATGGAACAATAAGTAATAATGTTATCCTGAATTTCTACATAATAATGATTAGCACTTATTGAGCACTTGATATAGGCGTGGCATAGTGCTAAACAATATTATGTTTTTAAATCTTCACAATTCTATGAGATCACCACCACTATTCTTTCCATTTCACAAAAGAAACCTTAACAGTATATAATACAGCATTGTTATATGCTATGGAATTTACTGTAGAATACTTCAGAGTAGATGTTTTGATACAAATGTGAATGCTAATTTTAGTCTATATATCAAAAATGGTCAATTGACCTCATTAGGAATATACCTTCCAGCTAGTATTTAAACAAATGGTTGCATGTGCTATGGGTATTTATCTCTGACCAACACCAAAAATTTTCTCAATTACCACAATGGATATTAGAAGTGAACTCTTACTGGTAAAACTGGACATATCCACTCTGTGGATTGGTTCAATATGCTGCAGGAGCCTTGCCTTTCTCTGCAAACACCCAAATAAGTACTTTGGGAGCTCTATCTTTAGAAATAGTGCCCCCTGGCCAGATTTTTAAACAGTCTTGCCTTCAGCTGCTGACTCAGGCCTCTCAGTTACCTGACTCCAAATAGAACGTTAGCTGACTCTTGCAAATAATGCATTTGCTCTGATGCAAGGGGCCATCAGAACACCTGAAGGATAAAGAGCTGGAACCTCCTTGAGCTTTAAAACAGTTGGCTTTTGTGCATACTTGCTAATAAATATCTGCATAGATGGCAGAATTGGCCTGAGACTTGTTACAGCCTCACTGCTAAATGTTGGAGGATGCCAATAACTACTAAAAATATTTTAACATGTACAAATTACCGAATTGGCTTGGATTGTTCACTGCAAGGACTTAGGCTGTATTTCCTAAAAATGAACACTTATCCCATTGGCCAGCATAGGGACTAATCTTTAGCTCAGTAGATGTCTTTTGTCAATGAACTAGGTAACTTTACATCTGGTTCTGCAAGTGTCCCTAGAACACTGATGGCCAAAGAGTAGACTCTCCTGTTTACTGACCAGCTACAGACAGAGAAGGGCAATCCAGCTTAATAAGAGAACCATCAAGCCCACACATTCTGAGTGTTCCTAATTCAGCCCTATGTTGGATTATCATCTCCAGAGAAATGGGAAATTGGCAAACTTAATCTAGATTCCATGAAGTCTGGGGAAATCACCAGACCTTACAAAAATGTCTGGCTCTGCTAATATAGCAAAGGGCCTCTGTGAATGTATGTACTGTGGCCAAGGCCCAGCCCTTGCTGTGTCTCTGCATTCCCAACCACTAATCTTCTTTTCCAAGTTTGTTCCTGTTTGCACTCAGTTGTACTTGGTTGAAAATCTGTTCTCAGTAACATTAATAGTTAAAATTAAGATTATTTTAACCCTTAAATAACTTATGTTTAACAAAACCACAACATTTTCTAAATAAAAAGACCCACACATTTTAGTAACCAAATAGGAATATCATTTTTAAAAGAAAGTTTTTTCAATACAGTTTTGTTACATACGTATTGTCATACAGTGATCAATACTTCTTGAGAATTTCATGCTTTTACATACCAGAAAGCCAAATAAGAAGCAGATTGTCAAGTGCTATGATGGCAAACAGCTGTCAAAAATCTATGATTCCAACCCCCCCACTCCTTTAGTATACTGTTACAAAAGTTGAAATGCTAATTCATTAAGGATTTCTTAGCGTCTTCTTCAGGAAACTCACTACCATTCTATCAAGATATCAGGCTTTCTGGGAATTTTCCTTTCCAGTCTGGCCCAGAGCAATTAGCTTGGCCTGAATAAGGATGGTAATTAAAAGCAGAGAGCATTTACAATCTGATGAAGAACTGAGGGCTAATGCTAAAGAAGCTTCATGGACCTGCATGTTTTTCCTGGCCTCTCCCAGTATCAAATTTCTCTGGAGTTCACCTAAATCATGATGATGTCCCACCAAAAAATCACATTCCACACTTCCCCATAAACCATATCTTTAGCAAGAAAACCACTGTTAGGAACTTTTCCATCAGACCCAAGTAATACAGTATAAACAATATGCCTTAAGCAATCAATCTTTTCCCCAACATATTGCATTTAGCAACATGCACAGAAAAGGAGCACTGCAGAAATGTGGTTCATCCCCCAAATGTCCCTGTTCTTCCTTCAAAATCAGTAACTGCTGCTTAGATGGAGGTGGCATTCATAAAAGTCAGTTGCTTCAGACCTAAACTTGATCATTCAGCTAGGTTTTCAAAAGGAAAGACAAATATGACACATGCATTTTGGAGACAATATTTTAGACTCTCTCTTAGTACCACCATCCATGTTGTAGCAATATTCTTTATATTATTTCTTCTGTAAGCCTTGGGGTCTCATTGTACCGTTTTTTAGGAAAAGTATAGTACAGACAGGGAGAAACAAACAAACTGTAGTGCACAGTAAACAGAGACTGGTGGTAGGACTGAGAGCAAGCCACTTGGCCTCTCTGAATTCATCCTGGGTACTTACTCTGTGCTAGGCACAGTATCAGGTTATAGAGACACATCACAGACTGCCCCAGTCCTTACGCTACTGTTCAAGAGATAGACAAAACAAGAATTTTAAAAGAGAGGGAAAAGTCAAAGCACCTAATTAAGATAATTCTAAATGATCATAATCTCTATGAAGAAAACCTATAGGGGACCTGAGATGGAAAGGCAATGGACACATTTTAGCTGAGACAAAGAACATGGGAAAGAGCCTCTTCCCCAGTAGAGAAGCAGAGCAGCAGGGGAGTCTTTCCAGTTCAGAAGGAGAAGAATGTTCAAAAGCCCAGGGGAGGGAGAAAGTTTGGGTTGTTCAGGCAACTAAAAGGTGACCAGCACAGCTGATGTTCTGAGAGTGAGGGAGAATGGCCAGCGATGGTGAGGCACTATTGACCATGGTAAGAACTTGGGGGAAATACAGAAAAAAGCACATTACAAGTACAACTGTAAGGGATTATTTTCAAGGATTTCCTGAATGCCCATTACTTGACAGCCAGATTTGATTCCAATCTTGCCAAAATCTTGTTTAAAAATTCCATTCTGGGCCAGGAGTGGTAGCTCACACCTGTAATCTCAGCACTTCGGGAGGCCAAGGTGGGTGGATCACCTAAGGTGAGGAGTTCAAGACCAGCCTGTTCAACATGGTGAAACCTCGTCTCTACTAAAAATACACAAATTAGCTGGGCGTAGTGGCACACACCTTGTAGTCCCAACTACTTGGGAGGCTGAGGCAGGAGAATCACTTGAGCCTGGGAGGTGGAGGTTGCAGTGAGCTGAGGTTGTGCCACTGCACTCCAGCCTGGGCAACAGAAGGAGACTCTGTCTCAAAAAAAAAAGCCCTTCTGTTGTAACAGTGGGCAAAAGTAACATCATAACGGTGGGCAAAAGTAATATCAATTTTATCTTAACAATGACACAGCTGATATGTCAGAATGCCATTATCTTAGCTCCTCAAACCGTGGACACATGAATTCAGATCTTTTTGATGAATGTGGCAAAATCTTTGTTGGATTGGTGGTGCTGGGTACCTGAGAGAGAAGCCCAGTCTCATGGTGAAGATGCATCCACTCATCACATGCCTAATGAAGATGGCCTTGAGCAAGGATGCTACATGCTGAGTGAAATGTTGGAGAAGATGCCATTCTTATCTAACAGCTAGAAAACGCAGATATTTTCACATGCCCTCCAACCTTTGGATCTCTGAGTCTATGAGATTTACACATCTGATTCTATACATATACTTACTACGTGCCTGATCATATATTGAGGATGCGACAGTTAACCAGACACCATCCCTCTCCTCAAGGAATTTAAAGTTCAGTGGCAAAAAGTTTATTTGGACTTCTTAATATAATAGTACAAGAAGTTCTAGGATGGTGCTACATGCTTTGGAAACAGGCCATCAATGCCCCACTCTAGACTGGAGGTCCATCCAAGGAGGTCAGAGGAGATGATGAAACTGAGACCAAAGGATAAGCCCAGAGGCTTCTGAATGGAGTGGGAGGAAGAGATCACTTCCTGCAGAGAGAAAAGCAGGTACAGTGGTCTCGGTGTGAGAGAATACAGGGCTGGTTCTAGAGACTATAAATGTGTGAGTAGGTTAAGGCTGGAGGATGGCGGCACGGAATGGGGAAAGGCCCCATTCAAACTGTAACCCCCAATGTTGGAGAAGGGGCCTGCCGGGAGGTGACTGGATCATTGCTGCTGATGTCCCCCCTTGCTGTTCTCCTCACAGTGAGTGAGTGGTCATAAGATCTGGTTGTTTAAAAGTGTGTAGCAGCTCCCCACTCTCTCTCTTCCTTCTGCTCCAGCCACGTAGGACGTGCCTGCTTCCCCTTTGCCTTCTGCCATGTGGAAGGAAAAGACTGAGATGTTCACTGGAGTCAGGTCATCAAGGTCTTCAAATGCTCTGAATTTAGGCTCCCCTGGAGGGTTTTAAGCCCGTGGTGATCCTACTTAAGCCAGCAGTGAGCCTTTAGATTCTCTAACTTATTAGTTGACAATTAAAATAGCTCAATTATTTATGAAAACTTTTCAAATTGGGTCTTCAAATATTTTCCAGAGGCAGACAGAAAAAGTCATCTAATGTGGTCTCAAGATGTCCCTGCACTTATAAGGTGTGTGGACAGTGTTTCCCACTGGTCCCTGCTATTGGAATACCATGGGGGTCCATTGAACCCCATGTTCCTCAAAGGAAGGCTCTTTCCATGGAAACAACTGCTCCTTTAACAGCTGGCTAAGTGACAGAGAAACAGACTATAGGATGAGTACTCCAGCCTTGCTTCATCTTGGGCTGCCTTTAATTTGATCACTTCAGAAGAGAAATCAATGACAAGCGTGTTTAATAGTTGTTTCTATCAACCAGAAAAGATGTTGATGTTCCAGATTTTTAGATTAAACATAATGAAAATTGATTTAAAAGCATGTTCCTTCTGCCTGAATAAACTACTGGCTTTGCTTTTCCTTTCTTTGTTCAGAACAAGAGAGAAATTTCTCCTAAGGACCTTGCACTGAGAGATAGACTTAGTCATGTCTGCTCTGTACGTCTAATAAGAGCATGTGTCACCAGCAGAGTAAGGTTAGGAGGAGCCCTCAATGGCCATTTCACTCATAAGTGGGTGTGAAAGGTCATGAAGGCAGGGGAGGCAAGAGTGATTCTCTGCTACTTTTAAATAGAAGCAGGCTAAGAGGCCAAGTCAGGTGAAATGTCCTTACCTATGGTGTCTTTGTGCCATGGCCTCATAGATAACACATTTATATTTGGCACATCGATTCTTTTGGAGTAAAGGTGAAAGAATGAAATCTTTCACATGGAGAAAATCCTGTGTACAGTAACAGAAGAGAAACTGGCAGCTGATATCAAACCACAGGCTGATTCTCTGGGATTATTTTAATTGTTCTTCATGCTGGTAATAAGAGGAATGTGTTCATTTTAGTCTAAACCATGTCAAAGCATGAGAATCAGCTCTGAGAAGTTAAGTTACCCAAATATCTGGGCCATGAAGTGGGGGAAAAGCAGTACAGATTTGGTTGTGTTGGCCAAAATATCTTCCTCAGCTCTCGGAAGGCACAAGGGAGAGGGCTTCCCACCACCCACACAGCAGGGATAGTCTATGGAGGAAGGGCAGCATCCTCCAGGATGTGGGGCCAGGGGGAGGCTGTGGGGACACTTGGGTCCACTGGGGCTTAAAGGAGGATGTGAGCCTGGGGCTCAGAGAATAGGAAAGAAGACCCACTCCTGAGAGTTAGGATCAGAGCTCAGCCGGGCTGTAAGTTACAGAAACCTCAGACAGAAAGACAGAGGTCTAGAAATGCCAACTCCTTCAGACTCTAGGCATTTCCTCCTATCCAGGCCTCTTTTGTTGTTGTTACTGTTTTGTTTTGTTGTTTTGTCTTTGTTTGGTTGCTGTTTTGTTTTTTTAAATTGGAGACAGGGTCTCACTCTGTTGCCCAGGCTAGAGTGCAGTGGTGCAGTCATGGCTCACTGCAGCCTTGATCTCCAGGGCTCAAGTGATCCTCCCACCTCAGCCTTCCGAGGAGCTGGGACCACAGGCACATTCCACTGTGCCTGGCTGATTTCTTCAATTTATTTTTTGTAGCGACAGGGGGTCTCACTATGTTGCCCATCTCCAACTCCTAGGCTCAAGCAATTCTCCTGCCTAAGCCTCGCTAAGTGCTGGAATTACAGGTATAAGCCACTGCAGGCAGCCTCCCGACCTCTTAGAAAATGTTATCCATAGCCCTGGCTGATCTGTTTCTATCCCTTGGCCTTCTGGGACATAACTGATTGGATAAATGATGGACATCTGACCTCAATGGAACCATGGGCTAGAGTGAGTTGTGTATATAATTTGCTCAGAAATGTAAACTCAGATACACAACACACACTGATTTCATCCTTTTTGGATCTCAACTGGGGCATTATGTAAAGCCAGGACTGGGAGGAGACCAGGAAACTGTGTTTCACCGATGACTGGGGATGGCAAGTAGGAGGGACAAGAAAAAAGAACAAAGGAAGAAGGAAGAAAGAACAAAAAGAGTGGTCATTTGCTCTTGGTGGCTTCTTGCTCCTTGATGGTCCTTATCCCTCCTGGGGCTGCCCCTGAGCCATCCAGTAAATTTCTCACAGCTTGAGTGGGTTCTCTTGCCTACAGCCAATGCTTTCTAAGAGGTGACAGAAGTACAATGAGCCAGTGTTTGATCATCAGAAGTGATGAAGAAAAATAAGGCCGAAATATGATAAAATAGTCATATTACTATACTAACTTTCTCAATTTGATTTTTGAATACAGACACAACCTGCCAATCCCCATAGCCATCTTTCCTAACTGGACTCAACCCAGCACTCTGTTGTAAACTAAAGGGTACAACAGAGAATCCACAGCAGAGAATCCTATACGACTATTCTCAGAGGTTGACACCTGATTACTTAGAATACTACCTAGGCTCTGCAGTGCAAGGAAAGATGAAAACAATGCTTCAGAGTCTCCCTGGGATGTGGCCAAGCAACTGGGCTTCGTGTCTCCATTTCCCAATACCTACCAGAGGACCTCTGCTTCTATATGCTTTATATGAAAGGGTCCACAAAGACATTTAACTAAAGGGCTCCATAGCTTAACAGTATGGTATCATAATTAATACCCTGCTGATGTGGTACATGATCTTAGGCGTGGATTGGTTTCGGATTCTACCAACAAGTTTTGTGCAGGACTCTGGTACTTCTCGGTCTTCCCAGGATCAATTTCCTTTTGGATTGATTTCTCCTCACTCTGTGAGATTGAGGCCATTAAGTCATAGGTCTGTCTCATCTCTCAACGTTTGGCTGTGACTCAAACAGGCCTATCTATCATAGGCTTAATATAAATGCTGAAAGGCAAATAAATTAAGGTTTATAAATGTAATGAAAGTTAACAACATTATGTTAGATACCAAAAACAGTAGAGCCATTTTTGGCACCATGTAGAGAGATCCTGTCTGGGAATTAAGCCAATAAGAGTCAAGGAACAGTGGCCGGGCGTGGTGGCTCACATCTGTAATCCCAGCACTTTGGGAGGCTAAGGCAGGCAGATCACAAGGTCAGGAGTTCGAGACCAGCCTGGCCAGTATGGTGAAACCCTGTCTCTACTAAAAATACAAAAAGTTAGCCAGGTGTGGTGGCGGGCGCCTGTAATCCCAGCTACTCAGGAGGCTAAGGCAGGAGAATCACTTGAACTCAGGAGGCAGAAGTTGCAGTGAGCCAAGATCGTACCACTGCACTCCAGCCTGGGCGACAGAGTGAGACTCCATTTCAAAAAAAAAAAAAAAAAAAAAAATAGTCAAAGAGCAAGTCAAAATAATATTGGGATTAACCCCTGATATGGTTTGGGTCTATGTCCCCACCCAAATCTTGTATCAAATTGTAACCCCCGGTGTTGGAGAAGTGGCCTGCTGGGAGTTGACTGGATCATGGGTGCAGATGTCCGCCCTTGCTGTTCTCCTGAGAGTGAGTGAGTGCTCACGAGATCTGGTTGCTCAAAAGTGTGTAGCACCTCCCCACTCTCTCTCTTCCTCCTGCTCCAGTCATATAGGACATGCCTGCTTCCCCTTTGCCTTCCACGATGATTGTAAGTTTCCTGAGGCCTCCTCAGCCATGCTTCCTACATAGCCTGCGGAACCCTGAGCCAATTAAACCTCTTTTCGTTATAAATTACCCAGTCTCAGTCTCGGGTAGTTCTTTATATTAATAGTGATGCGAGAAGAAACTAATACAACCCCTGAATCTAGTCACGCCTCAAGACAGAACTGCACAGACATCCTGGTTCCAAGAGTCATCAAATTGCCTTTTTGACCATTCCCACTTTGCACTGGAAGCTGTGACTTGTAAACAAAGAGTGCTGAATAAGCCATCATGTTGTATGATTATTCAGGCTAGATGCTCTTATCCATTGGTGTATGGCAGAGGATAGAGGCTGTTCTTTCATTACAGACAGTTGCAAATCATTAATCCATAAAAGCAGAAACAACAATAAACACCTGAAATCTAGAAATCATTTTCATTTTTAGCCCTAAGCTTTTCTACTAGTTGACAGTCACCCATATAGAGTTTTAGGACATCTTTTCTGAAGATAATAATTTTATATCATCAATTCATGGTTTTATAATACCAACTCTGTTTAATAGAAAACTCTAGAATCAATGGAAGAGGAAAATATTTGGATGCATATAAGTGGTACCAAAAATCAGGAATACACTCATATTTTTAACATCTCCTGGAAAAAAATAATCATAACAGTAATCTGTTTCAATGGAAATAAAGTACTGTAATATTTATAGTCTGTGCCAGAGTTATAATGACTGCGGGGCCAGAAGTGAAGTGTCACAGCATGCTCCACATGTTTTTAACACGGTTTCTAAAGGCTCTGGAGGCTATTAAATTTAATGAACCCATCTGCTATGAAATAGAGGTCCCAACATAATCAGTTTCCTCCTTGCCATGTAATGCAGATGGCATTCTCTGTTCCACAACCCAGCAGGATGGTTTATGTTTCTCTTTACGTGTGTCTCTTTGTTTTGACGATTGGAACTTCTTTGATATGCAGCAGTGTCTTGGAAAAATACTGTAAATTCCATTTCCAAGCCCAAGAACATCCTTAGGATGGCTTTGACCCCATTTAATTGCTTCTAGGCAGTAAGAGGTTATAGCTTAATCACCCAAATGACTCCTAAATGGCCTAGGTGCCATTCCTAGATGGGAAACTGAAACAAATGTGCAATTTATCAAATGCATAGTGTTTTCTCCAAGTTGGACTTAGTGGGGGCTGAGAAGGAGGGATACAGGTCCAATTTGCAAATGCAACTAAATTGGTTTGAAAAGTTCCTACAAATTGCCTACTGAATTGCATTACCAGCAAACGGGAGGGGCAAGAGGGCTTGATAATGAATTCTCATTATTTTAAATGGTCACATTCCCACTGTTTCTAAAACATTTCTTTGCTTCCCTTCTGCGTGTCACTGTGGTCTGTGTAAACTCCCCTGGAGGGGCTGATCAGGAATGCTGATGCTTCCTTGGTTTGATACTGGTTCTATCCTGCACAGCAAGTTGAATAGCATTCCCAAGCTGATTAAGACCCAACTCCAAAGCACAAGTCATTTGCTTTTAAAATGGAACAAATTCCATTGTTAATGATTTTTTGCTCTGCACCTAAGAGATAATGACTATGCATGACTTGTATTCATATGAGAGGCCTATGAATTTCAGAATTCTGGTGTTTGCTGTTTTGTCAATTAATACATGAGATCTTATTAGATTCAACATAATTAATGTTGTTAACATTAAGTCATTTATTTGGATTTCACCAGGAAAACAAATTGAACAGAACAGCCAAGCAGGAAACAGAATATTTAATCAGACTGGTAGCAACAAGCAGGGAGAATGGGCCCTGAAAGGAAGTTTTGTCAGTTTCTGATTCTAGAATTGGTTAAATGCAATGATTGGCTCTCATGTGCAAGAACCCAAACTCAGCTTCTGTTCACAGCTAAACTTTTATCTTGAACTTGTCCAGAACCAAAACTATGGATCAATGTATAATTAATAGCGAAAGCACTATACTCACGGGTCATTTTTAAGCTATTTATTTAAGCATTAAATCAGTTATATAATTATATTTACTGCTGCTGGGTTTTCAGCCACAAAAACTGATGAGTCAAGCAAAGAGGAATTCCTTTTCCTTAACTACCCAGATAATTACAGAGAAAGAAGAGTCAGACCATATTAAGCCATCTTTTGGGTACAAGTGTCCAAACATACTAGATAATCAACAAATACTTACCTACTCCCTTAGTATTTAGTAGAAATAATACACATCAGCAGGGTCACAGATCTTCTGATTCCTAAAGGAATCACAGCTCCTTTCAGACTGCAATATAACAAAGAGAACCAGGCTCCTCTGGGAAACATCAGTGCTAAGTAGAAATGTTATGATGAAGAATGGACATAGCTATCCTAAAACCTTCTCTTGACAGTTTGCAGGAGATATGGTTGCATTTCCTTCTGGCATTATCTTTCCCTCTCAGACCAGAGCACATGGACAGAGACCACTGGGGTAGGCAAGATTCAAAAATGGCCCCCAAGATTTCTGCCCCAAGTACACACCCCATCAAATTCCCTCTCCTTGAGTGTAAGCTGATGGGATATCCCTGGTATAATTAGATTACTAATCAATTGACTTGGAGTTAATTAAAAAAGAAATGATCCTGAGTCAGCCTGACTTAATGGAAGAAGCTTTTAAGGGAAAGTGAAGCATCAGAGAGATGTATTTTTGCTGGGCTGGAGGAAAACAAACAGCATTGTGTGACAGCCTACAGGGGCCACATGGCAAGGAACTTTGGGTGGCCTTTGGGAGCTGGGAGTGGTCCCCAGCTGACAGCAAGCAAGAAAATGGGAACTCAGTCCTATACGGGCAAAGAACTGAATTCTGCCAACAAGCTGAATGAGCTTAGAAGAGGCCCCTGAGTTGCAGATGAGACCTGCAGTGCAGCCAACGCTTCCTTGTAGCCTTGTGAGTGCCTGAGCTGAGGATCCACCTAACTTGTGCTGAGACTTTTGATCCATGGCAACCTGGAGATGATACACTTGTGCTGTTTAAAGCCACTAAGTCTGTGCTGATTTGTTAAAGGGCAGTAGAGAACTAGCAGAGCCATACAGGTGATGCTGACCCACATAATGGGAGTGTGTTGGTTGTTTCTAGATGGAAATCACAGCTGCTCACACACCAATTAGTGACCCCTCTCTCTGTGTCTGGAAAGATCTGTTCTCCTTCTTGGAGTACACAGCTGCCCGAGGCCACTAAGAGACAATAAGAGAAAAAGCAGACACTAACCCAGCCCCCAGATCCACCACATCAACCAAGGATGACACAAACAAATCAAGGAAAATTACCCTATAGAAAGAAGGAAAGAAAAATTAAGCATCAGTTTTCTCTGAATGCAAGGAAGATGTTTTTTTTCTCCCTAGTTTTTTATGGTTGCTTTGCCCGTATTCAGCACAGTGGTAATTTTTTAGCAACTTTCTTTACAGTCTTTCCAAAGCATTCATTTACAGATTCACAGAAACAATGACTTTCTTTTCATACTCACAATTTGTTGGTTTAAATAATATTTAATTCATTTATACAATTATGATAAAATTACCACTGGCATCAATAGGTTTGGGAATGAAGACAACTGACTTCAAGTAAGCTTGCAACTCAAGCATGGGGAACAGACATATGCTTCGTGCACCAGAATGGCCTTCCAGATCACATGTCCAGGGTGCTGTGGGCGACAGGCACAAATGGCTGCATTGCCAAGGGCGCTTAACTGACACTGAGTCAGTTAAGCTGTGGCCAATTAACCCTTTTCCCGTTTAGAAAAACAACAAAAAAAGTGCAGCTTGCTGCCAGCACTCATTTAATTTTGCATAAACACGGTTTTTGAGGTTGAAGCAAATCTGACTGATTTTCAATGTGAAAATAAAATATAAAAACTGTTCTTGGAGTTATTTCTAAAACAGAACTAACATCAAAATTGTTTGAATCGTCAGAATCGCTTATTTTGGAAAAATCGGATTCATCAAACGAATCTTTGGCCAACAACTGTTTGAGAATGATGTTAACATCATGTGTAGGAATGCAACATTCTCTAGGATTTGACATTTTTAGCCATTGAGAATTACTATATTTTGTAAATGTAAATACCACTACTAAAAACAGAATGTTTTGGGAAACAGAAGACATCATTCTCTTTATAGGATATTTATAGAAAAATAATAATAAAAGTGAGATATTTTGTGGCAAAGTTATCTCGGGTTAACAGCTGCAGCCGCAAGTGTCGGCAGCAAGTATTTTCGGGGCAAATGGGCAAAGGGTGAAGGGGGCTGCTACCGTATTTCCCTTTCCTTGTGTAATTCAGCAAGGGCTCTCCTCAGTAAGGGTGTTGGGGTGAAAGGTTCTGCCTGGCTAGTGCGGCACAATCCCAGTGTTTTCTGGGGACACTGACCCAGGCACCCACCCCCAGACATTAGTGCCTGGCTCACAGCACATAATTACAGCCAAGTGAATTCCAAAGAATTAAAGAGTATCGTTAAACAAACAATGTTTTCCAAGATACTCATCATACTTAACTACCAAGTTCTATTATGAATATGGTAACAATCATGTAGCTACTATGTGAGACCCAGCTCAAAGAAAGAAGAATCCAGTATTTTTAAAAACTTCCTTCAGCCCAGGAAATAAACTCACACTAGGTTTTCTAAAATTGGGAAATGACAATAAATAGTATTTATTGCATTCATACTATGCATAGACATTTAATCCTTAGAGTGAACCCTGGAAGGCAGGTCGTATTCTCATGTTAGAAATGAGGAAAACTATACTCAAAGAGGCTAAGTAACTGGCTTAAAGTCACAGAGCAAATATGGAGTAGGCATGCAATTCAAACCTGGGATGCTGTTCTAACCTAAATTCAGTGCCCTTAGTGAATAAACTAAGGTAGACGATAAATATGCTTAAAAAAAAATCCAGAGCTATCAATACCAACAAAACATCAGGTTACTAAAATGGAGTCAATCATCATTCCTAATGCCAAGTGCTCGTGGAGTCTAGTCTCTTTCATTACTGCAAGCTGGGTCACCTTAGGGTAATGCTGGCTTGAAACTGTCCTGGATGTGTCAGGACAGTCATAAATTCAAAACTGCTCATCTCCCCCTTGATCTTCTGGGTGGTTCCAAAGTTGGTAAGCATCTCAGAATTTAGACTCTGCAGATGAGTTCACCATGTGAACCCTGTTTTGACCCCGTATAAATGATGGGGTTTTGTTGTTGTTTGTTTGTTCGTGTCCTGGCAGAATCCAGGTCCACATAAGGAGCTGGAAGAAACTGCTGCTTCCTGGTCAGAGGTACCTGTTGAAGCAGCAGCTGCCTTCTCTTCACCCGGCAGACCTAACAAAGAGGAAGACAGACTCCCCAGTGCCCTTCCTGGCCTGACAGGTTGCTCAACACCATGAAGAGGAGAAGGAACCCTCAGAACATTCTACCGGGAGATGTATTTATTAGGGCAATTTGCAAAGATACAGCAACAGAACCTTGGGAAGCACAGCAACAATGTTGGGCTATCATTTTAGGGATAACCTGATTTTGTGGGTTTAGTTTTATGAACCTCAAAGAGTTCTTTAAGAAGTAGAATAAATGAGCTCTGTCATCTTGGCATACCAAGTTTACTTAGTAATGGGCCACGTGAAATGTTATTTTAAAGTAAATAAGAATGATTATGGCACAGAATGTAAAATTTGTGCAAATGTTTAAGATAAAGCAAAAGACTTCAGAGACTTTCCTCTGTAACTACATGCCCAGATCTGCCCCAGACCATATATTTTGGCTCTGTGGTCACAAAAGTACTTCAGCGCAAAAGTTTGAGTAGCAATGGGTTCCCCCTCTAACTTCCTATATCTGTATGTAATTAGCAAATCTAATACAACAACCGATTTAAGTGCTGAACATTACCTAAAGCAAGGCATCATATTAATGCAAAGCTGTATCTGCTTCATGAACTTATATCTGCCGTGAGCATCAGGTTATGTGTCCCTGGTCAAAACAATACATAAGTGTGATGTGTCTTTCTCTGCAGGCACACAATGTCCATCTGCTTCTCATTGGTGGTGCTAATTTTGAGGACCCGCTCAAGATGTTGCTGAGATTCATCCAATATATAGTATACTAAGACAGTGTACATAGTATCCCACTGTTCAGGTGCCACTTTTTCCCCCTCAAGACTAATGAAAAGTCTAGGGAAGCATTTTGAGGTCATAAAAATACCCTGCTCATCATCGAACTTTCCCCCTAGATTTAGCATCCATTGACAGACCTTTGCCCTAACTGGTCTTTACCAAAATGGTTGCAAAATAGTGATTTTCCAACTCCATCACTCCCTCCTCATTTGCCAGTCAGCACTCCATCATACACTGCACTCTTCTCACCCACTGACTTACGTATCTGGTTCATCTGTTTGGGATTTGTTTAGTTATTTATTATCAGTAAGGACATGTGGATTTCTGTTTTATTCAACAAGTTACAAACCATTATTGTCATTCCTTATTTTGAGGCTCAAATTGTCCCAGATTTGACCAATGAGAGCCTCTTCATGCTGATCCTGTGTCCTTTTGACATGACCACATTATTGTTTTGAGCACTTCCTTAGTTTCTGGCACAAAATATTCCAAGCTTATTATTATTATTGTCATCATCATTATTATTATTTGGTACCTTCTCTGCTGCAGCCCTGGAATAAGCAATTACTCTAAGGGTCCCTGGCTCCTCTTAGTGGGGAGTGTTTTTTAGAAGCCAGAATCTGGGTACTGGATGGGCTCATTGCTACTTGGGTGCCACTGCTTATAGGTCCTTTAGAAAGACAGAGTTGGGATTTTCCAATCAAGTCTAATCCCATAGGCAGATCCCCTGTCTTCAGCATTTACACATTTGCCCAATACCTCCATACTCACAAAATGGATTCAGAATTGCTGTAACCATATTACCACAAATGACACCAAATGGAGTTTAGAATTTATTTGCAGTTCTCTTTTCCTCCCTAGATTGAGGGGTAGAGAGTGAAAGTATTGTGTTCAAAATTTAATATTGTGTGTACTACTATATTCTAAAGTTTTTTTCCTCCCTTTCTGAGAAATTTTTTATTCACTTGAAATATTATTGGATTCATTTTGTTCTGTTTGCATTCACTTTTAATTTCCCCCCAATCTTGTTTAATTTTTGAATACACAGAACATTCATATGCTTTCAAAAGTCAAAACTGTGCAAAAAGGTATACTCAGAGTTGTGTCATTTTCTCCCCAAGCCCTGCACCACCTCCCATATCCTAATAAGATGTGGGAGGTGGTGCAGAGAAGATGGCTTGGGGAGGGAATGATAGTTCTGTTGGTAACCAGTTCTGTTGGTTTCTGGTTTATTCTGTTTCTTGTTTTTGCTTTTTCTTTTTTTTTTTTGTAAAGTAAGTAATTACATATCTATCTTCTTTTTTCCTCATTTCCTATATAAAAGGTAGTATGCTATATATAATTCTTGCAAAAAGTAGTATGCTATATGTGATTTTGCTCATTTTACTTAGAAGTATATTCTGTAAATCACTCTCTATCAACTAATGCAGGTCATTCTCATTCTTGTTTTTAATATTGACTCCATTAGGTGTAGGTACCATAGTCTATTCAATCTCTTATGTTTGGGCATTTAGGTAACTTCCCATATTTTGAAATTACAAGCTGCTCTGCAAAGAACAAACTTGTGCATATATTTTTGTGATGTTAAAGGTCCATCTTCAGGGTTGAATTCTTAGAAGTAAGATTGCTGGATCAAAGGGTAAATGCAAATTAACTTCCATAGAGATTGCCCCATTTTGCATTCCCACAATCAATGAATAAGAGTGTCCCTTTTCCCATAGCCTCACCAACAGAGTGCAAGGTTAAGCTTTTAGTTTTTGCCACTCTGATGGGTGTGAAATGGTATCTCATTATAGTTTAATTTGCATTTTGCTTATTATGAAGTTGTACATCTTATGTTTAAAAGCCATTTTTTATTCTTTTTTGTGAATTGTCAACTTTTTTGCTCATTTTGTTCCTATAGCAATTTTGGGAGTTTCTCCTCAATTTTAAAAAGTTCTTTGTATATTGGAGATTATTAATTCTTCATGTGTACTATGTGTCACAAATATTTTCTCCTATTTTATCATTTGTCTTTTGGCTTTGCTTATGATGTGTTTTTGGCTTACAAAAGTTTTTTTTTGTTGTTGATAAATAAGTTGTAGTCAAACTTATTTATCTTTCTCTTTATTGCCTGTAGATTTTGCAGTCATTGTTAAAGTCTTCCCAGAATCCAGGTCACAGAGGAATTTACCCAGGTTTTCTTCTACTGCTTGTAATGGTTTCATTTTTTACAATTTAGACGTCTGATCCACTTGGATTTCTTCCTTGGGTATGATGTGAAGACTGAACTAATTCTATTTTTCTCTAAATGGCTATCTGATTTTCCCAAAAGCATCTATTACAAAGCCCATCTTAGCCCCACTGATCTGACACATCACCTCTATTATATACTAAATCCCCATATGTAGTTGATTTTTTGGACCTTCTACTCTACTGATCTGTCTGTCCAGGTGCTACTACCATAATGTTTTAATTGTAGAAACTGTGTCTTATATTTTTTTAAATTGATGAAACAAATAAAATGACTGAACAAACTGGCTATTTGGGGTTTGTACACAAAACCACTGAGTGATTTGGTTACTTTAATACTAGCTAGCCACACTCCTCCTCCTCCTCACTCCTATTTTTCCTGCCTTACCCAACAACATACAAGAAAAGATGAAGTTATCACCATGGCTGCTATTGTTAATATGGTGCCAACATAAATGGGGCAGCTTATTTTGTTTCCATGATTTAAAACCAAACTGGGGACAGACTCAAGCTGATAAAAGCTCATGGTCTCCCTAGCATCGGAGAAGCCTTTTCAGCTCAACATTCATCTTTATTCAAGATGACTTTTCCTGGGGAAGGAGTCTCCCTTTTTGACAAGGGGATACATTCTTATTTCCAGGGCCGCATTGCATACTTTAAGGCTGAGATGGGGCAGGCTGCTGTGGCCTGGCCTGTGTCATGGTGTCCCCTGAAATGAGTTCCCACATGCTTTTCCTGCCCTGAGTTTGCCTGTAGCTGCCAGAAGTGCAGCAGGAATGAGAGAGCCCAGGGAGAGAAAAGCTGACCCATGACAGCCATTGAGATCACTCTGGAGGACAGCTGTGTCTGGGTTACAGTGATTAATGTGATGTTAATCCCAACAAAAATGACTGGAGAGAGGCCCTGTGAGAACACTTACAATCAATAAATGAAAAACACCACTCCCATCAGACTTATTATCACTATGAAAAATCACCCTGAGATTACATAAGAAACCCAGCCATTGAGCCATTACTTGATGATTGGCAAAGCTCCTCCTTTTCAGCTAATTCAGCATCAGAATCTGCTGTTTAGAATTCGGCTTTAGAATGGGCCCATGGTCAGAGTTCAAACAACAATCCAGTGCCTACTGAACCACCATTCAAGCATATTCTCACTTATGCATGGGAAGAAAATGCAACTGTAGCCTCCATGGTGGCCCCAATTCATTATTAGAGCTGAGCTTTGGTTACATTCCCAATTGAGACACAAAGATTCATTGCCAGGACTGGGGCTCATATATGGTGAGGACAGAATCTAAGAATGCTTGTAATCATTGCTACACTGACAGAATTTGAACACATGTGAAAAAGTGGGACAGAAGTAACGAGAAAAGACAAGCAAAACGTGATTTCTTTTGTGCAGACCAGCTACCTTTCTGAAGTACGTGTCATACTTTCTAGTACGTTATGATTTTTCACCAACTTTGCTTGTCAAGGTGACCAACACTATACAAACAATCAAGAAAAGTGTCACTGAACACAAAAAATAAGAGTGATACAGTTGCTATTTTCTGGAATTAACACAATTTGGGGATGGGGGTAAAGCTTAGCCTCTTTCCCAGGGCCCCGTGGACTCACAGTGCTGTCAATGTAAGCTTCGGTCCACACCACATCATGCTCCTGGTCGATGACTTTGGGCCGGCTAAGCACGTGAAGGTATTCCATGACATTCTCCTGCACATCAGCCAAGGTGGAGATCTGGGTAAAAAATCCTGTCAAAACCCAAGGGAGGGCCAAGTTTAGTAACAGACAGAAAGACTTGCAACTGGGAATATGCATATGCCATGCCTTCTTGCCCTCTAGCTAGTTTCCTTCTTTTTTCTTTTCAATGTTAGCTCCTCTCCCCCATTTTTCTTTTCAACGTTAGCTCCTCTCCCCGATCACCCACTTTATGAGTAATAAGTTCATGTTAGAAAATACAGTCAAGCAAATGTAATAAAATTAAAATCAACCATAAACTCATCTCCCAGAGGAAGTTCCTGTTAATTCTTTGGAGAATATCCTCCCTAACTTTATATGCACCCCCCCCCCCCACATACATATATATACATATATATACGTATATATATATGTATATATATGTACATATATATACATATATATACGTATATATATATGTATATATATGTACATATATATACATATATATGTACATATATACATATATATGTGTATATATATGCACATATATACACATATATATGTATATATGTACATATATATACATATATACATATATACACACATATATACATATATACACACACACACACACATATATATACACACACACACACACACAGTATATGTTTACACAGACATACTGTGTGTGTGTGTTTATTCCCTGGTACAAATGACAGTTCTTTCTACATGATATTTTGTAACCTTATTTTTTCATTTTTGTGAGTCTATTTCCAAGGGAAAAACTAGGAACCATAAAAATTAAAGGCTAGTTCATTTTTATAAACATAACAATAATAGTTATGATTAATTTTTGAGTGCTAGGTGCCATAAAATTTGCTAAACACTTGATCAACGTTGTCCCTTTTCTTTGTGACAACATATTTAAGTGCAGATGACTGTGCCCATTTTAAAGATAAGATGACCGATGCAGATGGGGGATATGTTTTTTGCCTATGTTCTCTCAGGCATCAAGTAGCAAATACAGATGATGAGTCCAGGTTTGTAAGTCTCTTAATTTGTCCCTTTTACTTCTACTGAATTTTGCCCTTTGCATGTTTGAGGCTAAAATTTCAGCCCATATCATGATGTGGTCCCCAGTGCTGCCTTTTAAATATGTTGGGTAGACATGATTTCTTTTTCTTTCTTTTTTTTTTTTTTTGAGATGGAGTCTCACTCTGTCGCCCAGGCTGGAGTGCAGTGGTGCAATCTCTGCTCACTGCAAGCTCCGCCTCCCGGGTTCACACCATTCTCCTGCTTCAGCCTCCTGAGTAGCTGGGACTACAGGCACCCGCCACCACGCCCGGCTGTTTTGTATTTTTAGTAGAGACAGAGTTTCACCGTGTTAGCTAGGACAGTCTTGATCTCCTGACCTCGTGATCCGCCTGCCTCGGCCTCCCAAAGTGCTGGGATTACAGGCATGAGCCACCACGCCCAGCCAGGTAGACATGATTTCTAAGCAACAGAAACATTCTCACCATGCTGTTGTCTTGTGATTGGTGACACTATTTTGGTCTTTAGTTCCAGGGCGCTGCTATGTTCCTGTACTGCTGTAGAGCTTGGGGTCACATCAGCTTTGCTGTGGGTTAGGAGATGTTAAAAGGGAAAGGGTGAACTGAACACAGGCCTGGATCCCTTGGAGGGAGCCCTTCATTCACACATTTATTGAAGGTTTCCTTTGTGTTTAGCATTGAAGAAGCAGCGATTAACAAGGTGAGCAAGACCCCTGCCCCCCCTGGGGCCTGGCAGTTCTGAGTAAACAGACAATTACAAAATGGCACATTCAACATTAAGCTAAAACTTACAACAGGCACAGCCAATCAAATGTGGTTACCTTGAGCAAGGGTCAGTGTAGCTAGAACCTGAAGGATGAGGACCAGTTAGCCAGAGGAACTGGGATTAAAGATGGTGTCCAGCAAAACAAGGAATATAAATAAGGACCCAGGATCAGAGAGAAGCAGGCCCCTTCTAGGAACTAAAAATAGCTCAGAATGGCTGGAGTTAAGGAGTTGGTAGAGAGAGGGTAGAGTTAAGATGACATAAGATGACAGAAATGGGCAGGAGGACTGTCACACAGAACTTGGGAAAGAGTTTAGACTTTATCCTATACGCAGGTAGTCAGGGAAGGATTTCAAGCAGGGGATGGACACAGATTCTTGTTTCCTCCCCGTGCCTCTAAATAAGGATCCTAGGCTCATACCACCTCCTACTCGCCAAACAAATTAAAGAGAGTATGTGTGCCTCTGAGGCCAGCTCCATCACAGCACTAGCTCCAGAGTTTATAGAATCTCTTAGTGACTAAAATAGGGCTCAGGGTAAGGAAATACCAGCCCTGCTGTTGTCCAGAAAGGGTCGGGACCCACCCAGAGGATTTCCAAACAAAGGCCAGCTGGTTTGAATTTGGTGTGCCAACCCCAAACCAGGTTGGGACCATGTGGCTTCTGGGTTCCTGATGACAGCTCTGCATAGTGCTAATTAGCATGCATTGTCACTCCTGCCTGCCCCACCCTCCTGGCCTGGGTCAGAGCCTTTCCCATCCCAGGGGAAACAGGGCCCCAAAGGAATAGGCTGTGAGTTTCTGTCCTAGTTTGAGACCTGGGAGCAGGGCCTATGTTCACCTCTCTCAGCCATCAGGCACCATAGTTAGGGAGACCCATTTGGAATGCTGCTCTAGCAATGCTCCTAGATGGTTCCTCTTAGAGGCATGGTCGGAAAGGACAGGTTTTAAAAAGGATTGCCAGAGGATAGGGAACATGCCACATACACAGTTATCATCTCTCCAAGCATGGAGGCTGCAATCAGCGTTTGATAAGAAAGAAAATATTTCATCTCTTCTTTAGTAGGCAAATCTTGGGCTCTGCGTTAAGGGGTCTTGACACAGAGGACAAGCTAAGAGGGGTGCTACCATGGTAAAGTAGGGAGACACAACTCAATAGCTCCAGACCTTAAGGATACAGGGATGAGTGCTTTGCAGTGTCAAACAATTCTGTTTAGGTGCCTGTGCTCTTGGGCCCAGACAGGATCTTGTAGGAGTTCTTCTTGGTTGCCTGTATTCACATCTAATCCTCAAAGCCAGCAGTAAAGCTCTCTGATTTGGATTTTCCAAAAACAGTGCCAAGGGAAGAAAGATGAATTTAAGGAGGAGGGTGGGAGGGACAGGTTATTAGGATAGAGAGGGAGTTGGGGGAAAACAATCATACATTTGGAAAAGGACAGAGCTGAGAAATCATCCCCACTTGTCCTTGCTTATCATAGCCAAGGTTCTGAAAGATTACAGAAAGCTGACTTCTCTCCAGAGCGACAGACCCACGGCCAACTGTATACCCGACACCTCCACAGGGATAACTAGCAGGATTCTCAGGCCGAATGCATCCAAAGCCAACTCCCGACTTCACTTCCCAAATCCATTCCTCTCCCAGTTGGTCATTCTCATCTCAGAAAATGGCACCACTTCCCAGAGAGGCCAAAACATAATTATCCTCCATATCCCTCCTTTCCTCACCCCACCCCATATGTAATACACCAGCATGTTCTTCTGGTCCTATCTCTAAAATCTATCTAAATTCACTTCCCAATCTCCACTGCTTCACTACTCCAAGATGCCATCATCTCTCACCCAGAGTCCACAAGAGTCTCCCCACAAATCCCTCTCCCCCTTGTCTAGGCTCCTCACAGCCATCAGAGATTGTCTAAGAGGTCACAGCAAATCATCATCTTCCTGGTTGAAATCCTACAATAGCTTATATTTAGAGTTAAAATAAAATCCAGATGTCTTACCCTGACCTCCAAGACCCTCCCTGAATTGGCTCCACCTACCTGGGTGACCTCATCCCTGCCATCTCCCTCTTGCTCACTGTTCAGGCTTGCTGGCCTTCTTTCCCCGCCTCTCACATGCCAACTGCGTTCCCCTCCTCAGGGCCTGTGCACTTGCTGCCCTCTGCCTGGGACACCCTTTATCCCATTTTCCATGTTTGGTTCCTTTTTGTCACTCAGGGCTCAGCTCAGATCAGAGAGGCCCTCCCTGACATTCCTGTCTGAAGTCACTTCCTCTCCCTTCACCCTGCATCAGTCCCTTCAGAGGACTCATCCATCATTGGATTCTCACTTGCTTATTGTGTTCTCTCTAACTGGAATATTAGCTCCACGAAATGATTCAAAAATCCCCACCTTGTTGGGAGCAATATTCCAAGAACAGGGAGGGAAGGTATGCAGGAGCCATTAGTAAGGTGGGAACATTCACTGAGGTCTTACTGAGATCCACCTTGCCTTTCTGCATGTGGGCCTCACAATGGCCCAAAGCATGTGCTCACCGTGTAGGGGAAGAAACACAAACTCTGAGTCAGTAATTTGTCCTGGATGAATTCGAATCCAGGTTCATTTGATTCCAAAGCCTTTGCTCTGAACCACTGAAGACACTGCCTCTTTCGCTGCTGGGAAGGGACAGGAGAGCAGCTCAGAGCTCCTCCCCCAGGAGGGTAACTCTAATGGGCTATTTGCGTATTGTAGCTGGGGAACTCTGAGGATGGGGATGGGGCAATATATGACTGTCCTTTGAGCAATGAGCAACAACAAAGATCTACTCAAACCCCAGTCTATAGTTCCAACTTATATTTCACTATGTAGACCAGGGATGCAGATGTATAAAAAGGTAAGAAAAGATAAAATTTTAAAAATAATATTGACAATAACAATGTATGCTGCAAAGCTTATGCACATTTGATTCCAACTCATTAAAGTTTAAAATCTTTCTGAGCCTTTTTTTTTTTTTTGGTTTTTAAATGTCTTAGTATAAGTTTTAGTTAACAAATGATGGATAATAGGAAATCACTAAGGGCTAGAATCTGGCTGTAACCATAGACACTTCCCTTGTTTTCCCTCTGTATTCTCTCAGCTGGCCACTTTCCCTCCCCTTTCTCTCTGTTTTTTTCCTGTTAAATTCTAGGTCTTGAATGTTTATTCTCTTTTTTAATGTGCTTTTTTGGACCTCATATATCATGTAAGAAAACAGAATCAGCAATGATTCGGTAATTACCAAGGAGCAATTAATGCTGAAGTTAGCCACCTATTACAAATGGTCTGCTCGTTTTTCTCTATAACATCAATTTATTTACCTTATTCCCTTGCAGAGCTCCTTCTGTGAACTCTGGGTTACAAATACTGCATGTGATAAACCATATGCAACGCAGTGCTTTGTGTTTCTGAGATATTACCCTTACTTGGGGATTTTTAGAGTCTTTTGCCTCAAAGCTGCCTGAGCATGAGAAGCTCCTGTGGTGAATCATTAAATACTCCACTTTGCAATGACCAGATCCAAGGGTACCAGGAGTCTGTCCTCAGTGGGCAGATCCTAGCTGTCTACCTCAAATAGTGAGGTCCTCCTTCCATCTTTGGAGTGACGGGTGTAGCTTCCTTTGATTCCTTTGAGTTGTTGAGTCTTTCCAAAGACTCTTCCCACCTTAAGCAAGGCAGGCAGAAAACCTGAGAGCCAGCACCAAAATATCAGTCTCCAGAGGGTGCCGAGGTAAGAATGAGATTTAGCAGGGCAGTGAAGGTGATGCTGTGGCTTCCCTGGTTTGCATTCCCTATGAGCAATGGTGTTCTTGGAAGACGCTCCCAATACTGTGTTCTGTGTCATCTTCCTCCTCCTCCCTGTCAAGATCACACACTACTGAAAAAAACACTTATTTCTATAGAAAAAGGTACAATTTATAAACAGCTTCCTACCTCCCTGTCTTCTCTGACTTCACAAAAAACAAGCAAGAGGTCTGTTGAGTGCTGAGAGCAGAAGAACCCATATTCATGGTGTTGGAGAGAATGGACATTGAGGGCAGGGAGCCCAATGGTCTTGGTGGGAGAACCGCACTCCTGAGCAGAGCTCTCAAAATCAGCTTGAGCCTCAGATCAAGGGACACATCTTTTCCTTTGTGACTATGACTACATTTTAATTTCTAACTCCATGTTAAAAATACAAGAAAAAGAAGAAAACAATCTAAAGGTACACACTGGGGAAATAGGAATGCTGTCTCCTTCTTATAGCTCTGTGGCTACACCCATCACACCTTGCTGTGGTTTCTCCTGGTCTCGTCTTATCTACAGCCTTAATGTCCCCAACTCTGAAACATCAGGACCTGAACCATACCACTGTGCAAGCTGAAGCAGTGCCATTTCCAGAACATACAGGCTGGGCATAAATCCCAGCTCTGGCCTTTGTTAATTATGGCACATTGAAATCCTTTCTCACTCTCTAGTTTTCTTTTCCTAGATTACCTCAAATGAAGAGAGATATGTAAGAGTTCTCTATGAATCACAGCTTTCTCCTCTCCAAAGAGAAGCAGCCTTACATCTGATGAAGAGTTCAGGCTGGGGCTTTGGATCACCTGGGCCTAAATCCTAGCTCTACCGCCTGCTGGCTGGTAATCTGGAACAAGGTGCTAGTCTTGCTCAGCCTCAGTTTCCTTCTCTGTAAACAAAAATAATGATAACAGTACCTCATAGAGCCTTTGGGAGGATCAAAAGAGGTAATGCACAGATGTACTCTGTTCTATGCCTGGCACTTAGTGAGCAGCTTGTCATCCTTAGTTGCTGTTTTACGGTAACAGCAAGCATCACCATCTTCATTCCCACTCAAAATCTCTGATTCTAAGGAATGTGTGCAATGAACTACAAAAAGGTATTTAAATAGCTGCTGTTTGTGCCTTCCTTCACCTCTCTTAAAATAGCAAAATGTTTTAATTGCCACTTTTCTCCTGCTGTCGCCTATGACCATTCCGGCCTCATAAATGTGAAGCTATCTTTTGGGGGACACTACATGTGGAAAGATATAATGAGGTTAAGAATCTTTTTATTGAAAAAAGATTAGGAGCTGGACCTTCCAGGAAGTCTCAGGCCACCAGTTCTCTTTCAGATAAGGAGAGAATGACCTTTAGCCCATGGAAAAGGGGTAAGCTAAGCAGACGACAACACATGTGGCATTTCCATTGGACCTGACGATGACTGATCGGTTGAGAACCCAAACATGGAGGCCCTTCTTTATTTGCACAGCTGGAAAACACTCCATTAACTGTGATTTCTGAAGGAGAATCAGCCAGTGCTTATTTAAAATCTTGGCATACTGAATGTTAGAGAAGGTCACCATGGCTTTGTGAAATGTCTGGGCTAGTCGGTAGTCGGCCCTCTTTTCTGTTTTCCAGTTCGCTTATTTTTGAAATAGTGTGAACGCATAACTTTAAATTCCACCAGCCATTCTACAGTGGTAATGATTGTTTTAATGTATGTAAAATGGCTTGCTGCTTTGTCTCATTAGGGTTGGTTCCCTCAAGACAGGACCTACTTATGCATAAAATGAAATAAACTCACAAGCTCCAGGCCTCCCTGGATTTTGCTGGTAGACTGGAGGAGGCAGAGAACTATTGCAAGGGGTACGAATGTCCCCAGACATTCATTTCCAGAGGAAAGTGTCTGAGATCTGCTAGCTAAGAACTGTCTCCATGGCTACCAGACTCCCAAGGAAGAAGTCCTGCACTGATAGCAGGTCCTTGACCACTAACTCAGGGACAACGTGAGAGCCCTCATGATTCTTGCTCCCTCCCAGGGTCATTCTGTGGTCAGGCCCAGTGCGTTAGTTCTGCCTCCTTCGACGCTCCTTGGGTCTGCTCTGGTCCCTGAATGCTAATGCTTCATTTCACTGCAGAACTTGGCTGAGTCAGGGTGAAAATATGTAAGGGGGCCCTCTGGACCTCATGACACTTGAGATGAAAAATGTTATGCTGCCTCCATACTATAACAATCTGAGACTATAAACAATGATTTAATTAATGACCATAGAAGAATACTTGCTCACCGATGTTACATGGTCCAAAACCCCTTAACTGACGCAACGTGAAGCCAATGTTTATATGGGCACAGATGACTGGAATATCACATTTTGATGGCATTGCTACTTTGAAGAGTGGCAAACAGTGACATTCCCAAGGCTCTTTACATAGAAGCAGAATGAGGAAGATGAAACGATCAAGAAGGGCTGACTCTGGTAGGAAGGGAAATAACTGGATGTAGACAGGAAGGGAAGGAGAATTATTATGGAATCCACAGCCTGTCCAGCCAAGCAGCTACTATTACCTCCCTGGATTTTCTGCACTGCTGTACTCAGAACTTATAAATCCTAAAGGCTATATTCTATAGCCAGGCCCTAAAATACTCTGAGTTGACTAAACTGTCTTCAAAAGGATGCCTCAAAGATTCTTATAAACAATGACTAAAACTAAATTATGGTGTAATATTAGTTGATTAAGACAAGACTTCAATTTCAGTAATTTTCATCAGCTGGACACAGACAGTGGTAAAAACAATAACCCATGACTAAATGCATACTAGCTGATGGAAGAATTGCAATCTGATGTGGCAAGAAATAACAGCAAATTTTTTTAAAAAAAATTAAAAAATGGAAAGGAACTCTTTTTTTCAAGACCACAGAATAAAGGAAAAAATGGGAAAAGTATAGCTAACTCAAGGTTTTTAAATGTCAACAAAGTTCCAAAACTAATTTCAAGAAAGGCCTCTTCACTCAGAGGAAATCTGGGATCTACTCGGCCTCCCTCTCCTCTGCCTGTGTTCTTCCTATAGTTCTCCCTGAAATGAGGCCAAATGTGTAACTCTGAGACAAGCAGAATTATTGATACCTTTTAGTGAAGCAAGCCAGACAATGAACGAAACACAATTGCAGAAGGTGTTATTTTAGAGCTTCAAGGATATGTTAAAAACTTCCATGCAGCCCTTCCTTTTGTAGATGAGGAAATTGAGCCTTGCTTAAAAGACTGTTCAAATAGAAGCAGATAATTAAAGAAAATGCCAAGCAAAGGGAAAGATGGGTGCAGGTTTAAGAGCCTGGCTGTTCACCTATTCTTGGAGAACTTTCCCACACTCCCATCCACAATGCTGAGCCCCCCCACAGAAGCATTTATTTCCCCATGGGCTTCCTCTGCCCACCCCCAATTCAGCAGGGAGGAAGAACTGGCCCAAGCTGGGTACCATAATCTCTTCAAAGGGGTGAGGAGAAGGACGTGAAATCAGAATTTAGATTTGCTAGTCAGCCTCAAACGGAAAAGATATAAATACTCCTTTCCGATATTGTGCCTTGCCCACAGTATTGTTGCGTGGATGGATGGGCATGCATGGTATGGGGTGGCCATTCCTGGCTGTATGCATGCCATAGTACGGAAGGTCTATCTACAAGGAAGAAGAATGCCATGGACATGTCAGAAGAAACTGAGAAGGAACAGAAAAACACAAACACGTCTTCCTTCTCCCTTGTGAGACCCAAGCTTCCCTTCCTACCAGAGTTCTCAGTCACCCCCCTCTCTCCAAAATGCCCCCTTTTTTAATTTCAGGGAACAACTTTGGTGGCTTGCACCTAAAACAACTTTGTCTTAGGCCATCAAAACTGGAGCTAAGACCCACAAACCCTTCACTGAGTCCTCTTTTCTCCACTGAAGTCCAAACACTGGAACTTTTATGAAGGATGGCTTAGGAGACCCATTTAAAGCAGACCACTGAACCAATCTACTATGCAACAGGACCTACCTTCCTTTATTAGTACTTAGAGTCAACTTACCTATTTTTTCAAACATCAAAGGAGCACCCACTCTGGTACGAGGCTGGGCTGTGTCAGAGCACCCAAGATGAAATAAGAGTCAAAGGCTGCTCTCATGGAGCTTGTAGCCTCAGAAGGGAGGCCAACAGGACCCAGAGATCAACATAACACAAGAGAATAACTCAGGGCACTTACATACCAGAGCCAAGCTACCAACTTTATTTATATGGCATCATGTCATGCCCACAACATGTGTGAGGGGAAGGTATTGTCACTACCTCTGCTCTGTAGATGACGTGACTCAGATCTACCCAGATAGGTTTGGTAACTTGCACATAGTTGGTGGATAGTGACTGCTCGACTTGGATACGACTTGGATACAAGGAGTCTGGACTCTCCTCCCTATTAACTTGCTATGCTTTGCCTTCTTGGCCATGTGTAAAATGAAAAGAAGGCCTTCACAGACTGGGCAGCCCTATTACTTCCTTCCCAGTGCTGTCCCCAAACTATTTGTTTCTGACATGCAACAGGGAATTGGTAATCAATTAACCTTATGAATATAAAAAAGCTAAGGATTATTGAGCACTTATTATGTCCTAGTATTGAACGAGGCACTTAATATGCACCATTTCGTTAATAAGAATTAAAGGAAGAACTGGATACAAACTTTCAGTTAGACAGAAGAAATGAGTTCAAGAGATATATAGTATAACATGGTGACTATAGTTAATAACAATGTGTTATATACTTGAAAATTGCTAAAAGAATAGATTTTAGGTATTCTCATCACAAATAAATAATAAAGATGTAAGGCAATACATATGTTAATTACCTTGATGTAGTCATTTACACAATGTACACATACTTCAAAACATCATGTTCTACACCATAAATATACATAATTTTATTTGATAGTTAAAAAATTAAAGGAAGAATTATTATTACCATTACCATTTTGAGTATTAGAACATTGAGGCAAGTTAAAGTTGACCAACTTAATTAGTAATGTACGTAAAGTTATGCTATAAGAACATATCAAACTAAAAATCTCAGTGGCTTAACATAAAAGTTTATTTGTCATGAACACTATTTATAATCCAGTGTGGGTTGGCAGATGCAAGGGGCAGTGAAAGTCATCTGCTCCATGTGCTCACTCAGGGACCCAGGCTGATGAAGGCTGCTGCATCTCGTGACTGTTCTGTCTGGACCATGTACCTTCAGAGTTCACAAGAGCAGAAGAGAGTACCAACACCACCACACTAGCTCTCAAATGCTTTAGCCCAGAAATGACTCAGGTTGATTTCACTCCCGCCCTATTGGCCAGAACCAGTCTTGAAGCCCCACCTATAGGCAAGAAGGCTAGGAATGATGAGAGAGCATACGGATATTTGATGCACAGTAAATGTCTCTGCCATAGCAATTCTCCCAAGGCTACTCAGCTACTAAGCAGAAGAGTGGAAAGGCTTAACCACTCCACTTGACTATGTCCTCAAAATTTGGCACTGGGCATAGTGGCTCATGCCTGTAATGAGGCCACTTTGGGAGGCCAAGGTGGGCAGATCACTTGAGCTCAGGAGTTCTAGACCAGCCTGGCCAACATGGCGAAACCCCGTCTCTACTAAAAATACAAAAATTAGCTGGGTATTGTGGTGCACACCTGTAATCTCAGCTACTCGGGAGGCTGAGGCACAAGAACTGCTTGAACTCGGGAGGCGTGGTCTGCAGTGAGCTGAGATCGCGTTACTGCACTCCAGCCTGGGCAACAGAGCAAGATTCTGTCCACAAAAAAAAAATAAAAAAAAAAAGAACAGAAAAAAAAAAAACATAATTTGGAAGAAACCGTTACAAGTCTATCAGTAATCACTTAGATATACCCAGACTTTATCTTAGAATTATTAGAACTCTCTACTTTCTCATGAATATTCCTAATTCTGCACAAGTAGGTGGAAGTTATTCAGAGCCGAGCACAATGCGAAGACCCACCTTTGTTGGCACAGGCCATCCACTTTAGATTGTCTGCAAACGCAGCCTCTCGTCCAATGAGGTATGTGAAGATGCGAACCTGAAGGGAAGACAAACGCATGGCTGAGCGGCATTCACTTTTCGCCATCCTGCACAGATCACATGCATGGCTCACACACATGTGGCTTACCTCTTTAATGCTCCATGCTTCCCATCTGCAGGAACATATTTAAGACATCTGAAGTATAGTCAGCTAGAAATGTACTCAAAATTGGGGCCTTTGATCTTTTAAACCATATGGCACTGGTGGTGGTTGTTTTTTGGTGCGCAAGTCAAAACAGAAGAGAATAACTGGGAATGGGAGACTGGCAGCCTCACAGGCCTGGGCTTGCTCCACACATATGGACAAGGATCATCTAAGTCTGGACCAAATCCCCAAGCATTTTCCCCATTCACACAGGAAATGCAGAGTGTGCTCTTCTTGGGAATAAAAATGCCCCTGAAAGACCCTCGACATTTCCCTCCAATGGTGAGGACAGGCTGCAGACACTCTCTTACCATCTGTGGTGTCTGGCATGATATTAGAAGATAATTAACTGGGATGAGAGACACAGCCTGTGGCCAGGAGATCTATGGAGACTCTTTCTAGTCTTCCTAAGCTTTTGGTTCCTGAAGAGCAAAAAACAAATGTAAAAACCTGGCTTTCTTATTTTCTACTGGTTTCTCAACCCTCTCTTATGAGGTCAGAACTCTTTGAAACAAAGCATGACCTACCTGCCAGATGGTACTTAAGGTTAAATGGAAGAAAGATAAGGAATGAAAAGGTTAAAATCCTTTAATTCAATTTAAAATGGTATGTGGGTCAATGCCACACAGTCCAAACAAAACCCTTCGGATGGGCCATGTGCAGCCTGTGGCCACCTCTTTGTGACTGAGGTCAGTGAAGACATGGCATTAGATGAATGACACTCAGCAGGTGGTATCAAAGGCTTTACCAGGTGATGTCCTTCCAGCTCCTCTAGTCTGATGGGTCAAGTGCTCCTATTGCTCCTCCCCAGCCTTTGCTACAATTGTGGTTAGCTAGCATTTTGTGTAGCTGGTCTGTGAAGTCGATCTGCTCCACTAGAGTATCCAGTTGACTAGGGAAGGAAGGGATGTGTCTCCTTTACCTGGCTGGGCCCTGATGGAGCAATGCACTTGGAACATTGATACTCAATACATGAAGAGATTAAAAAAAACACAAAAAACGCTTACAGTGGATTATAAAAATGAATATTCTGTTTTAATTATGCATATCCTCTAATCTGGGCATTATAACTTGAAGGCTAGTTGTGAGGTAATGGTTTCTTCCTAATTTAAAGGGATATGTAAATGCACGTTATTATTATGGAATGTCAGTCTGTGCTCATCTGTGCTTGGTAAGGCCATTACTTTATTTATCACAGCTCCTGCAAGGGGATTTCTGGGGTGGATGGGCAGGCAGACAGACCTCTCTCCAGTCCTCTGGCTCTTCTCCACACCATTCCCATCAGAGTCACATTTGGGAGTGAGGATACGGTTTTTGTTTTGTTTTGTTTTTTAAATTGGGAGATTCTGGCTTCTCTTGGGGGGAAAAGAAAGCAAAGATCCAGCTGAGCGCAGTGGCTCACACCTGTACTCCCAGTACTTTGGGAGGCCGAGGTGGGCAGATCACGAGGTCAGGAGATCGAGACCATCCTGGCCAACATGGTGAAACCCCATCTCTACTAAAAATACAAAAAAATTAGCTGTGCATGGTGGCATGCATCTGTAGTCCCAGCTACTCGGGAGGCTGAGGCAGGAGAATTGCTTGAACCTGGGAGGCGGAGGTTGCAGTGAGCCGAGTTTGCGCCACTGCACTCCAGCCTGGTGATAGAGTGAGGGCCTATGTCAAAAAAAAAAAAAGCAAAGATCCAGCCTCATATTGCCAAAAGTGATTACCACTGACCCTCCTTCATATAGCTGCACCCCCGTTCACTTTCTCTGCCTGTCCACTGTCGGCACTTAACTGAGAATCTCTGATTGAGGGGAGAAACTGAGGCCCAGTTAAGTGTTTTGCTTCATTTCATCAAAGTTGCAGCTCATGAGAGAAGACTTCTAAGACCTCAGGATAGCACTGGTATCTGCTTTCAACCTTTGGGAGATGCTGGTTTGGTCAATACAGAAGATCCCAACCAGCTCCAAGGCCCAGAGCCAGCACCCACAGAATCCAGGATGAACTGGAATCAAGTCTCTTGAGACCAGACCCATGCTTTCTCATAAATCTTTGTCTTTAATTTCAAATTTAAGCTCTTTAAAGGGGAAACACTAGACCGACAAAAACTTGTATCCCCACTGGCTCCTTGGCAAGCAAGAAGCCTAAGAGATGCCTCTGAGGAAATGAAGCTATGAGTCTATCTTCATAAGCAAAGACCCAACACAAAACAACCCATATTTTTGAGCAAAAGTGGCTGTGAGTGCCAGCCTCCTCTGCTGTCTAGACGAAGAGCCTTCATATAAACTGAGTTCTCTTGGAGACATAGTTAAAACTCCAGAACAATACTGTGAATCACCAGCAAAACTTCTACAACTCCTAATTTAAAAGATGGCAACCTATTTGGAAAACCAGTAGAATTGTGCCAAACTTCAGATCAGACATGGCTGCTTCAGAATAATTATGCTAACAATAACCATAATAATGAAAACCATCACCATGTCCCCTACCTCACCAGCACAGTCCTACCACGACCACCACCACCACTGTGGCTGCTACAATCAGCACCATCCCCTGGGTCAGGTAATGTACTGAGGGGTTTATGGGTATTATATTTGTTTCATTGGTTTGTATGTTATTTTATTGCTTATGAAAGAAAATCAGAATAATGTTCAATATTTCCACTGATTTGTAGTCCTTGGCTCCCAGTACACTGACCTCCTTATCTGAGCAGAAATGGCATGAAAATGACTTGTTGCATGTCTGCCTACAAAATAAACATAATCAAAGGATGCTGGGTTCACGTCCTACATCTCTCACAGTAATGCCTTTCAACTGACCACAGAAGAAAAGAGATTTTACTTTAAAGTAGGAAATATTTTGGAGAGAAATTTAATAATAGCATTTTATATTTGCAGGTTTTTTTTTCACACAGTAATTCCACCCTCAGGCATTTATCTTATAGCTGGAATAACAAATAAAATGCTTATGGGGACTAAGAGGTAACAAAAAGGACAGAAGTGGTAGAAGAGAGTACATATTTTCTGGAAGCCCTAGAATTCAGATTTAGACATTTTCAAAAATACACAATTAAAAGTACAAGGATGTTCACCTTCATTACTTGTAAAGGTCAAAAACTGTTAAATTCTAAGTCTTTATTGATAGCTGACTGGCTACAAGTTCATGGTACATTCGTGTAGTGGGCTACCCAGCAGCTATGTCCTCATCCATGATGTACTGGTAAAGGTAAAAAGCAAGTTGTGGGTTTTGTGTAGCACAAAATTCTATTTTTTTCTAAAAGTGGCCTCATACTTTTTACTTCATAAATTTTATACCATTTTACAAACTAGCATTGCTTTAATAATTAAAGATCATTTTAAGTGAAAAGAAAGTAATGACATTGCTACTTCCTGAACAATTCTGTTACAACATAGGAAGAATAAATGTTTCAGTGAAAATCAAACACAAAAAAGAGATGACATGTGGAAATTAAGTCCTGGCCTTGCATATTCCAGTTAGTACTGCCTTACGCTACTGCTCATTTAACTGAGAGCAAAACCTCTGTGAACAACAGTCAAATTGCTCCTAATTTCCATCATTAACAGATTCTGTACCCTAATGGATTTTATTTCCAACAACTGGAGTTTCTTCCCTAGGAAGCACCACGTAACAAACTTTCAGTGGTCTGCCTTGAGCCCAGCTACTTTTCAGATGCAAGGAGTGTGAAGCAGAGCCAAATCTGGGGTGGTCCTGAAGGCCAGGTGCACGGCACAGACAACCATGGGAAGGTGCTGTGACATAGTTCTGGAATACACCAGAGCTCCCCGGAAAGCCAGGCTTTCATGCTCATCATCTGCAGGCATGGAGCGCACCACTTTCATTAATGCAGCTCAAAGGCAGGGGTGAAAAAAAAAAAAGTCTGCATCAGCCTCTTCGCTCATTTTGATCTCCCACTTAAGTTTGGATGGTCTTTAAATGTTCTACAAACCCAATTAAGCTTAATAAAATGTTAAGATGTAGACTTTGAAAGTTCAAAGTCACTTACCTTAATCTACTTAGTATAAAACTTCCCCAATGGAACAAACAAAAAACTCATCCAGATTTTTTCAAAAAACCGATTATGCTTTTTACTCACATAGAAGCAATCCCTATCAGAAACTGAGAGGGGTACCCTTCTTTTTAACCTTTGGTGAAGATAGATAGTCTGTAAAGATAATGAATCAAATTTTCTCCTTTCTGCAGCCATTAAAATTAGGGGAAGGAAGTGGCTACCAGGAGAGTTATATGGGGCAATTGCACAGACAGAAAATAGGCTGCTGCTGCCTGCACATCTCCCTTCAATAATGAAGAAAGCTTGTGTTTCTGAGAGAATCCAAGAGGAGTAGTTTGTCATCTATCACGTGTAACTCATGAGTGACTACTATGTGCCAGGGACCATTCTTGGTGCCAGGGCTACCATGGGTAAACAAAACAAATTCTGCCCTCAGGGACTTCACATTTTCTTGGGAGGGAAACATAATAAATGGCAAATTCATAGAGAATGTTTATGTATTTGTTGAATTAAATGCTGATAAAGAAAATAATGCAAAGTAAGGTGATGGAGAGTGATGGGGGCTGCATTTTTAGAAAAGGAAGATGGGAAGGTCTTCCTGATAAGATGGCATATGATCAAAGATCTAGACAAAATGGAGTGGGGGAGAAGGAACAAGCCATATAGCTAATGGGAAAGAGCATTCCAGGTGAAGGGAACCAAAGGTACAAGGTCCCTGCGACAGGGAAGCTCCAGGGATATTGAAGGGGCTCGTGTTAATGGAATGCAGTCACCTAGCAGAGGTTGCAGGAAATTAACTTGGAGATACAATGGGTGCCACATCATGTGGATCCCTGCAAGCCACTTTTCCTTTTTTTTCAGGAGAGATTGAGTAGAAGTCTGACATGAGCTGATACATAATGTAAAAGGATCATTCTGGCTGCAGGATAGAGCATAGGCCATGAACAGTGCACTCAACCTGGCTGTCCATTCCATTATCCTATGATAATCTTATAATTCTGAATGCCCATGTCCCATCCACAGCCATAGAGAGTAAGGGTAGAAACAGAGGTAGTAAGTAGGAGGCCACTACAATGTTCCAGGTGAGAGATGACTGTGGCTCTGGCCAGGGCAGTGAGAGTCCTCAAACTTCACAAGGCATCAGTATCACCAGGAGCCTTGAATCACATGTTGAAGGTGGAGTCATAGCACCCACCCTCCCGAGGTTCAGAATAAAGTAGGCCCAGGGATATACATTTTAAAAAATGTCCGTGGGGTCTGACCCAGGTAGGCTGTGGCCAACACTTTAAAAAATGCCACCAAGCAGATGAGGTCTAAGTGAGACCAAACATTAAGAAATCACTGGAGCCATTTCCAGGAAAGCTATTCCTACAATTTACTAAAGATTGAGGCAAAACTTTAAGGAGTTTACAATCCAGTGGGTGGTTAAAAAAATAGAGAAGCTGGATCAAAATGACATTTTTTAAAAAGCTTGTGTCAACCGAAGAAGGCAGGATCATGAGACATCAGCCAGACTTGGCAAGCAGGATTAGCTAACTATACTTTCCTCTTTCCCCAAGAAAGGGCAGATCTGTACCCAGCTGTCTGTAGCTGCTGAGCTGGGTCTTCACAATCTTTGGAATTATAATAATTCCACTCTTGCTCCCAGATGCAGAGGAAAGGAAGGTTTGGAGACCAAGCACTTATGAGCCTCAAAAAACAGTCTATATTTTTATAGAAAAAAGAAGGTAATCTTTTATTTTAAAAAACATTTAACTACAAATCCATTCCTTCTACCTTTAAAAGCAAGCAAGTTATATGAATTATTTATGTCAGTGTCATTTGCTACCAAATCTCTTCATGACCTATCGGTGCCCACATTCATGGGTTCTAAATTTTAATTTAGCTAAGTGGCAGCCTCCGTATTAGGCATGCCTTCCTGACATCTTCCTGTCTTCTCACCTGCTCATGTCCTTTTGGACTCACTGCCCAACTCAGTTATTCCCTAAAATATTTCCAGGATTTCTCAAAATGATGAATGACTTCAGCTTTAGAAAGGGGTCTCCTGACATCTTTATGTTTTAAAGTCCATTTGCAGCTAATGAATATGTTCTTAATCTATATCTTCACAAAAGATATTACTAACCAACTTTCATTGTTATTTGCTCATTTCTATGATTTCTGGTACAGAGAAGCATTTCTGAATAAAATCCTTAATCTTTAAGCAGAAGATAAGGGTTGGAACCTGATTACTCACATAAATGCTTCATAAATCACTGCCAATATTTATCTTCATGAAAATTCTACAAGAGTAGAGATGGGCTCAAAGAAGGTTGACTCCAAAGGAGACAGTTATATTGAGCAGGCTGCTTTAATCTATAAGCCATCACGCTCATAATAAAAGAAGAAACATCCTTATCCAGAAGGAAGAGAAAGGCAACCATGGTAACGCTACCCTGAACAGCAATAAAATGGGATAAATTGAATTAAATTACAAAAGTAATAAAATTTCAACAAACGAATATCATAGATGATTATGAAAAATGGACTGTCACCTTAGGGACGCTCTAAGAGTCTATACAATCTCTTTTTCCCAAGCACAAGTGCCTGATACCTCAAGTGCGGTATTGAAAAAAAAATTCCAATTCAGAAAAAAAAATTATTCTTTGTAATCTTCTGGCCAAAGGGATAAAAGTCCAGTTCTATGGCCATGTGTTTTGTTAAGGTGAAGGAGACAGGTGTTTCTTGGCCATCCAGAGACTACGACCTGGGGTTGGTACAATGGAACACGAGATTACATACAGCTCAATGGAGCAGTAAGAAGTCAAGCTGCAAACATCCTTAAAGGTGTGTGATGCAATTTATTAGACTATCCAGCTCCACTGAATTCATTCAGAGGACAGGGCCAGTGTATTAACCATGTCTTTGGATTTTTCTGTAGTATTATTGCTCTGATGTCTGAGGCCTTATGACCTTGGAGGGACTCCCCCTCCTAGGGTTAGCTAATTCCTGGAGATAGTAAGCAACTGGCCTGCAAGTGCATTTCTGATACACAAACCAACCAATCCACAGCCCATGCCTCCAATCACCTCCCTTCATCAGGCTCTCACACTCGAGGTCATACCACCTGCCCTAATCACCCCAGGACCAGGTATCAGACAACTCGGGGCAGCCCCTCTACCCCAGTGCCCACTGAGATGATTGACTGTCCAACGCTAAGCCTGGTTGGCCTGCTTTCCCTCTTTCTTCCCATGGAAAACACAATAAAGGCTCCTGCCCTCTAGATCTCTCTCTCTGCCCACTCATCTTGCCTTGGCACTTCCCTGTGTGTCCCTTCATGGTATGGCATGCCTTCTGCTTCTAGGGAACTATGGATACAATATACTTCTTCCTTCATGACAATCATTTCTGTGTCTGTGTGCCTTATTATACCTGACTAAAACAAATTCCAGGTATTCTTAAAACGACCAAGTATTATTTGTTCCAGGTGGGTTCAATGCTACACTTACTGGCTTGGTGATCTTGAGAGAGGTATTTAAACCTACTGAGCTGTGCATGCACCTCCCCCAACATGGGGATCCTCCACCCACCCACCTCACATTGGTGATCAACAGCAAATGAGACAATGGATGCAAGGACAGGCCAGAAGCACCAAATCCCATTCAGTTAGAGTTGCATCCCACTCACATTTCAGATAACTTGCTGCAGTGAAACTAAACAAAGGGAGCCAAGGAAAGCCAAGTCTTCCATCCATAGATACTTCCCTCAGCCTGCCCAGAAGTTTGGTTGAAGAGGAAGCTGACTCCTGTGGGTGAAGAATGGGATTTTTCACAGGGGTGGGTTTTGACAAGCCATCCAAGGATAATGGGGTTGACAGTTTCTAACATAATCAGGAACACTAGAGCTATAATAACAATTACAACTTTTATAACCCTTGGAGAGTCAAAGGATCCACTGAGAACTTGGCAGTGGCTATAAACCTTCTCCTACCTCTGACTTCCTCCCCGCAAAATCCAAAGTCTATACACTCACAATTTCAGATAAAATTCATGAGGGTTGGGGCATTTCCTCCACCAAAACCCAGGACTGTCTAAGAACATCTGGCTCCCAGGTTAAGAACCCTTGTCTTATAAATCTCTTGTATTTTGCACTATAAATTCCTCAAAATCAAAATGGTTTCTTTGGATGATCAAGATGGGCCCTCTTAGTGGATGTGCTCACCAAACTGAGAAAGTTCATTTGGTCATTTACATGCCCATTCTGCGACAGTTTTGTGCAGAGCAGATATCAGCTATTCACATTCAGATCCAGAATAGTCATATCAGAAGTGAGTCCTCTACATAGAGGGACATTGTGGAGAAATCAGGAGCCCTGAGACAGAATAGGCATCACTGTGGACCTTGGGTTTTTATGATGCACATCACATCATTAAGCCTTTGCATGACCACATGTAAAGGAGCAGGGATGGAAGGGACAGACAGACAGAACTGAGTCTGTAGAATCCAGCACAGTGCTTGGCAAAGGGCCAGCACTCAAACACTTGTTGATTGGCCAATACCATAAAACCCCTGTCTGCTGATACTAGGGATCCTGAAACAAACCTGTCTCCAAGCTTCAGGCTGCTGGACACTGCATGGCCTAGGATTTTTATGGCTCAGAAGCCCCGTCCTGCTTCCCTTGCCCTCCAAAACACTGAGAGATCAAGTGGTGACAGCCATTTGTTCATAGGTATGCCCCATCTCTCAAGAAGGATTACAGATTCAATACCATGAACAAAAAGTCAAACTAACATGTGTAAGGCCATCAAATTAACCAAAAACAGATCAGAAAATTGACTTATGTCAAAGGGGAATAAATTAATTGTTCCACAAATTGGGATGGCAATGGTTATGTTCATAAAACATCATGGGGCTGTGTCACTCTCTAGCTTAAAGCCCTCCAGTGCCTTCCCATTGTACTTGGAATACATTCTAAACTCCTAACACCACAGCTAAGATGC
The DNA here is from genome assembly GCF_000001405.40 of Homo sapiens. Lineage (NCBI taxonomy): Eukaryota > Metazoa > Chordata > Mammalia > Primates > Hominidae > Homo > Homo sapiens. The sequence continues at coordinate 54,743,458 of NC_000003.12, read as the reverse complement.
CCTGGAAGGTCCTGACCTTCTCCTTCTGGACCAACTCCTTCTGGCTTTCTAGACTTTCAGTCCACCTCTCCCACTACCTGGAGTGCCCCTCACCTCCTGTTTGCATGGCTAACCCTCTTTCATCCCAGTTACCGTCATCCTCATCACCCATTTTGTTTTCTTCATGATACTCAGTATATTCTTAAGTTATATTAATGGTTTATTAGTTTACTTATGTTTATTTCTACTTCCAAGCTGAAACACAGATGTGAGAGCAGAAGGAGGCACCCGTGCCCAATTCAGTACCTGGCATGGAGTAGATTCTCAACGAATATTAGTTACCCACCTTTTCTATCCTTTTCACAAATTTGGGAAATTAAGGGAAGTCAGCATGGGACATACTTGAATTTATCAGCATAGAGCTCATTCCTTCATTGCGACTCTATTTTCAATACTTTTCTATTTTTCCAGACTGATCTGTTATCAATCAGTTGAGATTTTACTTTCTCTATGCTCAGTTCCCATGATTTCTTTTTCTCCTGAAGCTCAGTGATAACATATGAGGAAATGGAGGTATAAAAAAGCTCTGATCTGTGTTATTACAGCCTCATAGTCAGGGACCAGAAAAAAGGTGTCTTAGGCAAGGCCTCCCATGGATGGAAGATCAGTATTATAATATTTCTTCTTAGGTGCCTGCCTCTTGATTCTAGATGGAAGCCATGCAAAGATTGAAGCCAATTGTATTTTAAATAACTGCCTGCTTCAGGGATTCCCTAGTAGGGAAAAGACTGCATCTTAAAATAGCAATGTGATGGTTGCTATTCCAAGCAGCTTTCAGTGGAAATCTCTCCTTTTCCCTACACTTTGTAACAGTGGACAGACGGCATCATTTCATGGAAGCCAGAGCTGAGTGGGTGGACAAGTTGGCACAAAGCAGTGGTTACCAAACAGGGCTAAGAATTGGATACCCCCATATTGAGAATCTGAGTCTTCCCTCAAATGAGCTGTGAGGCCTTGGGGTAAGTTACTTGATTTTATTTATTTATTTATTTATTATTTTTTGAGACACAGTCTCACTCTGCCACCCAGGATGGAGTGCAGTGGCTCGATCACAGCTCACTGCAACCTCCGCCTCCCAGGTTCAAGCGATTCTCATGACTCAGCCTCCCAAGTAGCTGGGACTACAGGCATGCACCACCACATTGGCTAATTTTTGTATTTTTAGTAGAAATGGGGTTTCGCCATGTTGGCCAGGCTGGTCTTGAACTCCTGGGCTCATGTGATCAACTCGCCTCGACTTCCCAAAGTGCTGGGATTATAGGCATGAGCCACCGCACCCAGCCCCAGCACTATTTGAAGTCGAGGCAGACAGACTGCTTGAGCCCACAAGTTCGAAACCAGCCTGGGCAACATGGCAAGACCTCATCTCTACGAAAAATATAAAAATTAGCCAAGTGTGGTGGTACTCGCCTGTAGTCCTAGCTACTTGGAAGACTGAATTGTCGGGGGCAGTAGTCAGGGTTGCAGTGAGCCGAGATCCACCACTGCACTCCAGCCTGGTGACAGAGACCTTGTCTCAAAAAAAAAATAAATAAATTAAAAAATAAAATAAATTTATATGAAAATACAAAGGAATGAGAATATCCAAAAACTCTCCTAAAAAAATAGGAACAAGGCAGGACAATTATCTCACTGGCTATCAAGGTTTATTGTAAAGTATGGTAATTAAGGCAGTGTGGCTTTAGTGTACAAATACAGAAATTGTCCAGTGGACCACCAAGGAAAACTCCAAAGCAGACCAACACATACATGGATCCCTAATTTACAACAAAGAGGACCACTGCAGAGCCTGGTGAAATAACAGTCTTTTTTTTTTTTATTTTTCTTATTATTTTTTTTTCTTTAGATGGGGTTTCACCATGTTGGCCAGGCTGGTCTTGAACTCTTGAGCTCAAGCTATCCACCCACCTCAGCCTCCCAGGGTGGCGTTGAGCCACCTTGCCCAGCAAGTTACTTGATCTTTGTAAGTCTCACTTTCCTTACTTGTAAATTGGTCAACATCATAGAACCAGAATGATGTTGTGAAATGGATCAAATAAAGTAAAATGTTTGGGACTTGAGGGGCAGGGAGGATTAATTCTGCAAAGGAAGAGAGGTCTTCTAAGAGGAGATCTCCAAAGGTGCCCTTTGCCTAGACCCTAAAGAGAGAAAAATAGAACAGAGAAACAGGGAAAGGTCTGAGAGTATAACGCCTGATGACATGACCTGGGTGTGTCCCTCTAGGCCTTAGAGAAAGGCTCCTCTTCCTTTAATGCTCTCCCTTCCCGCCATCCACCCCCACCATGAGTTTGTCTCCCTTTGCCTCCCCCTGCCTCTGGATCAGTGAGACCCCAAAGGCCCACATCAGGGTACACAACCAAGACCCACTTGGCCTTGGGCACAGCTGGAGTCCTTGTGATTTTCTCATTGGGATTTGGGGCCAAAGCCCCACAGTAAGAAGCCGCATGCCTCTGGACAGTGTCCCCTCTCGTACCACCCTGCAGAAGCAGCACAGCAGCAGGTTACAGGTCGAGGAGTCAGGAGTTTTGGATTCTGCCCAAATCATTCTCAGACTCATTAAAACCAACAGCTGTTGTGAATTCTAAGATAGCACAGTTGCCTTTTCCCAAGTTCTTGTCATTTCTATTTTCCCAACCCATCCTCCCTGTCACTAGGAATTAGTCCAAAATAGCAGTTTCCCCTGTCACCTCACCTACTGCCTTCTGGGACTTCTGTCAGTAAGAAAAGTCAAGGACTCATCAGTCAACTGGAAGGATATTGCTGAGGACAGTGTTCACTCTGTTTTACCTGTGATTCTCCAAAAGGCAGACAGGTAGGGACATAGCTCTTTGTGGAAGGGGGAAGGACAGATCAGAATGACTTGTGGGTTTTTGGTGATCTGTACGAGCTCACTTTCTGTATACCAACCTCTTGCCCTTCCAGGGACTCTAATAACCCAAGATCCTCAACTCCCACTATGGAAGCATGCGCCCCTGGCTGAAGACCCTACTGTAGGAAGCTGCCGGTAGGACTTCAGTGAGCAGTAGCCTCAGGTGAATAGGGTGGGAAGGCAAGTCAATGTTCCTGAGAATTTGGGGCAACCATTATCTTCTTTTTGAGAAGCCCCAGAGAAAGTTTATTTCTTACCTTCAGTCAGTAAAAGTTGTATTTTATCCTAAGCAATCATTGTGTCTTAATCTCTCAGACAGTGATTTGTACGGCTGTCCTGGTTCCCTCTTTGCAAGTGCAAACTGGCTCAAGCAGAGGGCTCAAATACCCCATCGGAGACTACGTGTTCTGTGGCTCCCCTGTCTTTGGTGTCCTTTTCTCCTTGCTGCTGACAACTGACTTGTGTTACCTTTTCTGTTTTATGTTTCCCATCCATCCACCCTCCCACCTAGCCTTCCATCCATCAAGTATTAACTGGAAATGCTAGATACTAAACATCCTGCTGCAGGCTGGAGGCACAATGGGGAGGAAAAAATCCATATGGTCTCTGCCCTTGCGGAAGTTGTAAGCTCTTGAAATACTTTTTATAGAATGGGGAAGGCAAAGGAATATGAAGAAAATATATGTATTTCTTTATACATATATAAAACTAAATGTAAATAGTTATATATATACACACACACATATATATAATTCCACACACACACACACACACACACACACACACACACACACACACATATATGAGGAGAAGGGCCTGTCATTCCAGAACTGGGTCGCTACTGCACCCTCCCCACAAAGAGCTTGGTTTCCCTGAATAGGACACATGCAATCTTGGACTCTATGGCCCCAGCTCCAGTTGATAAGGAGGATCATGTAAATGCAAAATCATCCTATTCCTTTTCTAAGCATAGTGCACTGGTAAGATGAAAATTTGAGGTGAAAAGAATCCCAATGTCTTCCCCAACTGTTTGTTCCTAGAAATAACCTTGCAGGCACTCTCCATGTTATTTTTTGTTTGTGTGTGTGTGTGTGTGGTTTTTTTTTTTGTTTTTTTTTTTTTTTTGAGACAGAGTCTCACTCTCCCTCTGTCACCCAGGCTGGAGTGCAGTGGTGGGATCCTGGCTCACTGCAACCTCTGCCTCCCAGGTTCAGGCAATTCTCCCGCTTCGGCCTCCCAAGTAGCTGGGACTACATGCCCACACCACCATGCTCAGCTAATTTTTGTATGTTTAGTAGAGATGGGGTTTTGCCATGTTGGCCAGACTAGTCCTGAAATCCTGACCTCAGGTGATCCACTCACCTCGGCCTCCCCAAGTGCCTCCACATTCTTTTCTTCTTCTCTGCCAAGTCTTTTTTTTTTCCTATTGAGACAGTCTGTCACCTAGGCTGGAATGCAGTGGCATGATCTCGGCTCACTGCAGCCCAAAGCAATCCTCCCATCTCAACCTCCCAAGAAGCTGGGACTATAGGCATGTGCCACCACACCTGGCTAATTTTTGTATGTTTTGTGGTGATGAGGTCTTGCCATATTGCCTAGGCTGGTCTTAAACTCCTGGGCTCAAGATAGCCTCGGCCGCCCAAAGTATTGGGATTGCACATGTAAGCCACCATGCCCAGCCCCAAGTCTTACACGTAAGAGAAAAGCAAGAAAAGTTAAGCAGTACTGGTCATACAATAAGTGGGAGAAAAAGGCATTGTGACAGATAAGGGCTGAAGAAGGTAGGATCATATGGGATCATAGATCATTCTTGTCTTCAAAGAGCTTCCTGTCAGTAGAGAAGCTATAAACCCATAGGCAGAACTTACATGGAAATGTATAGGGATGATGGCAAAGGGTGCTCTGCAAGGGAGCAAACAAATCAGGGAAATGCAAACCAAGAGGAACAATGTATTTTAAAAGAGAATAAACAGTCTTGAGAGCTGGCCTCTATCTTGTTTCCTTACCCTCATAGTTTTGTTTATTTGCTTGTTTGTTGTTTTTCTAGGGTCAGCATTTTTCATGGGAATCAAGAGAGGAGAAAGATACCATGTGCTGGAACTGAGTTGACTTTTTCAAAATGTTTCCTTCAGTTGGGAGACTAGGGACTGATCAAAGCCAATGGCTCTTATGACTGCAGGAAGTTCTGCAATCTTCCATTTTAAACATGGCTTTTTGGGAGACTAGAGCTTTTCCTAGAAGAGTAAGTTTGAGGACATGTCACTAGTACCCTATTACACTGAAGAGAGAAGCCAGATTATCTGCCACTTGGAAACTCACTCTTTCAGAGCACTGGGCAATTTCTAATGACAGCCAGTATTAAAAATGGTCCTAGTGAACAACATGGAGTGGAGAAACAAATGACTTATTTGGAACCTTCTTGCTAAAATACCATTCTGTGACTTCTATATCTTCTGCTAATATCCTAGTCCAAGCCACCAATGCCTCTCACTTGAAGAACCAGGTGGAACTCTTACCTGAGCTCTTCCATTGCTATCCAGCCCCAGAGAGAGCTTGTTGTAACAGGAATAAGATAGAGTCCCTCTGGCTGGGCATGGTGGCTCACACCTGTAATTCCAGCACTTTGGGAGGCCGAGACAGGTGGATCACCTGAGGTCAGGAGTTCAAAACAAGCCCGGCCAACATGGCGAAACCCCGTCTCTAACAAAAGTACAACAAATTAGCTGGGTGTGATGAAGCACACCTACAATCCCAGCTACTCAGGAGGCTGAGACAAGAGAATCGCTTGAACCCAGGAGGCGGAGGTTGCAGTGAGCTGACATTTCGCCACTGCACTCCACCCTGGGCGACAGAGTGAGACTCCATCTCAAAAAAGAGGATAGAGATCCCCGCCTTTGCTCACAGCTCTATAGAGGCCTTCCCTTATTTAAAATAAAAGTCAAAATGTCCTGACCCCTTCCCTGTTTTGTAATCTCACCTCCACTTGCCCCCCTACTCAGCCCCAACTGCCAAATTCCCAACCACCCTCTTCTTCCCAGGCTAGACTTGTAAAAAATTCCTTTGACACCTGAAGTTCTTTCCTGTCACAGGGCCTTTGCACATATTGCCCACCTGCCTGCTCTGCACTAAAACATTTTAACACAGCTATCTCCTTCCTATTTTTTAGGACTCATCATTGAACTTTCCACCTCCAAAAGACCCCTCCTCCTCTCCTTATCTATCATAAGTCCCCCTTTTTAGTCTCTGCCTTGGCCTCTGTTGGTTTTCTGCATAGCACATGGTGTAATTTACAGTTATTTTGTCTGTCCTCTTGTTATATTCTGTTCCCTACACACACACACACACACACACACACACACACACACACATATACACATGGATATAAGCTTCATGATGGAGATATATTAGTTTTGTTCACTGTTGTTTTCCCAACTGCTAATCCATAGCAAATACCCCAAAAATGAATAAGGTTATTGCATACAATTAAGCTAAGTGGGGATAATCCATCATGGTATAAGGAGTAAGAACATGCTAAAAGAAATAGAGGGATTAAATGAGCACTAAAGTACTAAAACCTAGCATGTTGAACATCAGCCCCAAACCTGGTACCATACATGATACGACTGCATTGAGGTGGTCACTGTCATCATTCTTATTTAACAGCTGAACAAACCGAGGATTACAAAGGGTGAGAATCTGTCCCAGGTCACACAGCAGGCAAATGATAGCTACTGGACCTTTTCAAGGCATGTGGGACCCCAAAGCTCATTTTCTTAATTGCTACATTATGACATGAGAACACAATAACAGGGCAAAGTGCATGAACCAGCAGATCCCAGAATACTACCCATGGCAACAAAAACAAATAAACAAAAGACAGAGAACAAGATGTTCAAGCTCACTTTTAAGCACCAATACAAATACAAGGTTTAAAGTATTTTTGTTTGTTTTTTGCCTATCAAATTGAAAATGATGTGTTAACAACAAGGGTATTGGGAAATATCCTTTCGGCTGGTGGAAATGTAAATTGGCATAAGTTTTCTGAAAATAACTTGACCACATCTATTAAATATTTTAAATGTGCATAACCTTTGACACAGCAATCCTACTTCTAGGAAATCAACACAAGGAAACAATCATATAAAGAAATGAAGATTTAGCAGAAAGAATTTATGTTGCAGTACTGTTCACATTACAGAAAAATTACAACAACCTAAACGTATCACAGAAGGGGATTAAATTATAGTACATTTAATCATGAACTTTCATGAAGCCATCACAAATAATGGCAAAGCCGATTGCTAATGACTTGGAAAGACATCACTAAATGAACAAAAGAGGTTACAAAATGCCCCATATACAGTCTGATCCCATTTATGTGTGTCTGTGTGTGTGTGTGTGTGTGTGTGTATATATATACATATATATATGTATATATATACATATATATGTATATATATACACATACATATATATGTATATATATATACATACATATGTATGTGTATATATATACATATATATATGTATGTGTATATATATACATATATATATATGTATATATATATACATGCATGGAAAAATAATGCAAAGATATATGCAAAAAGTGTCTAGTACCATAATCTCTCGAGGGTGGATAACAAGTGATCCCTGTTTCTTTCCCAGTATCTATTTTTTTATTTTTTTTCCAAATTTTCTAGAATTAACATGTAATGCTGTTTTCTATAAGAAAAGTATTTTGAAGAAAAAAATTCCACTCAATTCCATTTAATAAAAATTTACAGAGGATCTCCTGTGCAGCTCTGAGGTACTAGGAATATAATGGTGACCCAATCCCCAACTCCATATAGATGATATCCAGGTAGCAAACACATCATGCATGTCTTAAGTACAGATGCTTAAGAGTAGAAGCATAGATTATAGAGGTGATGTGCTATTAAAAGGAGCTCATGGGCATAAAGATGTTCTACTGAAAATTAATTAGAAGTACTACCATCCCCACAGTTCATCTCAACAATGGATTAGACCAACAGCAATGCGAAGGGTCATCCAGAGCTGCTGAGAACTGGCAAGTCCTCATTTATCTGTGTGTCTGCAGTGCAAAGCTTATTTCCAAGGGACTTCAACCTTCATTGCATTTCACGCTTCACCCCTTTGGAAAACTTCTGACCCAAAATGTGTCCTGTGCTCAATGTGATGTGTAAATGCTAGGAGTGATTGTGGGTATCTGAGATATGGGGGCAGAGCTTCCCAGAGGTCATGGCTTCTGAAGGCTCACCATCCATCTCTATTGTCCTAAGGGCACCAGGGAACAAAATCTAGACCCCAAAAGTGCTAGGGGAATCCACTAAATTCTGTGACTACAGAAGACTGCCTAAGCAGCAGTTCTGCCATTAAGAAGTCCAGGAAATGTGTAAATTCATTGTCAATACAGCTTTGCTGCTACTCTGGTTAACACAGTATTTTTGATCTTCTTTAGCGGCTGAAGAACAGAGAAGAAATGCTGGTGTGCTTCCTGTCTCCACGCTAGGGCAGAGAAAGACTGGAGGTAGTGCCTTAATGGTTACACTCAAACCTTGCATCCCTAGGCCTGAGGCCAGTCTCCTGCTTCAGCAGATAATGAGTTTGGCAATTTCTGATAGTCTTTTCTGGATGCTAATCCCCATCACCGAACTTCCATAATGCATGATATAATTTAACACACCTGGCAGACTCACCACCAGTTCATTCTTTTGTTATGTAATAGCCCAGAGTGAAGCCGAGGATGTTAATGCTCTGACAACCAGTTATTATCCCCAATAACAGGCATTTCCAAAGGATTACTGCCCTCAGAAACCATTTTGTAATAACTGGCAACTGGAAGACAATGTAGCAAAGTCAGATGGTCTTTGTGAGTTGCCATTTATTTCCTACCGATCTGCAAAGATGCTTCGAGCATCCCCAAATGAAACAACCAGGGTAGTGATGGGGTGTCACGCACCAAGATAAATCAGTGAAGTTAGAGGGATGCATGCCTTAGAGTTACTCTTTAGAGTCTTTCTATTTTTATAAGCCTTTTCATCTTTTCCCCACATCTTTGCCCTTTTTATATTATTCTGGCCTCCTAAAAGCCTGCTTCCAGGGAAGTTGCAGTAGTCCTGAGAGCTTTCCTGTGAACTGACTTCACTGCGAAGATGCTCTACCCTTGTGTGAGGCCCTGAGGGAAAAGGAGTCATGGGGTGAATTTCTTTCTGATATGCATGTCCTGACTTAACTGAGTCCCGCTTTAGGAAGATCATCTGAATTGGGTATGACAAGAGAAGAATGACTTAGTGTCCTCAGCATGCAACAGTTTAGGTATCAGCCTATGGCAAAGTCAGACTTTACTCAACACAATGCTACCCCGTTGCTAAGCCTGCCCAGCCTCTTGGACAACGATTTCCTTCCAGGGAGCAGTTTCGCCAGACACAAATCCTCTTTTAAAAATGCCTATGAATGAGATATCTTCCTTAGGATAGTTCCCCAAAACTATTATCCAAATGATATGCACTCATAGCATCCAAAGTCAAACTCCGAATTCTGAAACATCAAGAAGGTGCTTTTTTTTTTTCAATCTCACTGCTACAATAAAAATCGAGTTCTTTGTACTTTGTGCAGATGGCATAAATCCCAGCTGTTTGAACTTGGGCTACGTGTTCACTGATGAAATTAAATCGACATCATCTTCCTTTATCTTGACAGTTCAGACCGCTGGAGGCAACTGCTGCTCTGGCTGTCAGGTTAGGGTAGTCAGTGCTACAATTATTATACTGCCTTTAAGTTTATCTTTGATTAAAAATTAAATTTAACTTCCCTTTATCATTTTCCATACCCCAACAACATGCATGTGTTCTCTAAGTTAAATCAAGATGGACTAAATATTTAATACCCTGCTCTAATTAGCTACAACTGTTACCTGATTTCTCTCTGTAAATGAATGTGAAAGGGCCCGGGAGGCCTAATGTTAACCTTCATCCACTCTCGTTACAGGAGAGAAATTACAGGCTCTAATTAGCTGCTTCAAATTGCAAAGAAATAGAATTTTCATAACCAGCTTATTAAAATCCTAGGGCCCCTTTGGGATAGGGCAAATTGCTTCTACCCTGATCTGCTTATCCTGGTACAACACCATACAGAAAACTCATGTTGTCTGCCTTATACAGCTCATATTTCTCCCAAATTAATGAGTACTCAAATCATTCCAGCTGCCCTCTTGGCACAAGGAAAAACTGAAAATCTATGACTGCCAAGTGACGTGGGTAACTCAGCTGCTAAATAAAATCCGCTTAAGGGGACACAGCTGCTGAGGTGCCTGTTTACATTAAGATTACTAAATCCATGAACACAGAACAAAAGTCCCGAGATAGTTAAGTAGTGTTCAACACTTGGGTTAACCCATCTATTCGTCCAAGGCCCTCAAAGTGCAAGTGTCCCACCTAGGCAGAAACATGAGGTTTCTACCAAATGACTTCTCGCTAGGACAGATGCCAAAGCATTACCGTGGGAGAACCTGTGGGGATGGTCCCCAGTGAGTTCCCACTTTAGAAGTTCTGATCAGTTTTACTTCCACCGATGTCCAAGTACAAGCCACTCAAAGCTGTCATTCTTGCTGAAATTAAACTAGATTTTAGATTTGTTAATTTTTGACATTTCATAAATCTTCATCAGAATTCTTTCTTCTGTGCTCTGACCTTTTGACTTTTTCGAGGGTCCACATAAAACTCTGATGACCACAACGTGGAAGCCTTAGGAAATGATGCCCCAAAGGTCAGCAGTCAGTGAATGGTGTCTCAAATAGAAGTGCTCAGCCATTCAGTGGGACTTCCTAAGGAGGCTCTGAATAATCACTTCAGACTGAGAGAATGAGAAAGTACTGGGAAATCAATAAAGAACAACAAGGCACAGGGGAAATGGCTTAAGCATGTATTTATTCACTGAACACTCATTAACACAAAATTAATATGACCTTCCATTGCTATCCCCAAATTCCAGACACGAAGAGATTTTATTTAAATGTCTCCAAAATCTCTATTATCAATGACCTAGTCCCATTAAATTCTTAACCCAGAGTTCAAAAGCTGAACTCTCACCCCAGACCCGTGTCTTGTCCACACACAAGCATTCAAACCAAACAGCCCTTAAAGTCAGTCATGGGCCACCAAAGAACACATTAGCAAGGACCATCTTCTCTCATTGGATCTGTAAGTGTATGTGCGTGTTTTCAACAAGGATCACAAGTTGTAGCCTGGGTTCCCTGGCTAATTACAAAAACATGTTCTCTTTGTCGTCCTGAACATTCTGCCCTGTGTGCTTCGCACTGTCCAAATCATGTAAAATTACAGAGTGATGTCATCAAATATATCAGGCTCAAAGGAAACAGATGAAGATTCTATAAACACTTTTCACCCTTAAACACGTAGCCTAAACAGAATACTTCCTCTCCCTGTAAGAGAAAAACGGCAACAAATGAGATTTAAAAAACAGAATGAGGACATGTGAACATCAACCCACAAACATTTGAAGATGATTAAGGAAGCACAGGCATAAATGAAGATAAGAGGGAAAATGTTGCTCTCAGAAGAAAAAAAGGGCCTTGACACTGAAGGAACCCAATACAAAGTCAGTTTCAATTACACGGTGATGCTTTTGATCCACGCCATTGCCCTATACGTTTCTGCTTGTTCTGAAGTGTTCGTCTAAATACCTGTCTCCACAGAAGACATTACCTGCCTTTGAACAGTCATGCCTCATTTAAAATCAGAGAACTCAGACATTTTAACACATAGTTACAGAATCCTGGGTGCCGCTAAGAACCAAAATTTTGGAAGGGTGGAATTTGTAGGTATTTCCTTAAGATGAGGGTTACTCTGCCCCAGTAAAGACAGAATTCTCTCAAATCCTTCACTATTACTTTCATCATGACACTTCTGACTCTTCTAGGGCCAAGATGAGCCCCAGACATGTTCTGGACCAAATGCAAAATCAGCACACAGTGTGACCTTGAAGAGAGAGCCAATGATGTAAATAACTGTGACCTGGAAAAGCATGCTTACATTTTGTTTTCCTTTTGACACTTAAATGTACACAAGTGGTCATCAACAACTTTTGGGGTACATAGAGTCTTTAAAAACAGCTCAATGTATGAGGGTCTGAAGAACCTAGTGAATGAGAAGGATACAGTCAAGTGTCAATTATCCATGCCAATAACAGGAATAGTAGTGTGCTTCGTATAAAATGTCAAAGATCCTAAGTGTCCATTTCAGAAGGCAGTATGACTTTGCATAATATCTTTCCTAATTACTTAGAGGAAATGTGAGTCTGAGAATTTGAAAAAAGTATGTACATACAGATGTGTGTCTATGCCTATATATACAATCATTTCGACCTATAACTACATAAAATCACAAGATGGATTTATACTCAATCACTAACTGACCCTTCAGACTATTCTTTTTTTGGCAAGTTGACTTTTTTAGGGTAATTACCAACCTAGTTCTGTGTGGTAGATCAAATGGGCTGACAGTCTTTAAAGCACAGTTCCCCATCTTTCTCATTATGATGACATTGTTACTTGATCTCTTGACAGTTTCAAATTAGAAAATCAACCCAAAACATGTGTTTAAAGAGAATTTAAATTAATTTTGTTTCGGTAATGCAGCAACACTTGTTGCAAGCTGTGCAATGTATGACCAAGTCATACTCACTGTGCTATGTTAAATAATTCTGTTTCGGGCGGGCACAGTGGCTCACTCCTGTAATCCCAGCACTTGGGGAGGCCAAGGCGGGTGGATCACCTGAGGTCAGAAGTTCGAGACCAGCCTGACCAACACCGTGAAACCCCATCTCTATTAAAAATACAAAAATCAGCCAGGTGTGGTGGTGTGTGCCTGTAATTCCAGCTACTTGGTAGGTGGAGACAGGAGAATTGCTTGAGTCCAGGAGGCGGAGGTTGCAGTGAGCCAAGATCACGCCACTGCACTCCAGCCTGGGCGACAGAGCGAGACTCCATCAAAAAGAAAGAAAGGAAAGAAAGAAAGAAAGATTCTGTTTCAATCTAACTTGTTGCCCCAAAGGAGGCAAAACACTCCAAAGTGACCATTTCCATTAGTTAGGCTTCCATATCTGCATGCTCTAGCTAGCCTTTCCAGCAGAGCCAGTGACCACTGGAAGCAGAAGTAAGGCCCAGTGGTTGTCCACAGAGACTAGTTTAACTCAGAGTTTCACAAATGTGTCTTCTTTGCATGGATATGGGTGCCACCAGGGTGGATTCTCTGGGCAATTTCAGTAGCCCCAGTGGACATTTTGTGTCTTGTTCATTACTATGCTCTAAGAACCTGGACAGCAAAGTTGAACATGTAAGTGTCAAAGATGCAGGTCTATGCCTTTAGTATGCTAATAATGTGCAGTGTACATTTTTTCAGGTGGGACTATGGCTTTCTAAACTTCCAATACATATTTGGTAAAAGAATAATAAAATTAAATGAAAATAAAAAGGCCTCCATAAACACTAATTTTTTTTTTTTTTTTTTTTTTTGAGATGGAGTCTTGCTCTGTTGTCCAGGTTGGAGTGCAGTGGTGTGATCTCAGCTCACTGCAAGCTCCGCCTCCTGGGTTCATGGCATTCTCCTGCCTTAGCCTCCTGAGTAACTGGGACTACAGGCGCCTGCCATCACGCCCAGCTTATTTTTTGTATTTTTAGTAGAGATGGGGTTTCAACATGTTAGGCGGGATGGTCTCAATCTCCTGACCTCGTGATCCACCCACCATGGCCTCCCAAAGTGCTGGGATTATAGGCGTGAGCCACCATGCCCAGCCCATAAACACTGATTTTTAAAACATAGAGTACCATTAACAATTAGCATTCAGAGAACTTCATACCCTGGGAAGACCCACCGAACAGAGACAAAAGCAATACTCTTATTGATAACACTCGAATGGAGGAAAGCTGGCATTTCTGTGCTAGTTCATCGACAAAGCTGCATCCAGATGTCTGCCACCACCCAATGACTGTGCACAATCAGTGAGAACCAACGAGCCCAGCTCCTGGAATAAAGCAACTCTTACAATAAATTTAAAAGTATTAATTGGAGAAATTCTGCTTCTAGCTATGATGGACTATGTACTGTCAGATGAATCCTAATACTGAGAACATCTATCTATTAAGGTTGGATAAACTACAAAAAAGAAAAAGGGCAATGAGGGCTTGAAGGTGCCACCAGATCCTATACTGAAAATAATTACAAGGAGTAAAGACCTATATTCACTCCCATTCCCCTCTCATAGCATTTGCCAATTAATAGGGAAGAATATGAGGCTGGGTGCAGTGGCTCACACCTATAATCCCAGCACTTTGGGAGGCCGAGGCGGGTGGATCACATGAGGCCAGGAGTTAGAGATCATAGGGAAGGGCATGAAAGCCAAACAGGAAACAGCAATCTAGAATTAGTGGCAGCCTTACTAGAAGATGAAGACCAAAAAAATGGGTTCAGGCTACAGAAAAAAATCCAGAAGAAAAGGGAACTCTAGGGAAGTAAGTCCATGTTCTGCAGACAATTTCTCCCTAATGTATTTGATAATGACTAAGTTATGTATGTGTTAGTTAAGACTCAATAAAACCAAGTAGAAAGCAGCTAAAAGACTGAAATGTTAAGCAGAGAACCTGACCATCATAAAATGGTGGGAAATCAAAATTTAAAGTTAAGCCCTCACCAAGGAGGAGACAGCACATGTAGAAACTACAAGCTTTCAGCTGAAACCTCTGAAATGGCTAAGCCTGCAGAGTCAGGACAAATTATAAATAAACAAGTTGTAATTAGATCAAGATACTTTGCCTGTATTCTATTTGCCCGCCACAGGATTTATTCTTTCTAAGAGGAAGATAAGAACATCCAAAGCCTCAACAATTTTTCATATACACCATCAGGCAAGCAATCAAGAATTGTTGGGCATGCCAAGAAACAGAGCCAGATAACTAAAAGTCAAGAGATAAAAAAAGGAAAGAGATAATAGACTTACAGGTAATCCAGATATTACAGACAGGCACAGACTCTAAAATAACCATGATCAAAATATTGAAGGAAACAGATGAAAAGATAAAGTATAAAAAAGAATTGTATGAAATTCCTAGAATTGAAAACATTGATTAAAATTAAGAATTCATCATATCTATTTAATAGAAGATTAGACACTACCGAAGAGAAGATTAATGAACTGGAGAAGTCAGTAGAAATATCCAGGTCGAACTGTATAGAGAAAAAACTAGACAACAAAGAAGAAGCAAAAAATAAATATGGGATCTGGTCAAAAGATCTGATACATAACTGGAATTCTTAAAGAATTTAAAAAAAGAATGGGGCAAAGGAAATATTTGGAGGAAGTGAGACAAAAATTTTACAAAACTGATGACAAACTTCCGGCCATAGATTCAAGAAGATATACACACTCCAAGTAAAATAAATGCAAAAGAAAACATTCTTACACATATCATAATACAAATTCTAAACAGTATATAAAAATCTTAAAGTCAGCTAAAGAAAAAAACATACTAAAAAGCAATAAGACTAACAATTGAACTTCTCAAAAGAAGTAAGAAAGGTCTAAAATGACAGAACATATCTTTTTTTAATATATACTTGAAGTTCTGGGGTACATGTGCAGAACATGCAGTTTTGTTACATAGCTATACATGTGTCATGGTAGTTTGCTACACCCATCAACCCGTCACCTACATTAGGTATTTCTCCTAATGTTATCCCTTCCCTGCCCCCACCAGCCACTGACAGGCCCTGGTGTGTGATGTTCCCCTCCTCATGCCCATGTGTTTTCATTGTTGAACTCCCACTTATGAGTGAGAACATGCAGTGTTTGGCTTTCTGTTTTTGTGATAGTTTGCTGAGAATGATAGTTTCTAGCTTCATCCATGTCCCTGCAAAGGACATGAACTCATCCTGTTTTATGGCTGCATAGTATTCCATGGTGTATATGTGCCACATTTTCTTTATCCAGTCTATTATTGATAGACATTTGGGTTGGTTCCAAGTCTTTGCTATTGTGAATAGTGCTGCAATAAACATATGTGTGCATGTGTCTTTATAGCAGAATGATTTATAATCTTTTGGGTATATACCCAGTAATGGGATTGCTGGGTCAAATCGTATTTCTAGTTCTAGATCCTTGAGGAATTGCCACACTGTCTTCCACAATGGTTAAACTAATTTACACTCCCACCAACAGTGTAAGAGCGTTCCTATTTCTCCACATCCTCTCCCACATCTGTTGTTTCCTGACTTTTTAATGACCTCCATTCTAACTGGTGTGAGATGGTATCTCATTGTGGTTTTGATTTGCATTTCTCTAATGATCAGTGATGATGAGCATTTTTTCATATGTCTGTTGGCTGCATAAATGTCTTCTTTTGAGAAGTGTCTGTTCATATCCTTTGCCCACTTTTTGATGGGGTTGTTTTTCTCTTATACATTTCAGTTCTTTGTAGATTCTGGATATTAGCCCTTTGTCAGCTGGATAGATTGCAAAAATCTTCTCCCATTCTGTAGGTTGCCTGTTCACTCTGACGATAGTTTCTTTTGCTTTGCAGAAGCTCTTTAGTTTAATTAGCTCCCATTTGTCAATTTTGGCTTTTGTTGCCATTGCTTTTGGTGTTTTAGACATGAAGCCTTTGCCCATGTCTATGTCCTGAATGGTATTACCCACGTTTCCTTACAGGATTTTTATGGTTCTAGGTTTTACGTTTAAGTCTTTGATCCACCTTGAGTTGATTTTTGTATAAGGTGTAAGGGAGGGGTCCAGTTTCAGTTTTCTGCATATGGCTAGCCAGTTTTACCAACAACATTTATTAAATAGGTAATCTTTTCCCCATTACTTGTTTGTGTCAGGTTTCTCAAAGATCAGATTGTTGTAGATGTGTGGTGTTATTTCCGAGGCCTCTGTTCTGCTCCATTGGTCTATATCTCTGTTTTGGTACCAGTACACCATGCTGTTTTGGTTACTGTAGTCTTGTAGTATAGTTTGAAGTCAGGTAGTGTGATGCCTCCAGCCTTGCTCTTCTTGCCCAGGATTGTCTTGGCTATGTAGGCTCTTTTTTGGTTGCATATGAAGTTTAAAGTAGTTTTTTCCAATTCTGTGAATAAAGTCAGTGGTAGCTTGATGGGGATAGCACTGAATGTATAAATTACTTTGGGCAGCATGGCCATTTTCACCATATTGATTCTTCCTAACCATGAGCATGGAATATTTTTCCATTTGTTTGTGTCCTCTCTGATTTCCTTGAGCGCTGGTTTTTAGTTCTGCTTGAAGAGGTCCTTCACATCCCTTGTAAGTTGTATTCCTGAGTATTTTATTCTCTTAGTAGCAATTGTGAATGGGAGTTCACTCATGATTTGGCTCTCTGTTTGTCTATTATTGGTGTATAGGAATGCTTGTGATTTCTGCACATTGATTTTGTATCCTGAGACTTTGCTGAAGTTGCTTATCAGCCTAAGGAGACTCCACTGAGACGATGTGGTTTTCTAAATACACAATCATGTCATCTGCAAACAGAGACCATTTGACTTCCTCTCTTCCTATATGAATACCCTTTATTTCTTTCCCTTGCCTGATTGCCCTAGCCAGAATTCCCAATACTATGTTGAATAGGAGTGGTGAGAGAAGGCACCCTTGTCTTGTGCTGGTTGTCCAAGGGAATGCTTCCAGTTTTTGCCCATTCAGTATGATATTGGACGTGGGTCTGTCATAAATAGCTCTCGTTATTTTGAGATACATTCTATTGATACCCAGTTTATTAAGAGCTTTGGGCATGAAGGGGTGTTGAATTTTGTCAAAGGCCTTTTCTGCATCTATTGAGATAATCATGTGGTTTTTGTGATTGGTTTTATTTTGTGATGGATCCCATTTCTTGATTTGCATATGTTGAACCAACCTTGCATCCCAGGTATGAGGCTGACTTGATTGTGGTGGATAAGCTTTTTGATATGCTGCTAGATTTGGTTTGCCAGTTTTTTATTGAAGATTTTTGCATCAATGTTAATGAGCAATATTGACCTCAAATTTTCATTTTTTGTTGTGTCTCTGCTAGGTTTTGGTATCAGGATGATGCTGGCCTCATAAAATGAGTTAGGGAGGATTCCCTCTTTTTCTATTGATTGGAATAGTTTCAGAAGGAATGGTACTAGCTCCTCTTTGTACCTCTGGTAGAATTTGGCTGTGAATCCGTCTGGTCCTGGACTTCTTTTGGTTGGTAGGCTATTAATTACCACTTCAATTTTGGAACTTGTTATTGGTTTATTCAGGGATTCGACTTCTTCCTGGTTTAGACTTGGGAGGGTATATGTGTCAAGAAATTTATCCATTTCTTCTAGATTTTCTAGTTTATTTGCATAGAGGTGTTTATAGTATTCTCTGATGGTAGTTTGTATTTCTGTGGGTTCAGTGGTGATATCCCCTATATCATTTTTTATTGCATCTATTTGATTCTTCTCTCTTTTCTTATTAGTCTGGCTAGGAGTCTATCTATTTTCTTGATCTTTTCTAAAAACCAGTTCCTGGATTCACTAATTTTTTGAAGTGTTTTTCGTGTCTGTATCTCCTTCAGTTCTGCTCTGATCTTAATTCTATCCTGTCTTCTGCTAGATTTTGAATTTGTTTGCTGTTGCTTCTCTAGTTCAATTTTGATATTAGCGTGTCAATTTTAGATCTTTCCTGCTTTCTCTTGTGGGCATTTAATGCTATAAATTTCCCTCTACACACTGCTTTAAATGTGTCCCAGAAATTCTGGTATGTTGTGTCTTCATTCTCATTGGTTTCAAAGAACATCTCTGTTTCTGCCTTCATTTCCTTATTTACCCAGTAGTCATTCAGGAGCAGGCTGTTCAGTTTCCATGTAGCTGTGTGGTTTTGAGTGAGTTTCTTAATCCTGAGTTCTAGAGTTTGATGGTACTGTGTTCTGAGAGACTGTTTGTTATTATTTCCATTCTTTTGCATTTTCTGAGGAGTGTTTTACTTCCAATTATGTGGTCCAGTTTAGAATAAGTGCAGTGAGGCGCTGAAAAGAATGTATATTCTGTTTATTTGGGATGGAGAGTTCTGTAGATATCTGTTAGGTCCCCTTGGTCCAGAGGTGAGTTCAAGTCCTGAATATCCTTGTTAATTTTCAGTCTCGTTGATCTGTCTAATATTGACAGTGGAGTGTTAAAGTCTCCCACTATTATTGTGTGGGAGTCTAAGTCTCTTTGTAGGTCTCTAAGAACTTGCTTTATGAATCTGGGTGCTCCTGTATTGGGTGTATATATATTTAGGATAGTTAGCTCTTCTTGCTGCACTGATCCCTTTACCATTATGTAATGCCCTTCTTTGTCTCTTTCAATCTTTGTTGGTTTAAAGTCTGTTTTATCAGACATTAGGATTGCAACTCCTGCCATTTTTTGCTTTCCATTTCCTTGGTAAAAATTCCTCCATCCCTTCATTTTCAGCCTATGTGTGTCTGCACGTGAGATGGGTCTCCTGAATACAGCACACTGATGGGTCTTGACTCTTTATCCAATTTGCCAGTCTGTGTCTTTTAATTGGGGCATTTAGCCCATTTACATTTAAGGTTAATATTGTTATGTGTGAATTTGATCCTGTCATTATGATGCTAGCTGGTTGTTTTGTCTGTTAGTTGATGCAGTTTCTTCATAGTGCAAGATGGCTGAATAGGAACAGCTGCGGTCTGCAGCTCCCAGTGAGATCAACGCAGAAGGTGGGTGATTTCTGCATTTCCAACTGAGGTACTCGGTTCATCTCACTGAGAATGGTTGGACAGTGGGTGCAGCCCACGGAGGGTGAGCCGAAGCAGAGTGGGACATCACCTCACCCTGGAAGTGCAAGGCGTCAGAGAATTTTCTCCCCAACCCAAGTGAAACCATGAGGGACTGAGCCTGAGGAACTCTGGCACAGAAACTGTGCTTGTCCTATGATTTTCACAACCCACAAACCAGGAGATTCCCTCCGGTGCCTACCCCACCAGGGCCCTGGGTTTCAAGCACAAAACTGGGTAGCCATTTGGGCAGACACCGAACTAGCTGTAGGAGTTTTTTCCATACCCCAGTGGCGCCTGGAATGCCAGCAAGACAGAACCATTCACTCCCCTGGAAAGGGGTGCTGAAGCCAGGGAGCCAAGTGGTCTGTCTCAGCAGGTCCCACCCCCATGGAGCCAACAAACTAAGATCCACTGGCTTGAAATTCTCACTGCCAGCACAGCAGCAGTCTGAGATCCAAATGGGATGCTCTAGCTTGGTGGGAGGAGGGACGTCCGCCATTGCTGAGGCTTGAGTAGGTGGTTTTACACTCACAGTGTAAACAAAGCCACTGGGAAGTTTGAACTAGGTGTAGCCCACTGCTGCTCAGCAAGGCTGCTCTGGCCAGACTGCCAGATTTCTCCTCTCTGGGCAGGGCATCTCTGAAAAAAAGGCAGCAGCCTCAGTCAGGGACTTATAGATAAAACTCCCATCTCTCTGGGACAGAGTACCTGGCGGAGGGGGCGGCTATGGGTGCAGCTTCAGCAGACTTTAGTGTCCCTGCCTGATGGCTCTGAAGAGAGCAGCAGACCTCCCAGTACGGCGTTCGAGCTCTGCTAAGGGTCAGACTGCCTCCTCAAGTCGGTCCCTGACCCCCATGTATCCTGACTGGGAGACACCTCTCAGTAGGGGCTGACAGACACCTCATACAGGAGAGCTCTGGCTGGCATCTGGCAGGTGCCCCTCTGGGACGAAGCCTCCAGAGGAAAGACCAGGCAGCAATCTTTGCTGTTCTGCAGCCTCTGCTAGTGATACCCAGGCAAACAGGGTCGGGAGTGGACCTCCAGCAAACTCCAGCAGGGCGGCAGCTGAGCGGCCTGACTGTCAGAAGGAAAACTAACAAACAGAAAGGAATAGCACATCCCCTCAAAGACCCCATCCGAAGGTCACCAACATAAAAGACCAAAGGTAGATAACTCCACAAAGATGGGGAGAAACCAGCACAAAAAGGCTGAAAATTCCAAAAACCAGAAGGCCTCTTCTCCTCCAAAGGATCACAACTCCTAACCAGCAAGGGAACAAAACTGGACAGAGAATAGGTTTGACAAATTGACAGAAGTAGGCTTCAGAAGGTGGGTAATAACCAACTCCTCCAAGCTAAAGGAGCATGTTCTAACCCAATGCAAGGAAGCTAAGAACCTTGAAAAAAGGTTAGACGAATCGCTTACTAGAATAACCAGTGTAGAGAACATAAATGACCTGATGGAGGTGAAAAACACAGCATGAGAACTTCGTGAAGCATACACAAGTTTCAATAGCTGAATTCATCAAGCGAAAGAAAGGATATCAGTGATTGAAAACCAACTTAATGAAATAAAGCAAGAAGACAAGATTAGAGAAAAAAGAATAAAAAGCAACAAAGCAAGCCTCCAAGAAATATGGGACTATGTGAAAAGACCAAATCTACATTTGATTGGTGTACCTGAAAGTGACAAGGAGAATGGAACCAAGTTGGAAAACACTCTTCAGGATATTAGCCAGGAGAACTTCCCCAACCTAGCAAGACAGGCCAACATTCAAATTCAGGAAATACAGAGACCACCACAAAGATACTCCTCGAGAAGAGCAACCCCAAGACACATAAACGTCAGATTCACCAAGGTTGAAATGAAGGAAAAAATGTTAAGGCAGCCAGAGAGAAAGGTCGAATTACCCACAAAGGGAAGCCCATCTTTTTCTTTTCTTTTTTTTTTTTTTTTTGAGATGGAGTTTTGCTCTTTGTTGCCCAGGCTGGAGTGCAGTGGTGCAATCTCGGCTCACTGCAAACTCCACCTCCTGGGTTCAAGTGATCCTCTGGTCTCAGCCTCCCAAGTAGTTGGGATTACAGGTGCCTACCACCACGCCTGGCTAATTTTTGTATTTTTAGTAGAGACGGGGTTTCACCATGTTGGCCAGGCTGGTCTCGAACTCCTGACCTCAGGTGATCCACCTGCCTTGGCTTCCCAAAGTGCTGGGATTACAGGTGTGAGCCACCGTGCCCAGTCAACAGAACATATCTTTAAAGAACTGAAAAAAATGTAAGCCTCGGAATTCTGTACCCCATTAAAAACATTCTTTAAAATGACAGCAAAATTAAAATATTTTCAGACACATTTATCAGCAGAATTTAAAGAAATAATTCAGGCAGATGAAAAATGATCCCATTAATAACACAGAAAATGGGGGAAAATCCATATGAGTCACTCTAATTAAATATTTCCTATTTAAAATGACAATAATCATGGCTTGGAGGATTAATATGGCACCAAGGACGGGTGAGCTTAAATAGAGGTAAACTGTTCTAAGGTATGTACATTATATAAGTGGGAAAAGTGCTAATATAATATAGACTCTAATATTAAATTGAGAATAAATGTTATAACCTCTAGGGTAATCACTGAAGTAAATAATAAAATAATGTTTACTAACAAGCTAATAGATGACAAAACTGAATAATAGAAATATTTTGCCTTTTTTAGATTAATCAACTAGAAACATAGATAAGAAAAATAGCAAGATTATAGGTAAGATTAAATTATACAATAATTACATTGAATAGCCACTATTTTTTAGTATATCTTGTCCTTTCTTTTTACCTTCAAACCATGTAAAGCACAATGTAATTATAAGTGATACTATGTATTTAGATGTAATAATAAAAGAGCTGATTCGACAGGAAAATATGACAACCTTAAATCTGTATACTGATAATAACACATACAACAACATATAACACCAAAAAGCTGAAATGTTAAGCAGAACTAAAATGAGACAGAGAGAAATACAATATCATAGTGGGGAATTCCAACTGATAGAATAAGCAAATACAGCAATCAGTAGAGACTAGATCTGAATATTACAATTAGTCAATTTGATCACATTGACATATATGGAACACTGCATTCATCAACTGCTGAATGCATTTTTTTTTACAAGTGCTCAAGGATCATTAACCAAAACACATCGTATGATCATCTGTAAAGCAAGTCTAAATGTATTTGAAAGGATGGACATAATATAGAAGGTATTCAACATGTCAGTGGAATAAACTAAAAATCATAAAATTTTAACTAGAAAATTTGGTATTCAAATTGTTTCAGAATTAAATAATACACTTTAAATAAAGTTCACAATAAAAATTAGAAAATAGTTTGAGTTCAATGATAATGAAAATATGATATCTAAAAGTGCACTATTACTAAAACAACTACAGGGAAGTTGGTATCTGTAAATACATATAATAAAAAAGTAAGGCTGGAAACCAATAATCTAAGGTTCCATTTTAACAAGCTAAAAAAAGGTCAAATTTAACCCCAAGAAAGTGGAGTAAAGGAAATAAAAAATAAGAATAGAAATCGATGACACAGCAAACAGATGTACAATGCCAAAAAGTTACTTCTTGAAAATCCATAAAATTGATAAATCCTTAAGCAAGATGGATTTAGAAAAAATGAGTGAAAACATAAATTAATCATATTGGAAATGGAAAAAAGAAGGGCCCTACAGATCTTTTACATGTGAAAAAGGAAATAAGGGGACTTTATAAACAACTTTAGGCCAATAAATATGAAAAATTATAGGAAATGGACACATTCCTCAAAAAGCACAACTTACTAAAACTGAATCAAGATGAAATGTTAAAGTCAGAATAGTCTTCCATCTATTAAAGTGATTGAATCTATAACGAAAAATCTTCCCTCAAAGTAAACTACAGTCCCTTGTGGCTTCACCATTGAATTCTTCCATACAATTAAGGAAGAAGTAACAATCTTACACAAATCCTTCCAGAGAGTATAAAAAGAAGAAACTCTGCCCAACTCATTTTGAGGCCAGCATACCCTAATAAAAAAAGCTGAAAACAGCATTACAAAAAGGAAATTTTCAGACCAGTATCTGTCTTGACACAGACACAAAGATCTTAAAATTGCACAAAGTCAAACGCAGTGAAATATAAAAGTTTAATATATTATGACAAAGTTGAATTTATACCACGAATGTAAAGTTATTTTATCATTTGAAAATCAAACAATGTAATCCATGACATTAAAAAAGAAGAAAAAATTATATAATTTTAATAGGTGCACAAGCACTCGACAAAATTCAACATCCATTCACATCCATTTTTACCACACTAGGAACAGAAGAGCACTTCTTTAACCTTAAAAAGAATATGTATGAAAATCAAAAGCAGCATAAGACTTAATGGTAAAACTAGTAAAAGCATTCATCCTGAGATCATGAAAGAGGTAAGAATATGTGCTAATCCTTATTCTTTCAACATTGTACTGGTGGTGTAACAAGATAAAAAAAAAAAAAAAAAGAAATCCAGTGCAACTTGGTAAGAAAAAGAAATAAAAGGTATATAGATTGGGAAAGTAGAAATATAGCAGACACTATTCAAACACAATATGATTATATACACAGAAAATAAAAAAGATATAGTCATCATTAACCCTTTTCAGTAAGTGAACTTGGCAAAATCATTGTACACAAGATCATTATAAAGTTGATGGCTTTCAAATATTAGAAAATAAAAAATTAAAAAACTCTATATTATATAATTGCAGCAAAGCCTTTTAAATACCTGGTAATAAACCTTAGGAAAAATGTGTAAGACTTCCAACACAGAAACTGCAAAATATTACAGAAAGAAAATAAGTGAAGGGATGGACTGTTAATGGATTGGAAGACTCAATCTTATAAAGATACGTCAATCCTTCTTCAGTTGATTTTTACATTCAACTCAATCGCAATCAAAGTCTCAGCAGATTATTTTGTAGAAATCAATAAATTGACTCTAAAATTTGCATGGAAATATAAAGAACCAAGAAGAGCAAAGACAATTTTGAAGAATCAAAATGATATTGGAAGACTTATACTACCAGATATTAGGACTTACATAAAACTCAAGTAATTAAAACAGAGTACAAACATAAACAGACCAATAGCATAACATCAGAGGATCTAAGAAAAAAAAAACCTAATTTTTAAAAAGTACTACTATAATCCAATGGGAAAAACTGTCTTCCATAAATCGTGCTGCATCAACTATATGGAGAAAAATAAGCCATAATTAATTCCAGATGGATTTTAATAATAAAGTTTAATAGTGAAGCTTAATAATTAAGCTTCCAAAATATAATATTGTGGACTATCATCCACCATTGGGGCAGGGAAATATGTCTTAAATTGTATATAAAAGAGCACTGTCCATAAAGGAAAAGATCAATACACTGAACTTTACCAAAATTTTTAAAAACTTCTGTTCATCAAAAGATAGCATTAAAAGAAGAGCAAACTACAGGGTGGGAGAAGATATTCTCAGTCTAAATATCCAGTAAAGGAGTGGTATCTGGAATACATAAAGAATGACTATAAATCATTAAGTAAAAAAAGTATATCATGAGATTTCTTAAATTGTCAAAAATCTTGAACACTTCACAAAAAATACATAGGCATAGCCAATATACAAATAAATATCTGTATTTCATATACATTTCTAATATACATATGAAAACTGATCAACATTAGTGATCACAGGGATGGGAATTAAGATACTTAGATACTAAAACACCCAGATGCAGAACACACACACGCACACACACCCACCACACACACGCACGCACATACACCACACACACACTCACGCACACACACCACACACACGCAAACATGCGCACACACGCACACCACACACGCACATGCACACACACCACACACACGCTTGCACACACCACACCACACATGCACACACACACCGCACACGCACACATGCACACACCACACACACGCACGCACACACCACACACACCACACATGCATACACACGCACCAGACACGCACACACCACACACACATGCACACTACACACACCACACACACGAATGTATGCACACACACGCACACATACACACCACACACACACACACACACCACACATGCACACCACACACACACCACACACACACACGCATACACAGACACACACACCAGAATGGTGAAAATTAAGAACATTTGGGATTGCAAACGTTGGCAAAGATAAACTAAAATGCTCTTTGTTACCACTACTTTGGAAAGGTGTTTGGCAGAATTTTCTTAATGCAGAACACATGTATACCTTTTGAGGTGGTAATTCGACTCCTGGATATTCCCTAATAGAAATGTATACACAAGTGTGCAACAGAAGATGTGGAAGAATTTTCACAGCAGCATAATTTGAAATAGCTAAAACTGGAAAGAGTCTACATATCCATCTATGCTAGATGAGATAAATAATGATATGTCCATACCAGAGTACTACACAGCAATGATAAAAACAAACCCTTGGCACACACAGCATCTCAAAGACATGTCACTGAGTGAAAGAAACCAGACACCAGAGAGTATGTTACATAAGGTTCTGGTGCAATAACAGGTAAAACTAACCCATGGAGATAGAAGTCAGAAAAGTAGTTACTGTAGGGGACAGAATGACTAGAAGGAGGCATGATGAAGGAGGCTTGAAGGTCCTGGCAGGTTCTGTCTTGACGCTATGATTTAACATGGTAGAGGGAACTTGTTAAAAAAAAAAAAAAAGTGCCACACAAGTTTTGCGTCCCTTATCACATGCATTTTTGAAATGCTCCACATAAAGTCTTTTAAAAAATAATTTATTATGCTATGTGAAAGGCAAATAAACTCTTGGGACCCCAAATTCACTATGCCCAAAGGGAAAAGTTTAGCTTGGAAGCTGAGACATGGAAAAACAAAACCAAAAATAAAACCCAAAAACTCCTTTACTTTTGTTCCTAAACTGATAGCTACAGATAGAACTTCTCATGTCTCGACAGGGGCCACCCTAACAATGTAAATTAACAGCTCATAGACACAGGACAGGAGGAGACCAGAAATCCTCCCCCACCCACCCAGAGATGAATGTATATTTGACAGCTTCCTGTACTCTGTTTATTTTCCCTTATGTAAAGTGCAGATTTACTGAGTGTAAGATGAATACGTAATTGACAGTAACGTCTACCCCCTCCTTTTCACACGCAACATATGGATTCACAAGATTGTGAACACATCTTCCCTCTTTTTTTCATCTTTCCCCACTTGCCCACTTTTCCCCTTTACATATCGAAGCCCTCAAAACCCTCTTCAGAAAAGGTATCGGCCACACATACTACTGTGGCCTGTGTCTCTTTTTCCTGGGTGTATCCTCAACCTTAGCAAAATAAACCTCCCAACTGTTTGAGATCTGTTTACATGCTTTTTGGTTTGCACTTATAGAAGACTGTATCAGTAGGGGACAAACTGGGGAAGCGTACATGGGAACATAGTATTATTTTTGCATTTCTTGTTAGTCTAAAATTATTTCAAAATAAAGTTTGTGTTTTTATTTTAAAATATATAATTGACAAAGATTGAATATATTCAAGATACGCAATGTGATGATTTGATATACATATACATGTTGTAATGATTATTACAATCAAATTAATTAACACATCTATCGCCATCCCTGCTGTATATTAGATACCCAGAACTTATTAATCTTCTAACTGCAAGTTTGTACCCTGATCAACATGACTTCAATTCCCCTACTTCCCAGCCCCTGGCAACCACTTGTTCATATGTGAGATGAAACATATTTGTCTTTCTGTGTTTGGCTTAGCATAATGTCCTCCAAGTTTATCCATGTTGTCACAAATGGCAGAGTTTCCCTCTTTTTTATGGCTGAATAATATTCCATTACATATCTGCTACTGTGATATTGTGAAATATATATTTGGTCTTCCTCCCTGTTTCCTGACACAGAGCTCATAAAATACTTGGATCTCCAGTGATAGGAGTGTCTTTTGTATGCTAACGAGATGACTTGTGGCTGAGGGCCCCTAGATAGCCTCAGGATGGAGGCTGGTTGCCAAGGGAACCAACCATCTGATTAGAGGACTGGAAATTTCAGGCCTCCTCTCTACCTCCCCCTGCCCCCCCCATATTCTGGGGAGGGGAAGGGAGCTGAATGTTGAGTTAATAAACAAGTGGACATAATGAATCCTTCATAAAAAACTCAGTCTCAAAAATACTGAGTTCTGAGAGGTTTCAGACAGCTGAACATGGGAGGTTCTTAGAGTGTGGTGCATCCAGAGAGGGCATGGGAGCTCCGTGGTGCCCCTTCTCCCATACCTTGCCCTGTGCATCTCTACCATCTGGCTGTTGAACTGTATCCTTTGTAATATCCTTTATAATAAACGTGTACATTTATTATAAGTAAAGTGTTTCCCTGAGTTCTGTGACCCACTCTAGAAAGTTAATAGATCTCAAGGATGAGGTTGTGGGAACCCCCCAATTCACAGCTGGTCGATCAGAAGTATAGGTGACAATCTACTACTTGCAACTGTCCTCTGAAGTAGGGGCAGTCTTGAGGGACAGTCCTCAACCTGTCTCCAGGTAGATAGTGTCAGAACTGAATTGATTTAGAGGAAACCCAGCTGGTATCGTATCTACTGGAGAATCTGCTGGACAGTTGATTGCTTGGTGTGTGGAGAAAAAACTCAGACATCCAGGATCACAGAAGTGTACTGTGTTGTAAAAGTATTATAAGAGAAACTGAGTTTGGATTTTCCTATATCACTAAAACTCAATTTCTGTATCCACTCATCCACATGTTGATGGACACTCAGATGGTTTCTATACTTTGCTATTGTGAATTAGGCATCGATAAGCATGGGAATGCAGTTATCTCTTTGCTATCGATTTCATTTCCTTCAACACAGTGCTACCATCATCCTCGTGACCATGAGTGTACATGATCCAGAGGCAAAGAGGTGGTCTAGTGAGGAAATAGTCTATGATTGTAAAATTTTTGTCAAGAGTGTAAACATACGAAACAAGTTGGAAGAGTTGGGCTGAATCACAGTAGCTCTAAGTGAAACCCACTGACCTTACCAATTTCCACTTTCCAAGCACGGCCATTGCTCTCACCATTGGGAATCTGAAGAGTCTTGGGGTATATCAAGTCCATGAAGGAATCCTGAGAGTGGCTACAGGACTGAAAAAGCTGAATCCTAAGGCTTGTTCTCTGAGTAAAACATCCTGTTAAGACAACTCACGCTGAAGGATACCCCGGCCCCAGAGCACTCGCCCTCCATCCCAGAGGTACAACGTGCTCCATAAATGAAAGAGCTTCAGTTTTGATGACTTTGCTTCTGAACTGTAATCTTGAATAAATTAATGCCATTGCTAATCTCTCACAGATGAATACAGGCTGCCTGCAAACAATAGCGCCCTTGTTTCCAGGCCCAGTGACATCAAAATATCATCTTGTCTTTCATCATCTTTGTCTTTATCTTTAGTTATTCCTGCTGTGGGATGAAAACAACCCAAGACAAGATATAACTCCTGTGGAGTCCAGGACCTGCAACATATTTCTTTCCAACCAAGAAATCCCAGCTTTCTGCTGTCTGTCCCTCTGCTCACTTGTCACAATCCACCTCAACCAACAAATCTAACCTCCTCCCCACCAAGAAGATTCAAAAACCATCATCACATATGTGAAACTTGAACAATGGCTACATTCTCCACACAATATTTTCATCTTGTAATTACATATGATGCAATCTGGAGGGAAAGTTTAATGGAATAAACATTCAGGCTAAGATTTAACTGCATGAGAGTAGAATTTTGAACATAATACTCTAAGGCTACAGACTCCTTAGCCCCAGCCAGGCAGGAGAGTGGCTCTCTCAACTTTAATTATTTGCAATGAGACCCTTACTGTGTATGAACCCTCCCAGAGTTATCTCTGACCTAGCAGTTTCTGCCAGGCCCTCCTTGTGCCAAGCACTTACGTTGTGTGAACTTTCCAGACCTCATCTCATCCTGCGGTAGAAACTATTTTTATCCACATCTTACAAATGGGGAAGCTAAGGCTTGAGGTCATCCAGATAATGAGAAGAAAAGAGGAATTTCAACTCCAGGGTCCATTATCTTAACTACATACAGCACTCCTTCTCTTACACAGGCTATACAACGTGATCCAGGGAAGGGTGGCTCTTAACTTCTTTCTATTGGCCACTTTTATGTGAGGATAATGTTATCTGCTTGGATCTTCCCCAGTTTATTTCATTCTTGTTACTCATAAAATTGGCTTTGCCCAAACCACACGTTTTCTGTGGAGAATCACCTAATTCCAAAGAGAGCTCAGACCTTGAGCTTTGGCTTTAGAAAGCAAGAAGGAGTTGGCTCTCACTAAGATCTCTGTCCTTCTATCATCACTTCTAGCAGTGAGCAAAGTAGCATCAGATGCTTCCTCAAGACAGAACTCCCAATAGCCTGTTCCTGTATAAAACAAACTCATTAAATGATAAGACATAATGGGGTCACAAAGAACAATTACTGAACATTTGCTTATGTGACTGGCACTGTTCTAAGCCATTACAGGAGTCTTCTCACCTAATCATCACAACATTCCTATGAGTAGTATGGTGGGCAGAATACTATGTTCCCCTACCCCTGTCCCCATGATGTCTAGGAGTTTGTGATTATGTGATGTTATATGACAAAGGGGAATTAAGGTTGCAGATGGAATTAAGATTGCTAATCAGATGATGTTAAAATAGGGCCAGTTATCCCATGGGACCAATGCAACCACAGGGTTGTTTAAAGTGGAAGAGAGTTTCAGAGTTAGTGCTGCCGTGCAAGATAGACTAAGCCGGCTGTGGCTGGGCTTTGCAGATGGAAGGGGCAATGGGCCAAGAAATTCAGACAGCCTCTGGAAAATGGAAAAGGCAAGAAAACACATTCTCTTTGTATTAGTCCGTTTACATGCTTCTGATAAAGACATACCCAAGACTGGGCAATTTACAAAATAAAGAGGTTTAATAGACTCTCAGTTCCACGTGGCTGGAGAGGCCTCACAATCATGGTGGAAGGTGAAAGGCACATCTCACGTGGTGGCAGACAAGAGAATGGAGCTTGTGCAGGGAAAATCCCCCTTATAAAACCATCAGATCTCGAGAGACTTATTCACTATCATGAGAATTGCACAGGAAAGGCCTGACCCCATGATTCAACTACTTCCCACCAGGTCCCTCCCACAACGCATAGGAATTGTGGGAGTTACAATTCAAGATGGGTGGGGACACAGCCAAACCATATTACTCTCCTTGCGTCTCCAGAAAGGAATACAGTTCAGCTGACACCTTGACTTTAACCCAGTGAGACCTTCATCTGATCTCTGACTCCAAGAACTGTCAGATAGTAAATGGAGTTGTTTAAGCCACTACATTTGTAGTAATTTGTTACAACATAAACAGGAAATGAATACAGGTAGGCTTTATCAAGATGATAATCTCCATTTTTACAGATGAAGAAACTGGCATTGAGAGCTTTATACTCTTGCCTGAGGTCACCTAACAAGTAAGTTGTAGAGTTAGAATTTTAACCAGGCTGTCTAGAGCCCTCTTATAATAGTAGGCCTTCTCCCCATGGCAGCTCCTCCTCCTACTCAAAATTGTCTCTATTATTTCTTGCATTAAAACACAGGCTGTATTTGATAAGTTTAATATTCACCATATAGCATTTAAAGGGAAGGGAGGGAGGGGAGGAAGACAACCTTTATCTAGCTTTAGGCATTTTATATTTATCTGCAGAAAGCTATGAGGGAGCTACTCCAAGTGGCAAGCATGTCAGAGAGCTTACGTGGTCTGGTAGCAGCAGATGAGGAAGGGCAGGTACTGCCAACTGTCTACCTAACATCATCCCTATTTCTCCTTTTTCCCAGAGTCCCAACTTTGTCCAGATATCCACTCTTCTATGTTCAGAGATGTGGCTTCCTCCCAAGTCCCAGTGTGGAATCACGATTGGTCTATGTTAATCATGGTAATCCCATCTGTTTTGCCAATGATTGGTTCTGGCATAAACATGTGACCCATTTCTGGCCAATGGGATCTACAGAGGTGCCTGTGTGGGGGTAGGGAAGAACTCCCTCTTTTATAAGATAAAAAGAGATACAGAAAATCCACTGGTGTCTCCTCAAACTGCTGCCATCACCTGAGACTATGATAGTGTCATTGTTTACATGTTAAGAATGGCAGAGAGTATCGCTATAAAAATTACTTTGAGCTGCTGAATTAGCCAGCTCCAGAACTGCTCTGTCTCCGGGTGACAGATGTTTGAAGTTGGCTTATCCTAACTGGTGCAATAGGTCTTTTGTGTGTGTGCTGTTCACTTTATGTCATTTAGTAAGGCAATGTGGAGCGCTGAGGCACAGTCTTACGTACATGGTACCCAGTGAACAGTGGCTATTACTCTCCTTTTTTATGCGAGAGAAAGCTGGCTCAGAGAGGTAAGCTGGCTTGAGAAAAATCACGTTATTTTATGGCACAATTAGGATAAGAGTTCAGCCCTCTGTGAGTCCAAAGTTTGGCCTTTGCTCACCAATCAAACAGCCTCTCCCCTGTTTGTTATTTGATGGCAAAAGTTCAATTACCTTCTATCAAAATATGCTACATAGCCACAGATGAATGACAGTGACACTGGTTGTTCAGTTTACCCAGATTGTAATTAAATTGCCTCCTCAGCTGGGCCTCTGACTTTTTAACATTTTCAATTGTAGGTAAGGAGATTTAATTAAATATTCTAAGTAATATCCTCCTAACTGGTAGCAAATCTATAGTAATGGTTGTAAGGTCTCTAAACATACTTAAAATGTAATGTATTCCCACTACACTCAATGTGGCTAACAATTAATATTCTAATTACCAGTTAAAAATCATTTCTATAGGGAGAGGCTCTTGGAGCCTCTGGTCTAAATGAAATCTTCCATTAAAATCAAGCTGTTCACCAATCCCATTTTCTCTTCTTATGTACTCAGGAGGACTGTGTTTCCCAGTTTTCCTGGTAGTCATGTTGGTGGGTCCATGTGGCTAAATTCTGGACAATGGAATATGAACAGAAATGATATACCCACTTCCCAGCTGGCTAAAAACCTGCCTGTGCAATTTGCCTCAATCTTTCTCTCCCGCTTGCCACAACTGTCAAGACCGCACGTTAAAGTTGGTGGCACCAATGACAGAAGGACACTGGATCCTCAAATCCCAATAGAACTATTCAATCTGCATCATATTGGAATGTGAGAAGAAATAAATCTTCATTTTTGTTAAGTCATTTAGATTTCATATTCATTATTATTGTTATGGCAACACAGGTCAGCCTAGCCTCGTTAATACAAATATTTCTTCAAGACATTGATTTTCCCTTCATCATACTTACCACAATTTGCCATTAAGTATTTTATTTGGGGTTTGCTTATTTATTTCCTGACTTCTCAGTAACCACTGTTCACCTGTGCTATTCATAGGTGCTAATTCAATGCCTGGTACACAATAGGTGCTCCACAAATACTTGCTCAATGCATGAACAAATGAATATTTAGCAAATGAATGAGTCGATTCTCTGATTTTTGACTCCCACCTCTCTCCCTGTGTGCGTGTGTGAAAACAAAAGACTTTTGTTGTTGTTGTTTTGGAAAATAATACCTCTACCAGGTGGTAGGCGACTGATTTTATTTTTATTTTAGAGACAGGGTCTTGCTCTTTCATGCAGGCTAGAGTGCAGTGGCAATCCATGGCTCACTGCAGACTCAAACTCCTAGGATCAAGTAATCCTCCCACCTCAGCCTTCTGAGTAGCTGGACCCACAGGCACATGCCATCATTTCCAGCTAATTTTCAAATTTTTTTGTATGGATAGGGTCTCGCTATGCTACCCAGGCTGGTCTTGAACTACTGGTCACAAGCAACCATCCCACTTTGGCCTCCCAAAATTCTGTGATGACAGGTGTGAGCCACCATGCCTGGCAAGTGATGGATTTTAAAAGATAAGACTTCCAAGGCAGAAGGATCACTTGAGTCCAGGAGTTCGAGACAAGTCTAGGTAACATAGTGAGACCCTGTCTCTACAAAAAAATTTAAAAATTAGCCCAGCATGGTGATGTACACCTGCAGTCCCAACTACTCGGGAGGCTGAGTGGGAGGATCACTTGAACCCAGGAGGCTAAGGCTTTAGTGAATCGAGATCATGCCACTGCCCTCCAGCCTGGGCAACAGAGGGAGACCCTCTCTTTAAGAAAAAAAAAAAGAGAGAGAGAGAGGACTTTAAGCAGTCTGCAGCTGGAGTTTAAAAATGAAGGCTGGGTGCGGTGGCTCACACCTGTAATCCTAGCACTTTGGGACGCCAAGGCAGGCGGATCACTTGAGGTCAGCAGTTCGAGACCAGCCTGGCCAATATGGTGAAACTCCATCTCTACTAAAAATACAAAAAAAAAATTAGTCAGGCATGGTGGTGTGCACCTGTAGTCCCAGTCAGTTGGGAGGCTGAGGCGGGAGAATTGCTTGAACCCAGGAAGTGGAGGTTGCAGTGAGCCGACATTGAGTCATTGCACTCTAGCCTAGGTGACAGAGCAAGACTCCATCTTGAAAAAAAAAAAAAAAGATGAAGATGGGTATAGAATTAGGTTTTAGGGTTGATAAGCAGATGTAAAAAATAGTTATTTAAAATTGGCCTCACCTTATCATACCAGAATTAGTGGAAAACCAAAAGAAAAAAAAATTGTCTTTTCAATCAATAGGGTTACAGAAAAAGAGAAAAACTTAAGACCCAAGATTTAAGTCAAAACCAAACTGGTCTGGCGAAAAATAAATGAATGCCTAAAAGACTGTCAAGGCTTGTCAGGGTCTCACCCCTCCACCATGAATTCAGGTGTTGGAGGAAATTCTGGAGCCGCCTAGGATTTGAGCATTTAAATTATGGCTTAACTTACAAATATGCATTCAAAAGCATTCTCCTCTAAAAGATTTAATTATCTGTCTCTTTTCCAAATAGCCCAACTCTCTACCTCCTGCATACTTGGGCCAAGGCTGGGGGTATTCAATGCTAAGATTCCAGCTTTGTCTCTGCTCAATCAACATTTACCTATTATAAACAACCAATTTGGCAGTAATCACAAGGTCTCCAACCAAAAGGATCCTGTTCAACTCCATCCTTTCGAAGAAGTGTTTATTAGGGTTATTTTTCTGTCACTTTGTCTTTGGTAGCTCTACAGAGTGGGCCACACAGCTAGTAATCTAAACCTTAAAATTTATCTCACTGACTTGAAACTTCCATGTTTCATTAGAACATGCAGGCAAAACAGTTTTCGCCTGCCATCAAATTCGATAACACCTTTGTATATATCATGTGATACCACTCAGCTACTTCTCATTCTCAGAGATTAAAGACCAGTGAATTAGAATGGATTATTCAGTTAGAAATCCAGAAAAGTTTCACTGGATGGTTTTATATGTTCTTTGATCGACTCGAGGCCAGGAATATAAGGCCCCTGAGTTCTTTAAATTATGTCTCCCACATCTCTGACTTTGGCTTCAAATAAACAATTACCTTGCCAGACCATAACCTTCATTCATTGTTCAGCACTTGAAAGCTTTAAACAATGCACATCTCTAGCCTCTCTGTGGATACAGGTGGACTTAAAGTCACATAACCAAGTCTTAATTATTATAAATGGGGTCTAACTCCAACAGCAAAAGAGAATGAAAACAGGATTTGGAAGGGCCTTTCCATCAGATAAACAGCTCCTTCTATACACAAACTCAATGTGCCACTTACTTTTCTCACTCCTCTGCTGAAGTGAAACAAGCAAATAAAAACTCAGGCCGTCATTTCCCCAGAATCTCCCTCTCCTTCAAGCTACCCCACATAGTGAAATTCTTGGATGAGCAGACCATGGAAATTCAACAGTCAGCAAAAGCCTATGGACAGCCTTACTCAAAGGCTTTATCATCATACAGCTTCTCGGTAAAGCTTTGGAGACATTAGCCACACTCTGATACTGGGACTACAAAGAAAATTCCACAGATAAAAGAATCAGGATCTCTTTCCAGCCAACAAAACCAATGTCAATCTGAAACCATCACTCTCATTCAAGGCCTCCTTCCCACTCAAATCCTAGGTTGCCCTGTGAATCCCTTTCGTGTACTGGGACATGGGTGTGAATGTCTTTTGCACTGAGGCATCGGATTGATGGCAGGATGAGCCAGGGTTGAATAATTTACCTAACCTTTGTCCAGAACTAAAAGCCAATGGGAACATCCAATGAACATAATGAACAAACTTAAATATAACATGTGGGAAACATAACAAACTTCAAATCAAACCTTTCTTCTGACCTCCAAAATGCCAAGAATGACCCTTAGAACTAGACTGGACCATGGCCAATTAGATCTGAATTCATTACATATGTTTTGGGGGATGGGGCTTTTGCCTGGACTCACCCTAATGAATTGTTCGGCCTTCATGGAAATGCTCTAATGACAATAATTTTCAGGAAGTAGCTGGCTCTTGCCTTCTTTCACTTGCTACCCATTAATACGCCTTCTACGCATTACTTAGATTAAGGATTTTGTAAAGGAGGCCTTTGTAAGAGAAATAACTTGGGCAGAAGTGCAGCAGAGCATGAAATCCCAATCTGGATGGTTGGCTGCTTCATAAAATGTGACCAGGAATGGAGAAGCCAGAAACAGAGGTAGGGAACAGAGTGATGGATCTCACAGTAGCTGATGGAAAGTTTCCCAACCATATCATGACAATTGGCCTATGCAGGGCCCCAAATGAAATCCATTATATTGGCCACAAAGCATGGGATTCTGGCACAGTCAGTGCAAAAATGTTTCCCTCTGTGAGCTTTAAATGTTATCACGCAGCCTCCCACTGCTCCTCACCCTGAGAGTGAGGGCCTAAAGCTGGAGAGCATCGATTCTCACAATGGCCTTGGCAACCAGTTACAAGATCATTTTTGAAGAGAAGCAAACTCATAGCACTTCAGTAAAAGGTACAGTCTACTGAGGTGTTGTTATTCAAGGACAGCTGGTCTCAATGGCAACATGTCACTCATGAAAGTCCAAGCACCAAAGCCTGAGGATAGATACCATTTTTAATAAATAAAGACAGATGTTAATCATTCTACTAATATGTCAGCCATCCACTTGCATTCTAAAGGATGTTCCTGAATGAAAGGGAAAGGGGTGACTGAGGCATAACCCTAGGCAAGCATTGGCATGGTGGCTTCATGCATTGTTAATGTTATGTGAACAACACTGTTAAGAACTGCCACGACTTTGGGAAGAAAATGTTGGGATAAAGCCCCTAGGCTAACCTTCTATTGAAATGTTGATCCCCAGAAGAGAACAGGATGCATGGCCATCCCCAAACTCCATCTCAGCTGAAGAAAGTGCAAGAAGGTATCTCCTTATGTTAAAAGATGACTTTACTTGGATACATCAAAATAGTGCACTGCTGGGTCTTCACGCAAATGCTTCTAGTCAAAGGAATGCTGGATCCATGGAAGAACTGGACTTCAATGTGGGAATGAGGCTCCAGTTGATTTGGCCTTATGGTGTGTGAACAAGATGGTTCTTAAAACATATGGGCTAGTGATACTGCCTCAAAGGAGCACAGAAGCCGGAACAGATCATTCTATTGTTTTATGAGAACTATACGAGGAGAAGAGGGGCCATGCATAGCATCTCCATCATCACTTTATGAGGCATGAGAGTCAGTATCACTGAAGTGCTTGTCTCAGACCAAGTCTGCTTTCTAGTATGAACAAGACAATAGGCTTCAGACACATATCCGCATAGCAAATCAAAACTCATTAAGTTAGGATCAGCACATTATTTGAAGCAACTTATACTCTTCTAACCAGGAAGATGCCCTATTATGCTATAATTATATCAGATATCAAACAGGGTTAATTCAAAGCTTTTAGTTATAGGAACATTGGGAGGCCCAAACTGTTGAATTAAATAACTCTACAATCCTGTGCTAAAATACTCATTAAAAATATTGAACCTCAATAAGAAGAAAGTCTGTCAATGTGTTATCTATAACCCTTGAGTCCTTGGATTTTTCTACTGTGAAGTCATCCCTTCACTCAAAACAAACAAAGGAGCAAATCAGAACAACAAGAAAAAACCTGTGAGAACCAATTGCAGCACTGGCATGTTACCAGGGGCTGGGGACAACGTCTTTACAAAGGCCAAGTTTTTCTTCTCAACAAGTGAGGAATCTAGAATAGGCTACAGATAAGTTACCTTATAATTCTAGTTCAATGATATAACTCCTAAGACACTGACACAAACAATATAATTTGGCAGCACCAAGAGCTAACTTTGCTGGGAAAGGAAATAATGTGACCCCTAGAGAAGGAGAAAGGAAGTGAGGATTTAAAATAAGGCCAAAGAATTGAAATTGATATGGCAAAATGTGAATATTTGCTAAATCCAGATAGTGGGTATTCAGTACATTTGAAATATTTCACAAATTAAAAACAATGAACTTAATCTTTTGGAGACTGAGCCATTTTTGGAAATAATCAGGCAGGAAGACCCGTGCAGATGACAGTGCAGGGGCTGGGCCAGCTACACTCCATGGTCCACAGTAGCTCTGTACCCAGCAGAGCTCAGAGAATGCAGAAAGCCCCCCAGGAAAGTCCATTACTTTGACTTCAATGCACTCTCCACTCTCTACAGGGTTGTTTCCCTGTAGAAATGGGGGTGGGGGGTAGAGAATCTCCTTTTTGGGTCAAGGAAGTAATGGTGTTGGGTAGGAGGGAGGTAGGGGTGGAAAACTGCAATGCACACCAAGAACAACTGGACTTGGATCATATCTTTCAAAAGATCATGAAATAACAGATTTTAAACAATAGGAAGGAGTCCCACATCTGTGACACTGCCTCATGTTAGATGGGGTATATTAATATTTGTGTCTCTTGGCCTAAACACCTCTTGTTAAAGGGATTCCACCCCCGTACAGCTGTGCTGTTC
This sequence comes from Homo sapiens, assembly GCF_000001405.40. Classification (NCBI taxonomy): domain Eukaryota; kingdom Metazoa; phylum Chordata; class Mammalia; order Primates; family Hominidae; genus Homo; species Homo sapiens. The sequence goes on along the minus strand of NC_000003.12, from coordinate 54,704,622 downwards.
CTATCACCAACGTCTGAGTGATCAGGAAGACTGTTCTCTGGCAAGTCAAAAAAGAAAATGACTAGCTCAACAAATTTTTATCAAGACATGCAGCTCACAGAGATCCCTGAGCCTGCAGCAATCAACACAGGGAAAAGGCAAAAACCTATTAGCCAGGTATTAAAAAAAAGAGGGAAAAATAAAGAAATGGAAACTATGTATGAACTGGGGATCCAGTGTCCCCCCAATAGAAGGTTTTAGCTGTCCTTACAAGTCAGTTAAAAATGTTTAAGGAACATACTTAAACTGCAGCATTTCTAATGTGGCTGTCACACCACATTTAATGCAGAAAAGATGTATTTTTAAATGATCCGGTTACTCCAAGGCTTTGGCTTATAAAAGCCTTTTTTATTGAGATTCTAAATTCCAGTCTGAATAACCTTTCAATTTGTTCCAGTAATTTTTCCCCTCCTGCATTTGCATTGGCAATACAGCTGGAGTCATTTCAAAGCCTGGGCCCTGAGCACTGAGCCTTTTGTACCAAGTCTCCCCCTTCAGCATAGACTGTGGGTGCCAGATTTGACATTTCTATGAAGCTGTTTGCACAAGAAAAACCACTTGCTTTTCAAAGATCAAGATTAAAGAGAGCTTAGGAAAAGAAAGACAGCATGTAGTATTTTTCATCACCCCTGTGATTAACTAGGGGTAGAGGTAGGGGTCTGAACTACAAATTAAGTCACCTCAAGATTCCTTGAGTAGTTAAAAGTGCTACAAACAAATGCGGCTCTCTGTTAGTATCTCTGCTTACATCCCAAAGCCCTTGTTTCATTATCTAACCATCACTTTCCTTTGTGCTCTACTGTGAGCTTGCCGACATTTTGCAACTTGGCGCTTGGGTGACACTCATGATACAACATCAGTGTGAAGGTATGAACAAGGTTTAAACTTGATAGCTTTTCATGTGGCACCTTCTTCCTAAATATTGAAAAGAAAATGAGACCTTACAAAGATGGGATAATTGTAGGGGGATTTTAGGTCATTCCAATCAAAACCTGGTAGGAGGATAGTCAACGGTTATTGAACCTTCACTATGTGGCCAGCGCTGAGCAAGATGCTTTCAGGAATACTTTTGTCCAAAACTAAACATGTGAATAACAAAAGGTGGCCACCATTCCAATTGTAGGGACACTAGTTATCCTTAAAAAAATGTAATACCACCCAAGAATCTAGAAACTACTTTTACATTTAGTTTGTTTGAGTAGGATTAGGCCTGTAAAATTCTTATAAGTAAATTCTAGCTCCAAATGGATAAAATGAATCACATGTAGGTTAATACAAATAAACTCTGTGGCACCTTGTCCAACCTAAAACTTTTATTTATTTTTTTATCCTTTTTTTTTCTTCCAACTTTTAATTTAAGTTCAGGGGGTACATGTGCAAGTTTGTTACATGAGTAAATTGCATGTCACTGGCGTTTGGTGTACGAATTATTTCATTACCCAAGTAGTGAGCACAATACCAGGTGGATAGTTTTGTGATCCTCACCCTCCTCCCACCCTCCACCCTCATATAAGCCCCGGTGTCTATCGTTCCCCTCTTTGTGTCCATGTGTACTCAATGTTTAGCTCCCACTTATAAATGAAAACATGTAGGATTTGGTTTTCTGTTCCTATATTAATTTGCTTAGGATAATGGCTTCCAGCTGCATCCATGTTGCTGCAAAGGATGTGATTTCATTCTTTTTATGGCTATGTAGTATTCCATGATGTGTATGTACCACATTTTCTTTATCCAATCCACCATTTACAGGCATCTACATTGATTCCATGTCTTTGCTCTTGTGAAAAGGAGCACTCATGAAAGCATGTGTCTTTTTGGCAGAATGATTTATATTCTTTTGGGTATACTTTCAGTACTTTGATTGCTGGGTTGAATAGTAGTTCTGTTCTAAGTTCTCTGAGAAATCTCCAACTGCTTTCCACAGTGGCTAAACTACTTTCAGACCAGCAGTGTATAAGCACTCCCTTTTCCTCTGCAACCTAACATCTGTTATTTTTAAACTTTTTAATGACAGCCATTCTGACTGGTGAGATGGTATCTCATAGTGGTTTTGATTTACATTTCTGTAATCATTAGTGATGTTGAGCATTTTTTCATATGCTTGTTGGCCATGCACATGTCTTTTTTTGAGAAGTGTCTGTTCATGTCCTCTGTTCATTTTTTAATGGAGTGGTTTAAGTTCCTTAAGTTTAAGTTCCTTATAGATTCCCTGGACATTAGACTTCGTCAGATGCACAGTTTGCAAATATTTTCTCCCATTCTGTCTGTTTACTTTGTTGATAACTTCTTTTGCTGTGCAGAAGCTCTTCAGTTTAGTTAGGTCCCACTTGTCAATGTTTTTGTTGCAATTGCTTTTGAGAGTTTTCATCACAAATTCTTTCCCAAGGCCTATGTCCAGAATGGTTATTTCTTAGGTTTTCTTCTAGGGTTTTCACAATTTTAGGTTTTACTTTTAAGTCTTTAATCCATCTTGAGTTGATTTTTGTGTATGGTGAAAAGAAAGGGCCTGGTTTCAATCTTTTGCATGCAGATAGCCAATTATCCCAGCACCATTTATTTTTGAATAGGGAGTCCTTTCCCCATTGCTTGTTATTGTTGACTTGGTTGAAGATCAGATGGTTGTAGGTGTGTGGCTTTATTTCTAGGTTCTCTGACCTGTTCCATTGGTCTGTGTCTGCTTTTGTACCAGTACCATGCTGTTTTGGTTACTGCAGCCTTGAGGTTTAGTTTGAAGTCTATACTACAGTGTGATGTAGTGTGATGTCTCGGGCTTTATTCTTTCGGCTTAAGATTGCTTTGGCTATTCAGACTCATTTTTGGTTCCATGAAAATTTTAGAATAGTTTATTCTAGTTCTGTGAAAAATGACATTAGTAGTTTGATAGGGATGGCACTGAATCTATAAATTGCTTTGGGCAGTATGGCCATTTTAACAACATTGATTCTTCCCATCCATGAGCATAAAGTGTTTTCCCATTTGTTTGTTGTTGTCTCTGATTTCTTTCAGCAGCGTTTTGTAATTCGTGTTGTAGAGATATTTCACCTCCCTCGGTAGCTGTATTCCTACAACCTAAAACTTTTAAATGACCTTTTGTAGGGAAAAAAACATTTATAACACATATTTACATCTTTCAAGCACATCCTTGTGAACAGGAGCTAGATATATTAGATATAGAGAGGATGGAGGGGGAAATCTCAGTAGACTCCTTGAAATTCCTTACAAACAACTATTAGGCTTCCTGTACATGGTAGGGTTGATTTTACTTTCATTAAGATCACTAGTTTTCAAAGCTTTAATGACACAAACCAGTTTCTCATATAATTTGCTTCTGATCCACTTTCAAACATTAGATGATCTTTTTTGGTGGAGTGCACACATCTTAGTTGGTAGAAATAAAGACAAATTATAGGATTAGAGATGACTTGTAAAGCCTAGAAAGAAACTTCAGATCAGTGGCCAAATTGGTTTCTTTTAGGAATCAGAGGCACTTGACAAGCACTCATGAAAAGAACCTGATTTCTTTCATCCAATATGGCCCAGTTCCATTTAAATTTAGAACAGAGAATTCTGCAGCCTGTGCTTTTAGAATAATTACTGATGGCTCTTACTTTTTGAGAATATGCTGGGACTCTCAGAGGGAGGTGGTTCAATGGCTAAGCCTATAGCTCTGGAGTCTAATGAATTGGTGTTAGGTCTTCGTTTTTTCACTGAACAGTTTTGAGACTTGGGCAAGTAGTTTTCCAGCCCTATACAAAGGGACTAGTGATAGCTCCTGTCTCACAGGGCTGCCATGACAATTACATGAGGCAACTCCTGGAAAGCACTTTGCATAGAGCCCAATGCATAGGATAAAGTCAACTAAATAAAAACTTAATATTCCTATAGTATAACTATTTACCATTCTTCTACCAACTGGTTATTGATTCAAGTCTCATAAATTATAAAATTCTAAGGCTATAACCATACATATTAAAAATAAAAATAAAAACTTGGCATCTTGACTGTCACTTATTTGAAACATCCTCTGGAGAAACAATGTCCAACAGAACTTTATTCAATGATGAAAATATTATATATTTGTGCTGACATGGTTGTCACCAGCTAATGGGATTATTAAAACACTTGAAATTTGGTTGGTGCAACTAAGGAATTGAATTTTTAATTTGGTTTAATTTTAATTAAATTAAATGTGAATTTTAAGTGGCCACAAGTGGCTGATGGCCACCATGTTGGGCAGCTCAGTCACCTCTGGAATATGAGGAAAATAGACAGGAGAGCATAAATAAACAAAGAAATCAGTATCAGTGGGAAAAGCCACATTTGGATGAGAATGATTACTTAGCACTCACCCAGCAAACACTTGAGATGTTCCATGAGTCGTGAAGGTGAAAGTGAGCTGGGAGTTATAGACTGTCCTGAATTCAAATTCTGGATCTATCACTTACACGTTGTAATAGCTAGGTCAATCTGTTAGCTTCTTCTTAGCCAGGGGCTATGACTAGGTAGTGCACGTAGATAATAAATGCTAGGAGTGGATTCTGCTCCCTAAGGAAACCCAGGAGGGACAACCTTGTGTGTACCTGTGTCACGCACAGGTTAAAAGCACATCAGCACCCACACAAACACACGATTTAACCTCATGGTTAATATGGTTGTTTGGGTTGGCATAGTTTGGGTTATTCATTTAGTAAGAATATAAACTGTCCAGTAAGCACCCTTACTGTGTGGTGAGGCCCAAAGGGATAGAGGAAAAGCCAAATTAATATTATTTAGCACATATTAAGTACTTTCCATTTAATCTCACGGCAGCCAGGATGAAGTCAATATTACTATCCTCATTTTATATAGGCTACAAACGGAGGCATAGAGTGGTTAAATCACTCACCCAAAGGAACACAGCAAGCTGGAACCAAAATCCAGTCTGATAAAAGTCCCAATTCAGAAGAATCACTGCTGAGAAATAGAACAATAAATGGGGTGTGCCCTTATATTAAAATGCTGCTAGTCTCACGGAGAAGATAAGACATAAACACAAGGCAGCAGGACGTAAAACTAAGAGTGAGACATACATTGTCACAGGGAAGAGGAGAAGGGGCAAGAAGGAAACGCTGGCTTCTGAACAACTTGTTAGTGACTGGGGGGAAGCAGGCTGTTTCCCAAAGGATGGAAAGACTTTGCTTAATCATGACAAGCATGGGACACTCTTCTGCCCCATTAAAGAAGGAGCTCAGCAGATGCCCGGGACTGGAGAGATGAGCCTCCCTCTGACCTCCAGCCCCTTCCCCCTTGCTCCTCCAGCATCCCATGCAGTCTTCTTCCTCCTCCTGATTCTCTCTTGCCTGCTAGGTCTCCCAAGCATCCTATCAGAGAGAGGCTGGCATGGGGCCAAAGGAACAGTTTTTGAAACTGGAAACCAGATGCCACCAGCTCCCTATGACTTGGGTTCTGTCATGGCTTGATGCCTTGGTCTTATTTTCGTCTTAAGACTTCTGAGCAGGTTCAGGGTCTTCCTCTGTCTTTTCAATGAAGCACACTGTCAGCACCAGTAATCACTAAATAATAACGGTAATTACACCCTTCTTACCTAAATGTCTCCTATGATTTCAATAATTCCACTCTGAAGTCCTTGCAGGGCCGCCTGCATTCACGTGGTTGTTAGTGATTTGTACAAGCTTTTGCTCGCTCTCCCATACGTCCTTGTATGTCTATAAATGGTTACATTTGGGGAAAACACACAGGGTGGGAGATAAATACATAGGCAGGCCATTGCCCATGCACCAATTTATAAAATGCATCATAAGATATGAAAAGTGTTAGGCAAATGTGTTTATTTCTATGTTGTTCACATTTCCCTCAGTCATATCACATCTCCTTCTCCAAATGTTCTAATCATGTTTTATTCCAACTATAAGAATTCTGCTTACTTGTACGTTCTCATCTCTTCAAAGATGACGTCAAGCAGGAGGCAGAGATTGAGTTTTAATCCCTCGCTTGCCCTTCCGAATGTCAAGTATTTGTGGTGTTTAGCGTTTTCAAAATCAATGGGGACCAAAAACATATCAAAATGAGTATCAAGATCATTCAGAGCAGAATATTAAACACGCCTTATGTTTTCCTAAGGCAAGTTTTAAAAACAGGACTGGCAACAAAGCAAGTTTAAAGTTTATGAAAACAGACAACTCTAGCTGTATTCCATTTCCCTCTGTCTGGAAGCCAGCTCTTTTGAAAAAGTTCAAAGGAAAACTGAACTGTGACTCCCTTTCTAAATAAACAACATCATCCCTGTGTGTCAATAAGTTAACCATCCCCCAGTCCCTGATGTCCAAACCTACACCCCCTAATTTGCTATTCACATTCCTGAGACTACCCCTTGGTTACAAATCTGCTATTGTTGTTCTTTAGTTCCACACTGACAGGCAGTCTCCTGGGGAGCACCCATAGTAGTCAATTGTCGCCAGGATCTGAAAATAGCTTGAAAATATTATTTGGATTGTTTGCAGTTCATCATTTTAAATGAAAGTAAGGAGAGAGAGCAGCAAAAATGACAATAGCTAAAAATATCGGCAATAAACCTTATTTTCTGTTTGTGCAAAGTGTTGCTAACGTAACATATTGTGCATGATTTTAAAAACAAGAATGAATGGCAGGCCAACAGTGAAGATTACCATGCCCACAAGTGAAATGAGACTGGAAGAAAAAAAAAATGTCTGGCTAAGGGAAAACTAAATTAATTGCTCCATCTTCAAGATATTTAGCCAAGATTCTTCCTCCTTCCATCTCCTACCCTCTTCCCAGCAGTAGCTTTAGCATCCATTAAAATCGGTGATTTGAATGCATGGAAGGTAGTTAGAAAATAACTAGAAGTATCTTGCCTATAGCACTCTTGCTCCAACTCCCTCTCTCTGGAATGCATGAAAAATAAGTTAAGTGTGCACATGGCTCCATTCCTTCCAGACCACAGGAGTGTGGGGCACCTTGCAGCCAGAGGGAAAGAAGAAACAGGAGAGAGGAAAAGAGGTGGAGAAAGGGCAGTGAACATGTATTCTTGGGAGTGAGGATTCCATCAAAATGGTCAGATAGGGATTTCTGCTTGTCCTTGGAAACTGTAGGATTAGAAAAGCTGATGCTCTAAAGTTCGTTCAGCCAAATGAAGGCGGTTCCCTAAGACAGTGGTCCTCAAACTTTACTGTGGATAAGAGTCACCTTGGGTGCTTGTTAACATGCAGATACCTGAGTCTGACTCTGGACCCAGAGTTAGAAACTTCAGAAACAGAGCCAGGAATCTCATGTTTTTGTTTGCTTGTTTTTGTGAGATGGGGTCTCTGTCATCCAGGTTGGAGTACAGTGGTGCAATCGCAGCTCACTGCAACCTCCGCTGCCTGGGCTCAAGTGATCCTCCTACCTTAGCCTCCTGAGTAGCTGGGACCACAAGCATGCACCACCATGCCTGGCTAATGTTTTGTATTTTTGGTAGACACAGGGTTTTGCCATGTTGCCTGGGCTGGTCTTGAACTCCTGAGCTCAAGTGATCCACCTGCCTCGGCCTCCCAAAGTGCTGGGATTACAGGCGTGAGTCACAGCGTCTGGCCAAGAATCTGATTTTTTTAAGAGAGCTCCAGAGCACTAAAGCTAGGGACCCCCAAATCTTGTAAACAAACAACAGGATCAAAAACACTGCTTCTCACTACTGGGTTCCCCAAACAAAAAACTCTGCATACTCTTGGACTTGTAAGAGTCAAGAGACAATGGGAAGTAAGCAAGGATGATTTTTAACATAATACTGCTGGCTAATTTATGAGCTTAGCCCCATTTTAGCATTCTTTAAAATGTCTTCTGGAGGGTTCAGTGCTAGAGCAGAGAATAGGGTCTTCCATGAAGTGGAACCACAGGACAACTGGGTTTGCTAAGTAATGTGATGATGGTAGGTGCACATACAGCCACCGACCACACACAAGAAGAAAGGTGAGTGGGGGACAGTGGAACTGTGCCATTCTTTCCTCTGTGTACTCGCTACCACCACATTCCCTGACCACACACCCCTCTGCTGATAACCACATCCTGAACAAGAGAAAAAAAACCCTCTTCTAAGGAAACATCCTATGACAAGGAAAAGCAAACAAAGTGAATTACAAAATCAGCTGATGACAGAAGTCAAACTCATTTCTATGCATTGTAAATAGCATCGGACCTCATAGGCATTTGAAAATAGTTTCCTAATGTCAGTGTAGTAGGAAGCAGACTCCTCCTGCCCTGCCATGCAGAATATCACTGCTGCTGGAATGGGGGGACCTTCCAGCCCACCGTCTTGAGATGAAACGTGAAGGCTGCAGGGAGCCCTCTCCAATCTGCTAACCTAGGGAGTCACTGGTCCAAATAACACCAGCAATTATTTGTGAAGTTACAACTGATGGCAACTATAATGGAAACTACTAAGAAGATTTTTCTCTGAATATAATGGTGGAGTTACTAGAAGCCAGACAGGAACACAACCCACTCCCCGACCCTGGCCATGCCTCCCACCTCTCTCCCAGTCTCTAGGACCACACTGGGGGAGACAAGTGAAGAGACAGATGAGAATAAGATGTAGAAAGAAGGGAAAATAAGAAAACCAAGGCCTTTTCAGGAACAGTAGTCAACGCAAAAGCCAAGAAAAGAATATCTGATCATCTGACTTCACAACATTTTTAAACTTTGACATGGCAAAACCACCATAAAAATCAGAAGGCAAATAACAGAGAAAATTATTTGTGAACAATGACAAAAGTTAATATCCATCTATGAAAAGACTTCTTGCAAATCAATAAGGAGAAGGATGTACTCTTCAATTTAAAACAAAAGTGGAGGCAAAAGTCTTGAGTCATTCACAGAGAAGAAAATATGAATGACTATAAAATCTTATTGGTAATGAAAGAATTGCAAATTAAGAAGAGGTTGCATTTATTCTGTTATCATGTTGGCTAAGGTTTTTTAAAAGTTCATCTCTAGCAACAACTAGCAGGTAAGGGGAAGAGAGCACTGGTACATTGCTGGTGGGGATGTGCATTAATAGAACTCTCCTTGAGGGCCATTTGCAAACAGGTATCCATAGCTTTAAAATACTCGTAACCTTGGAACCACTCATGCATTTGTATGTATGCATCCTAGAAACAACTTGTGATATGCACAAAGATGATGGTTTAAAAAAAAAAAGCAACAAGAAACAGAAAAAAAAAACTAAACTTGAATACTGTTCAGTCACTGAAATCAAGTTTTCATAAAATATTTTCAGCCAGGTGTGGTGGCTCATGCCTCTAATACCAGTACTTTGGGAGGCTGTAGCAGGTGGATCGCCTGAGGTCAGGAGTTCAAGACCAGCCTGGCCAACATGGTAAAACCCCATCTCTACTAAAAATACAAAAATTAGCTGCGCATGGTGGTGGGCACCTGTAATCCCAGCTACTCAGGAGGCTGAGGCAGGAGAATCACTTGAATCCAGGAGGCAGAGGTTGCAGTGAGCCGAGACTGTGCCATTGCACTCCAGCCTGGGTGACAAGAGCAAAACTCCATCTCAAAAAAAAAATATTTTATGACATGACAAAGTGGTAATGACATGATAGGGAAGAAGGCTCAAGATAAAAAGTTATGTAGAATGATCCTCACTTTGTGAAAAGCGTTTATAGAAAAAAGGCTAGAAATTACTACATTGGGATTTTAACTATGCATTCCCTATGAGATGCATTCACTGGAAAACCTTATTTTTCTCCTTATATTTTTCTATTATTTCTCAGAATAAAAAGAATATAACAAAGGTATCAGAAGACACAAAAGAAGAAAAGGGAATGAAAACAGAGGAGGGGGTAAGCATGTGGACCCTCTTACAGGGAAGGAACCCAAATACAGCTAGCAATACCTCAGGCACTTTTTCAAAAGAGCTACTTGAGAATTCAAGTTTTGGTATTTTGAGTATGTTGAATGCAAAGCATCCACCAACTGTCTTGTCACAGGATTTGAGCAGTGGGTGGACTGAATCTTCCTGTTAACTGTTCCTGAGGCCACCAAATGTCAATAGCAGAGCAGCCCATCTAGGACAGCATACCTTCACCAGTCCAAGGCAAAATGAGGAAAATCAGTGTGTATAGTATTTTCTATAAAGTTATAAGTATATTTGTGTGTCATTTAATAACAGGGATACTATGTTCTAAAAAAATGTGTTATTACAAGATTTGGTTGTTGTGTGAACACCATAGAGTGTATTTACACACACCTAGAGTGTGTACATAGCATAGCCTACTACACACCAAGGCTATATGGGACAGCCCAGTGTTCCTAGGCTGCAAACCTGTACAGCATGTGACTACTGAATACTGTAGGCAACTGTAACACAATGGTAAGTATTTATTTATCTAAACATACCTAAACATAGAAAAGATATCGGAAAGTATGGTATAGAAGATTAAAAATGGAACTCCTGTATAGGGCACTCACCATGAATGGAGCTTGCAGGACTGGAAGTTGCCCTAGGTGAGTTAGTGAGTAAGCGGTGAGTGAATGTGAAGGCCTAGGATATTCCTGTACACTTTAGAAGCACTATACACTTAGGCTACACTAAATTTATTTTTTAAAATGTATTTCTTCAATAATAAATATCTAAGCTAACTGTGACTTTTATAAACTTTTAATTTTTTTAACCTTTTGATTCTTCTGTAGTAACATGACTTAAAATATAAACACATCGTACAGCTGTACAAAAATATTTTCTTTATATCTTTATTAGCTTTTTTCTACTTTTAAAATTTTTAATTTTTTTATTTTACTTTTTAAACTTTTTTGTTAAAAACGAAGACACAAACACCCACATTAGCCTAGACCTACACAGGGTCAGGATTATCAATATCCCCATCTTCTACCTCCACCTCTTGTCCCACTGGAAGGTCTTCAGGGGCAATAACAGGCATGGAGCTGTCATCTCCTATGATAGCAATGCCTTCTTCTGGACACCTCCTGAAGGACCTGCCTGAGGCTGTGTTACAGCTAAATTTTCTTTTCAATAAGTAGATGGAGTACACTCTAAAATAATGATAAAAGTATAGTACAGTACATAAACCAGTAACATAGTTATCATCAAGTATTTTGTACTGTACATAATTGTGTGTGCTATACTTTTATATGACTGTTGATGCCAGCCTTGTTTACACCAGCATCACCACAAACACGTGAGTAATGTGTTGCACTAACATGTCAGGATGGCTGCAGCCTAGGTGGCTGGAATATTTTAGCTTCATTATAATCTTATGGAAAAACCGCATAAGAATATGCGGTTCATTGTTGATTGGAACATCGTTATGCAGAGCATGACTGTATTTCACTGAAAGGATTATCCTTTATTCCTATAATGACCTTCCCACATTTTAGTGTTAAGATGCCCATTTTTCTATGAGATGATGAGATAATAAATACCAGTTGTTCTGTTTTGGTTTTCTTAACATATTGACAAAGCAAAATTAAAACCTGCAGCTTTGTGTTACTACACAACTTTGGGGCTTTTTTGTTGTTGGTGGTGGTGGTGGTGGTGGTTTTTTTTTTACATTTTGCTGGTCCATGAAATCCAGGTATCTGATATCCAACTCTTAAATCCCCAAGCCTCACTTAAAAAGAGTTAGCCATTTCATGTGTGGAAGCAAAAACTAAATGGCTTTTTTTCTTCAGGCACTTGCTGGGTAAATTCTCAGCAGAGGATGATAGATTACCACTTTTGAGTTGAACAGAATTGCCAAGGCAGAGACATCTGTAGAATACAAGCATTCTTTCCAAAAAGGCTGCTAGAGACACACACATCTACCCACAGAATGAAAGAAACCTGTAACTGGTCTACAGCCCATCCTGCCTTTTGGTGAGTTGATACAGGTAACTGGGTGGGGATCCATTTTGCTGGTTGATGGGTTGTGTCCAGAGAGCTGAGGCTTGGGAATTTCTAAGAAATTTTCGTAGGATCCAGACTTAAATGGAAGCTCAGTTCTAGCTAGTGTCCTGAGGGTCACCAGAGTCTGAACACAAAAGAAAGAAAGAAAAGAATAGAAAAGAAAAGCAAGCAGGGAGCATGTCAGCCCAGAGCTGGGCACCCAGGCCCTGAGTCTGGCATACAAGTTCATGGTCCCCTGCTCCCTCTGCAGGCACAGCATCCAGAAATGTGGTGGACTAAGGAGAGAGGATGTGGGCTGGCATTCTGCTGAAATGCTCTCCTGACCTGAAGGGGCATGACTTAAAAGGAATTCTTAGTGGAGGGAAGAGAAAAACAAGTCTGATGGATCAAAAGAAATTAATATTACTGGCTGGGCGTGGTGGCTCACACATGCCTGTAATCCCAGCACTTTGGGAGGCCAAGGCAGGTGGATCACTTGAGATCAGGAGTTTGAGACCAACCTGGCCAACATGGTGAAACCCTGTCACTACTAAGAATACAAAAATTAGCTGGGCATGGTGGCGCATGCCTGTAGTCCCAGCTACTCGGGAGGCTGAGGTGGGAGAATCGCTAGAACCCAGGAGGCGAGGTTGCAGTGAGCCGAGGTCACGCCACTGTACTCCAGCCTGGACAAGTGAGACTCTGTCTCAAAAAAAAAGGAAGAAAGAAATTAATATTATTAATTACTTTAACTAGTTATCAGCTGTTTGTAATAAATGACATTGTGACAACTTGAGGGCTATTCACAGAGTCAAAATTAAAAGATAAAGAACAATTGGTGAAGGCATCCACTGCATTCTCTTTAATTTCCTGAAGCTGAAAAGACAAATAAATGAAATACTGCAAATGTGAACATTTTACTAAGCACACAATAGATAAATTAAAAACTCTGTCCTACAGGAAAATACAGCAACACATCCTCACTCACATAGGCCCCAGAGCTGGCTCCTCTCCAAGCCACTGGGGTCTGAAGGAATTCAGCACTTGCTCATTTTCATGTTAATAAACTAAGGATTTTGAATTAGAGAGTATTATAATTACTTTTCTTTCTAAGCTGTCTGCTGGCAATATACTTTCGGCACCTTTTTTTTGGCATTCTGATAACCTCCTCTAGGCAAGTGATTTAAATACAGTCAGTCTTCCATCACTGCCCCTCTCTTTCTCTCCTCATTGACTGAATATTGCCTGGATGTGCAGCTGGAAACTAAGCAAGTGAGTCACCACAATATGTTCCTTTGTTGATTACACATATCAGCTGTTTGTATGGAGTCTTCGAGCCATTGGGAAGTCCCCTGGTAGCAAAGAGCCTGGCTGCTGCTGAAATTTGACCAGAATATCTTGGGGAGGGGAGCAGAAGAGTCAGTGCAATGTAGGGCCACACTGTTAGCCAAGAGAAAGGCTATTTCCATGGCCTGAGTGTTCAAAGGCACATAAAACTCTGCAGCGTAGCTTCGTTTTCTTTCACACAGGGGTGAGCCATCATGGGTGGTAGAAGGCTCTGGCGGGTTGGGAACCAGGCCTCTTCTCCTAAGAACTGACAAAGCCCAACCCCATTAGAGTAGACAGCTAACATCTTCTAAAGGCATCTTCAAACACACACAGACACACGCACACACAATCAGAGAAAAGCTCAACCAAAAAACTTCATACTTCCTTGCCATTTGTAGGCCACACACCACCATAAAATAGAATAATAGAATAATCAATCATAGGGTAAAAAGACAGCCCTCGATTGAGTGGGGCTTTGCTGCACTACCCCTCAGAGGTGACTTTCCCAGAAGACTAGCCTAAATCCTTCTAGCATGAGTGTAAGGTTTTCCCTTCTTATTCTAGACACAGGAGAAATGAAAAGGGAAAACAAAGTAATCAAACTGCACAAAACCTATTTGTCATATTTTAACAAATAAATTCTATCTGTGAAATAACATTCTCCCAAATTGCAGGATCCATACTGGTTCTTCAGTCAGATACAATTCTGTTATCAAATCACAGGCCACCCAGAATAAAAGGATATTTAGTCTAGTTAACTGTCAAAAACCATAGCTATTCAATACAAATACCACTAGCCAGATAACATACTCCATGGAAAATATAGGTAAAAATAAGCAGTTCACACAAATGAGATAAAAGTAATGATGATGATGATGATAATGATTCATTCAGCAGATATTTATTGAATATTTACTTTGTGCTGGGCCCTGTTATGAGTATTTAGGACTTAATCAGTGAATAAGCTACAAAGATCCCCATCCCTGTGTGCAAACGGTCTATTGGAGAGGAACAATGAACACTATAAATAAGTAAATTATAAAGTATGTAAGAAAGTAGTAAGGAAAATTACTATGGGAAAAAAAATTAAGCAAATTGAGAAGCATTTGGAGTTTTAGAACCAGAGTCAATGGACAGAACTAGAGTTAGTGGAGAGGAGAGAAAAATAAATCTGATGACAAGATCAATAGAAATTAATATTACTGGCTGGGCGTGGTGGGTCATCATGGTAGATGTTACAGAGAAAGTGACAAGTGGGCAGACTTAAAGGAGATGAGATAGTTGGATGTGCAGATATCTAGGGAAAAATGTCCCAAGCAGATGATACAACCAGTGCAAAGTTGTAGAGGCAGGAGAGTGCCTGCTTGTCTCAGGAGTTGTAAGGAGGTTGTCCAGGCTGGAGACACATGAATGAAAGGAAAGAGACATGGGTTTTTTCTAAGGAACTAGCTTCTACTTGGAGAAAATGGAAGCCACCAGAGGACTGAGCAGAGGAGAAACATGAGCTAACATGCATTTTAAACAAATCACTCTGGCTGTTGTGCTGAAAACAGATTATAGGGGAAGGGGTGTCAAAGAGGCAGGGAGACTAGTTAGGAGGCTAGTGTAGTGTTCATGTGACCAGACCAGTGGGTAGGGTGTGTGTGTGTGTGTGTCAGAGTCGGCATATCTGGAGGTAGAGCCACGAGGATTGACTAATTCACTTGTTGAGGGTTAAGAGAGAAAGAGTCTTCAAGGATGACTTCAAGCTGCTGATCTGTGCAGTGAGAAGGAGGGTTTTGCTCTCGAACACACTGGGGGTGGCTGAGGGAAGAACCAGTTGGGGAGGTAGTTGAGGAGCTGAACTTTGGACAAGAGAAGTCTGAGATGCCCATTAGACATCCAGGCAGAGATGCAGGGAGGCAATTTGATGCACAAGTCTGAGCTTCAGGAAAGAGGTCTGTCCTGGAGATACACATCTGGGGGCTGTCAACATGTAGATGGAATTGAAAGAAATGGGCCTGGACCAGATCACACCATCCCTGGGAATAAATGTGGATAGAGGAGAAAGTAGCAATAAGCACTGTGCCTGGAGCATGTAGGCTGGAAGAACTGAGCGGGAACCAAAAGAAGGCTGAGAAGAGGCTCGTGAGAGGAATGAAACCAACAGGCCTCAGTATCCTGGCAGCCAAGAAAATCAAGGAGAGGGCGAGATCGACTGTGTTAAATGCTGCTGCTAAGTGAAGCAGAAGAAACACTGAAAATGAACTGCTGGTTTCAGCGACCATCACTACAATTATTAGCATTAATAATTGCAGCTATGGCTTTTGAACTCTTTCTCTGTGTCAGGAACCACGTCATGTGCTTTATGTATACAACCTCATTCTTTTTTTTTTTTTTTTTTTTTTTTTTTTTTTTGAGACAGTCTCACACTGTCTCCCAGGCTGGAGCGCAATGGTGCAATTTCAGCTCACTGCAACCTCCACCTCCTGGGTTCAAGCGATTCTCCTGCCTCAGCCTCCTGAGTAGCTGGGACGTCCAGCTAATTTTTGTATTTTTAGTAGAGACGCGGTTTCACCATGTTGCTCAGGCTGGTCTTGAACCCCTGACCTTGAGATCCGCCCACCTTGGCCTCCCAAACTGCTTGGATTACAGGCATGAGCCACCACACCCGGCCTTACAATTATTAACATTAATAATTGCAGCTATGGCTTTTGAGCTCTTTCTCTGTGTCAGGAACCACGTCATGTGCTTTATGTGTATGACCTCATTCACTCTTTACAACTGTCCTCAGAGCCCATTTCACTGTCATCATAATGCAGACCTAAATATTGAGTTTTGGAGAAGTAAAGTATACTCGGCCAAGCAGGAGAAAGGATGCGAATAGAAACCTCACTCAATAATCTACCTTTCTTCTCCTTTCCTTCCCTCCTTCATTTGTTCATTCATTCCTTCACTCCCTTTATCCTTCCTTCCTGTCCTTCATAACATTCATAGGAAAAAAGGCACAGGAAAAAGAGAAAGTGAAAAAGGTAACAAATAAAAAATGAGTATGGAGACAAGGAAAAAAAGAAGGAAATAAATTAGGGACTCCTTATAGATACAAATGGCTTCTATTTGAGCTAATATCAGTAGGTAATTTGGGAGACACAGGACATTTAAAATGAATATCTGACCAATTAATACAAAGTAAGAAATAAGAGCTTCATGCTCTTGGGGACAAAGAGTCATGTTTGCTATTCACCTGCTAATTCTTTTCTTCTGTTTTTAAAGGCCAGTGTGATTCTTTTAAATAATAAAACATGTGATGTTGCTTATACAACATGAAAGATAATAAAACCGGGAGAAGGAAATAATATCACTAAGTAAGAACATTCTGGTTAATAACGACGCAAAGACAAGTAGATTCACAGAGTTCTACTCATGAGTTTAAAAACAAAACAAAACAAAAAAAACCTGTTGGCTAAGGTGTCTTTGAGACAAAGGGTACCTGTCTGAAGTCTGTATGCAGAAGAATCATTCTCAGTAATAAAGTCGTTCTAGTGACAGCATATATCTAACACCAATGTGATTTATTAGGAAGAGGAGCTTGCAAAGCTCTGCACTAAATACCTCCTTTGAAAATCAAATTCAGCCAGATATGGGACTCACAAGGGTTTAGAAAGCCAAGTTGCTATGTCAAAATGATTCTTTCCATGATTCCTGCAAACACATGCCTCTCTGTTCAGTGTTGTGTCTCCAACATGCAATAAGTATTCAATTATCCTTTACTGAAATAGCTGAACCCAAGTGATTCCTTTTGGTTTAGATAGTCTATTTCAAAACTTTTGGGCATATCAACCACCTAGCTTTCAGAAGATCAATTTCCTGTTTCCCCTTCTATCTACTAGAAGTTTTATTTCCTTAAAAAAAACTTAGAAAAATTTGTCCCAAGAAAAGTAAAAATTTGCCCGGGCATGGTGGCTCATGCCTATAATCCTGGCACATTGGGAGGCCAAGGCAGGCGGATCACGAGGTCAGGAGTCTAGACCATCCTGGCCAACATGGTGAAACCCCGTCTCCATTAAAGGTACAAAAAAAAAAAAAAAAATTAGCCAGGCTTGGTGGTGAGTGCCTGTAATCCCAGCTACTCGGGAGGCTGAGGCAGAAGAATCACTTGAACCTGGGAGGCGGAGGCTGCAGTGAGCCGAGATGGCACCATTGCACTCCAGCCTGGGTGACAGGGTGAGGCCCAGTGTCAAAAAAACAAAAAAAAAAAAAAACAAAAAAAAAAAAAGAAAAAGAAAAAGAAAAATCCGATTTGAATAACAGAATACTTTGAGTGCTTCTTCTTAGCACTCAGGTATGCCACCTATAGAGACCATATATCCAAGCTTCCAAATTTTTCTTGATTTACAATGACTCCGGGTCAAAACAAATGTCTAACAGCCCTTTTTATTAAGTAGTTATGCCCTGACAACTCAATAGGCATTTGAAAAACTAACAATATTTTATATCACCCTTAACCATATTTACACCTGATAGATCAGGCATAAATTCTCGAGCCTTGAAATCAGACTGGACACCAACCCTCATTTCCTATTCCACATTAATTTTTCCATAATACTTGTTTTTTTAATCACAGCAATTGCCAAAAAGCCATCTTCACAGAGCTATGACATCACTAAAAGGAGAAAGCATAATCCACTGAAATTACTAATTCATGAGATGTCAAATAGTGTTGCTAAGCTGTGCTTTCATTGGAAATGTAAAATATTCTGCAGAGCCCTGGTGATTTTGCTGCATACCAAAGGGTACCTCGGCCCACAGTTTGGGAAACATAGCCATGTACTAAGCCTAAATTATAGAGTATCTAAAACCTACTACACTGTGAATTGGGAAGACATTCAAACGTACACCTGTTTTCTTTCTCTTACCTCCTGTTGTTTTGTAGATTCAGTCTTAACATTACTTTAACCTTTGACCATGAATCTTGAGATAGACTAACAAATTTATATCCTTCCTGCAAAAATCTGAACCATCTGCAGTTTAATGACAAGTGCTAGTCAGAGTACTATTGAAGAGGTTGTTAGTTCAGGGGTCAGCAAGCTTTATCTCTAAATATTTTAGGCTTTGTGCGCCATTTGGTCTCTGTTGCAACTATTCAACTCAGCCACATAGTGAAAAAGCAGCCACAGACAATATGTAAATGAATGGGCATGGCTGTGTTCCAATAAAACTTTATTTATATCAATAGGCAGCAGGCCAGACTTGGCCCACAGATTGTATTTTAGCAAACCATGGTCTAGCTAGATAGGGAGATTGCTCTATTTCATTATTTGTATTAACACAGTCCTGCTATGAGAATCGAGACAATTCAAACTGCAATGGTAAAAGTATTTCTGTAAAAGCCATGTAATGCAGCAAACACCTACTGATCCCCTTTCAGGGCAGGTGCAGGAATAGGGTACAGAAGCATAAGGGTTGTCCTTGCCCATGAGCACCCCACAGTCTACAAGGAGGCACATGTGTATATAAGTTAATGATTATAGTAGGAAAGCACAGATGAGTGATGATTTTCACCTGATGAGGTGGAGGAAGGAATCAGGTGATAGCCAAAGAAAACAACTCCC
The DNA here is from genome assembly GCF_000001405.40 of Homo sapiens. NCBI lineage: Eukaryota > Metazoa > Chordata > Mammalia > Primates > Hominidae > Homo > Homo sapiens. Next base: position 54,685,785 of record NC_000003.12, on the reverse strand, counting down.
AAAACACAAAATGACCAGGGGTGGTCTCTATGAACAAGAAGTCTTCCTGCAGTTGTCTGTACTAATAGCTAGCCATGAACAGTTACTAGGTAGGGACGATGTCAGCCACAATGCTGAGCACATTATAGGTGGTATATTATTTTCCCAGATGAGACAACGGAGGTTAAGATTACATTGCTAGTCAAGAGCAACAGCAGGATTTGAAGGCAGGTGTATTTTCCCCAGGATCTGTTTCTTAGTCACTGTAATATACAGCTTCTAGAAAAAGGCATTCAGAAGGAAAGTAATCAGATTGACTGACTGATTCACTCCAGGGATTGGCAAACTATAGCCCACAAGCCAAATCTGGCCCACTGCCAGTTTTTGCAAATAAAGTTTTATTGGAAAACTGCTATGCCCATTCATTTACATGTTGTCTATGACTGCTTTAATGCTACAGTAGCAGACTTAAGTAACTGCAACACAGACTGCAATCACCTGTAAAGCCTAAAACACTATCTGGCACTTTGCAGAAAAACTTTGAGGACCTCCGATTCATTCATTCAATTGAACGGTTTTTCTTTTTCTTGTTGTTGATTTCATTCATTCTCATTTTCAGAGCTAGTCCATGACCTTCTGGCCTCAGGAAGTCCATCCCTCTGCATTTTTCGGCTGTTGAACCACCCTCAGAAATATGCCCCACAGGCTTTTGTTCTCTGGAGCCTCGTCATTTTCCATATTTGTCTCAGCTGCCAAGACGCACATGCAGGAGTTGATAGATTGTAAGGTGACATTTAATCAAAGTCAGGGTTTTCATGTCTTGCTGAATTTGAAGGTAAACACATGTTTCCACAGTTTCCTGCACTCCAAGCAGTGGGATGCATGCATTATGTAAACGAGATTGAAGAGGGAGGCGACTTTGTAGACCCTCCTCTTATATGACTGAGAATCACACCAGCCAGCCCAGCCAACCCTAAACCTGCTGGACCCACTGGGCTGCTCTCACAATTTGTGTTCACTTGAGAACTTCTTAACATGGGATTTTTTTTTTAACATGACAAACGTTTAATAATGGTTTTTAATTTTGTACGCTGTCTCCTGGGCTTCTCAGGAAATGTGAAAGGTCAGAGTGTCTCCTGCCATTTGATCAGATATCTACACTATCTATTCAAACTGCACCAAGGGGAAATGCACCAAGGGAAAATAAGACAGAACAAGCCCAGTGAAGTAATCAATAAGCAAATGTTAGCATTGTCTGCAGTGTCCACTCAGGAGAAGACACAGCAGCTGGCAAAACAGGTAACTTCAGATGATGTGCTTGATCCAGAATGAAGCCAAGGCTCCCTCCAGCCTAAAATAAAGGTGGTGTTTGCTGTTGGCTGAATTGTGTCTCCCAAAAAGATATGTTGAGGTCCTAATCCCCAGTACCTGTAAATGTGGGCTTAATTGGAAACAGGGTCTTCGCAGATACAGTCAAGTTGAGGATGTATTGGGTTAGGTGGTCCCTGATCAAATGACTGGTGTCTTTATAAAAAGATGGAAATTTTGGCCAGGCGTGGTGGCTTACAGCTGTAATCCCAGCACTTTGGGAGGCCAAGACGGGCAGATTACATGGGTCAGGAGTTCAAGACCCGCCTGGCCAACATGGTGAAACCATCTCTCTACTAAAAATACAAAAATTAGCCGGGCATGGTTGCGGCGTGTGCTACTCGGGAGGCTGAGGCAGGAGAATCGCTTGAACCTGGGGGAGAGAGGTTGCAGTGAGCCGAGATAGCACCAGTGCACTCCAGCTTGGGCTACATGAGTGAAACTCCGTCTCAAAAAAAAAAAAAAAAAAAAAAAAAGGTGGAAATTTGGGCACAGACACACAGAGGAAGATGGCCACGTGAAAGAAGGGGCAAGGATTGGAGTTATGCTGCCACAATCCAAGGAACACCAAGGGTTACTAGCAACCACTAGAAGCTAGGAGCAATGCATGGAACAAACTCTTCTCTAGAGTTTTCAGAGAGACCACGGCCCTGACAACACCTTGATTTCAGACTTCTAGCTTCCAAAACTGTGAGAGAATAAATGTCTATTGTTTTAGGCCATCTAGTTTGTGATACAAGGCATCCCTGAGAAACATAGTATTGATGGCAATAGTTCTCCTAAGAAAGGAAGAAGGGGAAGCATGACAGTGAACACTGGAGGGTCGCTTTCCCTGCACCAAGTACCATGCTGTGTGTATTGTATGCATTATTTCAATGCTCGCCACCTTTGACCTAAGTATTGGTAATTTCCATTTTATAGTCAAAGAAACTACTCCTGGAGAGCTTGTCCACTGTCACAGGGCTAACAAGTAGCAAGGCCTGGAATCAAATGCTGGTGCATTGAACTCCAAATCCATGCTTGTAATCACTACTTCCTACTGCTGACCAAGCCCACATTGAAAGTTTTTGTCTGTATATCTGGTTTTTGTGTTTTTATTTCCAGACATAGCAAGGCAGTCCATACAGAGAAGCTAGCTCCAAGACCTCTTACCTAGGGAAAGAGAGAACTCACACCTCTATCTGTGGGGAGCTGCCATCTCAGGCAAGTTCTCTCCTAGTAACTTGAGGCTGCAGAAGGATGGTGGCATTTATGAAGTTCATTACTACTGTGATGCTGAGTGTTCCATTTCAGAAGTGAATTTCTAGTTATATCTCATTCCTTTTTATTCCTGTCAGTGAGAAACTTTGTAGAGGGGGTGTGAATGAAGGGGAAGAGGATACAATCTATATTGGTTTGTTTATGAGAATCTTTATCTAGTTGCTTTTGCAAGATAACCAAGATCCAATTTTTGCTTTTCCTATTTTCACTGTGCTGTTTTGTCATAAAATTTAATCAACTCAGAAGTTAAAATTAATAGCTCAGCTTCAGAGACGTCATCAAGACTGACTCGACTTCAGAGAAGGCAGTGGGTGGTGGGATGGTAAGAACACACCAAGTCTCCACTTGATCTCTCCAAGCAGTGCTCAGCCCAAGCCTACTGCTTGGGAATCACACTGATGACCTTGTGGGAAGATTAGATTTTAATCTTCCTTTCCAGATGTAGCTTTCCAGATGTATTTATAAAATAGAGTATATTTAAAGGCCATTCTGAAGGCATTCACTATACTCACTTTTTGAACTTGTAATTCTTTAATTCTATTCCTTATTAATTTCTTTTTTCTTTTTTGAGTCAGAGTTTTACTCTGTCACCCAGGCTGGAGTGCAGTGGCACCATCTCAGCTCACTGCAGCTCAAGCGATTCTTGTGCCTCAGCCTCCCAAGTAGCTGAGATTATAGGCCTGCACCACCATACCTGGCTAATTTTTATATTTTTAGTAGAGACAGGGTTTCGTCATGTTGGCCAGGCTGGTCTCAAACTCCTGGCTCAAATGATCCACTCGCCTTGACCTCCCAAAGTGCTGGGATTACAGGCGTGAGCCACCACGCCCGGGCTAATTCTATTCCTTATTGATTTCATTCTCAACGTTCTAATGATATACAACATAAAGAAGAACTTTAAGTCTGCATATAATTATGCCTCTGTTTCCTTCTCATATTTATATTTAAATACTTTTGTTATCATGACATTACTAGGGTTTTGTGGTGTGTGTGTGTGTGTGTGTGTGTGTGTGTGTGCTGTTCTGTTTTGCATAAATGAGACACAAAAGGAGGCAGCCAGAATGCAGTATAAACATCACACTTTGCAATCACGCACACATGATTCAAATTCCAAATCCCCCCCATATTTGTTTTTGGGCAGGTCACTTATTTTCTCTGAACCTAAGTTGTTCACCAATTAAAAGCTTGCATCAGGGGCTGGGCATGGTGACTCAACGCCTGTAATCCCAGCACTTTGAGAGGTGGAGGCAGGCGGATCACTTGAGGCCAAAAGTTTGAAACCAGCCTGGCCAACTTGGCGAAACCCCATCTCTACTAAAAGTAAGAAAGTTAGCTGGGTGTGGTGGTGCATGCCTGCCTGCAATCTCAGCTCCTTGGGAAGTGGAGGCATGAGAATCACTTGACCCCAGGAGGCAGAGGTTGCAGTGAGCCGAGATTGCATCACACCAGCCTGGGTGACAAAGCGAGACTCTGTTTCAGAAAGCAAAAACAAAAAACTTGCATCACATAGACATTTAAATGTTAAAATACTTTTCTCCACAGATCCAACCTTCTATCTTCCCCTATATGTCATCATGTCCACCTCTGTTTAATATTTTCACTATTCTTTTTTTTTTTTTTTTGAGATGGAGTCTCACTCTGTCGCCCAGGCTGGAGTGCAGTGAATGCGATCTTGGCCCACTACAACCTCCGCCTCCTGGGTTTGAGCGATTTTCTTGGCTCAGCCTCCCAAGTAGCTGGGACTACAGGCATGTGCCACCATGCCTGGCCTTTTTTTTTTTTTTTTTTTTTTTTTTGTATTTTTAGTAGAGATGGGGTTTCACCATGTTGGTCAGGCTGGTCTTTAACTCCTGACCTCAAATGATCTGCCTGCCTCAGCCTCCCAAAGTGCTGGGATTACAGGTGTGAGCCACCGTGCCTGGTCTCACTATTCTTTCTATCCATACATGACACAGTATACCATGATGACATGGTATAATAGACTTGAGAGATATGGTCACAAGTCAGAGTTTTGTCTACTTTCTCTCTCTTCTCTCTCTGTCTCTCTCTCTCTCTCTCTCCTTAGATAATAACACAGAGGAAAATTTTAAAAATGGGAACTCCATATAGCCATCAGATTTTAGGGAAAAAAGCCATTAGATAATCAATGAAAAAGCCATGTTCTCTCTCTTAACAACAGAGTTCTCACACTTAGAATCAACATTCCATGGCTTAAGAAAGGTGTCTACCTCTCCCCTCGGTTGTCAGCCCCAGGACCAGCCCTGCACTTGGCACACAGAGTGAGTGCTCAGTCTACCCCTGGAGAATAACTGGGGATCAGAGGAAGGGCTCTTTCACTTCTACCCATTATTGATTATAACTCCATTTTCAAAATGCAGCAACATAGCTATAACCCTGAAAAACCTCCCAAGCATCCAAAGGTCTTAAATGCAATCTGAAAGTAAACATGTGTCTCTGTACAGGATGGCACAATGAGAGCACTCAGGGAGGACAGCCTCTCCTCGATCAATTCTTACATCAAAGGAGAAGACCAACAACAATGAGTCCAGCAGCTCATGATCCTCCTGCTACATTCACAAATGCCATTTTTCCTCTTTGCAAATATCTTAATTATAGTAGCATCTGGAGGCACACACAGGCCAGGGAAACCCTGAGGATACCCAGACAGAATAAGAAGTCTCCTCAGGCAAGACCCAGGCTGGGGGTAGGGGCCATGTTGAAGAAGCTTAAGCACATTTTTACTATCTGAAAGCTACATAAAAATTCAATAAAAACTCCATTCATCAGCACAGCCTCAGAAACTTGCAAACATATAAACACATCTGGAAAAATGAGAAACATCTGGGTAGCCAAGAGAACAAAACCTTAGAATAAAAAGGAAGTGTTGTTGAGCTGAGCAAGATTATCAGCTTCTCCTTTTCCACAATTAGGTGAATGTATATCTTTGGAAGTATCCACACATTTGATCCAGGGACATAGCTGGTGATTATTTTTCCCTAGCAAACCATTTTTTTTTTTTAGCTTCTCAATGAATCTGGAGGCTATTTTACAGTTCCAACCTCCCCCAACCATGCCCTACAATCCTCCCTTACAAAAGTTGTTTGTGTGAGGGAATTATATTTTGTTCATATAGGAAAGAAGAACTAAAAGTATCTCTTTCCGCTGTTACTGGTTTTCATAAAGTACAGGTTTTAGAATTTAAATTAACAGCAACAAAAATGTTCACTCAGATCTATCACACTGGTTCAAGCAATAAACGATTTGCTGCAGCATTTTAAAAGTTTCAAACTTTGAATTAATTTGCAAATTTGGCAATTGCCAAAAAGGTAATTTTATTCATGATGGAAAATATTCACAGTAGCTCTGCCATTTTATTTAAAAATAAGAAATGATTTTGCCTTTGGACGCCATATTCACCTACTCAACACTGATCAAGTCTGACATTTTGCTGACCTTGAACCCACTGCGAAGCATGTTTTCAAAGAATGGTCTGCATGGTCCTGAATCTATTTCCTATGTCAGCAACTGCCAGAGACAAAGGCACTTCTGAGCAGAGCTGTGAAGGATGAGTAAGAGTGTGACACAGAGATAAGGGGTCATCTCAGGCAGAGGGTATATGACATTGCACAAAGAATGGAGGCCTACCACAATCTGGAAAACTGCAAGCAGCTTGACCATGTGTGGACCCCTTGCTGCCCCAGCTCTCCCAGGGATTGATGCACACAGAGAGGATATGGAGTGCTCAGTCGCTGCCTCAGTAGGCCCTGAACTTCTTCCTATTCCCTCAACCGCTCTAGCATCTATCTAAGGTGAGATAAGAAAAGGATGCTTTTGAGTAGACTTGGGAAGAGACAGAGCCTCTTTGAATATATAATACCCAAGAAAATGCCTAGAGCAGGCTAGTCTTTGCAGCCCTAAAGAGCTAATTATTTTGCAGCTGTTACACCCAGGGCATTCAAAAGCCACAAAGACCGTCCCCTTCCAGTATGGAGCCTAAGGGAGCCCTAAGGAGGCTAAGGAAAAGGACCAATGGGACCGCAGAGGAAGGGAACTCAGACAGAGAGGAGTTTGGGTCTTAAAGGGCAAGAGAGGGGCTGCCTGGCTGACAGGTAAGTCTTGAACCATGTTTCCCATCTTCTGGATTCTGTGTTCTTGGCTGACCAAATGTTAGGGTCTTTAATCCTTCCTTCTGCCACTCTCCACAAAGAAGAAACCTATTCCTGAATTTTGAAATCTTGCATTATAGAAAACAAAATTCCTTGGGATTCCAATTCAGACTGTTCGTTGAGCTACCACTGCTACACTTGCCTAATCATAACGCCAGTGTTTTTGTCTTTAATTCATTATCATTTAATTTTTAAACCTGAGAAAAAAGCAAATTTTACCAAACAAAGAAATGTTTATGCAATTAATTAACTTGATCATCAACTTTTTTTTTTTTTTTTTTTTTTTTTTTTTGAGACCGAGTCTCACTCTGTCACCCAGGCTGGGATGCAATTGCACGATCTCGGCTCATTACAACCTCCACCTCCCGGCTTCAAGCGATTCTTCTGCCTCAGCCTCCCAAGTGGCTGGGACTACAGGCGCGCACCACCATGCCCGGCTAATTTTTGTATTTTTAGTAGAGATGGGGTGTCACCATATTGGCCAGGCTGGCCTCAAACTCCTGACCTCATGATCCGCCCTCCTTGGCCTCCCAAAATGCTGGGATTACAGGCGTGAGCCACCGCGCCCGGCCAGTCATCTACTTTTTTATTGTGCTCTTTTCCCTCAGGTGTGGTTAGAATTTCAGGATTTCCTCTACGCCCAATCTTTCCTATTAAACTCTCTCTTGTCTTCAATTTGCAGTCCCTCTTCTTGTCAGCTTCTTCTATGTAAACAGCAGACCTCAAATCATACAATCACCAACTCTTAATGCAGAAGGCACTTTAACTTCTCCATAACCACACCACTACTTCTCTCTTGGAAACATCAAGCTAAATTATTACAGAAAGGTCTGTCTAAAATAGAGGGCAAACCTACTGCCTAGATATTCCCTCCCTTCCCAGGGATCTAAGCTCCTGGAACTTTTTCCAGACCCCTTAGATTCAGATCATTCTATTCAAAAGAAGTCTCCAAAAACAAGACCCATCTACCACTCCCTCCGTCTTTTCCTTGTGCCTTTTTAAAATAATCGACATTTTTGTTCTGTGAATTTTTCACCTCTTGCTTCATTTCTCTCTCTCATCACACATGTGTCCCTCAGGACTCTAAAGGTAACTCAACTTTCCCTCCTAAATACTGTGGTCTATTGCCCTTTCTTTGTCTCTGATGAGTATCTATTTTTAAGACTAAAATTACTCTCTCTCCTCCTCCCACAGCTTAATCAATCAAACTTTACTCCTGTGGTCACTACAACAAGATTCCAATATCCTCTTTGGTTCAGAGACTTGACTATGTTCCCACCCAAATAATGAATCAACTGGGGCAAAGATAGTAATATTTCATGATAATAAAACATGATTTGTAACATATTCCTGGGAGAGAGACTAGACGAGTAAGTACGTTGCCCCCCCCCCAAAAAAAAAACAAAAACTATTCAAATATCATTGTTTTAATTGTTTCAAGCATTAATCAAATTTTCATCTACTCACTCTATATATCCATAATCAATACATTGCTTTCAAAGGAATGTTAAATCACAATGCTTATTTGAAGAGAACTTCAATCTGTCTTTAAATAGAGGCCTGTTCTTTTTATTGAAGAGTACCATTTATAAGTCCAGGTGATGATAGCTAATTTTTGCCTTAGTTCAAATATCAACTCAATCTTGCCATTTATGTGAAAAAAGGAGAAAACTTAGAATATATCACATATGCTCAGGTCTGCCTTTCCTTTTTATTTTCCCTCTTCCTGTAGAACTACCAAAACCAGACTATCTTGCATAAAATAAGGCAGCTGAGGTTACCTTCTAGTAAATGGGTATAAGACTCATGGTACCAAGTACTGTTACAACAGTTTTAAATTTAGCAAGTAAAGTTACATATTTGGGGGGCACAAAAAAAGCTTGTAAACTTAATCATGTAAGTTTTATTCCAGGGATATCTATTTATTAAACACTAGGAGATTGTGCTCAAGGGCACGTACATATCAACTCCTTTCTGAATCTCAAATGCCACACATCATTTGAGTTTAAAGAGAGATTTTTAAAAGGCTGTAACTAATTACCAACTCCCTGAACGTGCTGAACCAGAACTAATGCATTACGGACATCTGACTCCCTACTTGGTGCCAAAAAATTTATTTTACCTCAGTTGTTTTGGGGGGTCAAAGTTAAATGCAAGGGAGATGGCCTCAAAATTCTTAGCCCTGGCCAATCTATCTTTCCTCTGCCTACAAGAGCAATCTAAATCGAACTTTATTTTTAGGTTTAATTAAGCCACTCTCCCCTCTCATTGGCAGGCAGCTGACAGTGCACCTCCGACCTTCCCCAACTAATCGAACTTCAGGAGTGCTCCTTAGGGAAAGTGGATTCAGTCTCTGCTCACTGGGATTCCTGCCAGCCTATGGGAAGGGCAATTCCAATGATCTGGATACCAAGATGCAGCAGAAGGGCATTTTTCCAGATGCCATCTCTCTGGCTCATTTATCTGAACCCTTCTGCCCTCTACACAGCCCAACAGGTAGGGGCCCAGCACACACCCCTGCATACAACCCAACAATAAATGTCTAACAGGAGGGTTTGAACAACGCAACAGTACCCAGGTACCTAGTCAGAGCCTACAGAGGTCTTACCGAGACCCAGGAACCATGCTAAGTGCTGGGAGAGACACAAGACAGGTCCCACCAGGTGTAAACACAAGCTAGCAATAAAACCATTCTTTCAATCATCTCTGTTTATATGTAAAGAGCATGGTCCCTTTAACATGGACTTTGCCATTTCAGTTTCAATGTCTGGATAAATAAGGAACTGCTGGGAAAGGGGAGGAAAGGGGCTAAGATTTATTGAGGGCCTGCTATAAGCCAAGAATCGTGTTAGGTCTTTCACCTGTGTTAATGCATGATTCCCACAACAACTGTGCGTGGTTGATGTTACTAAAGACGAGGAACTGGAGGCTCAGGGAAGTAAGGGGTGGTCAGCTCGTGATTGCACTGAAATGAAAACCCAGCACTTACACAAGCATGTTTCAAAGAAGGCCATTTCTGCAGAATATCAAAGGGATTTTAGGGAAGACAAAACGATCCCAAGACAAGGATATAACCATGGGAGTAGGCGGTGGAAGTGGTGTGGAGGACACCATCTTGGAAGGGATGGTGTTCAGGAATGGAGAGGTCAGGTTTGGGAAATGCTGAGGCAAACAAAGCTGAACAGGCCTGCCTGTTGTAGGTCTCTCAGAGCCTTTACTTTCGTCACTCTTCAGAGGGGTGCACTAGAAGCAGTATCTCCGAAACTTCTTTGACTGTTGAGACTTTTTACTCATAGTTTGCCTCAAGCACAACTATGGAGGTGCATTTACAAGACTGAAATATGAGTGGCACCCCAGGAATGCACAGCAGCATGATGGCCTTCATCCTCTGCGTCTCCTCCCTCTACTTCAGCACTGTACTAAGCAGAAATGAGTCCTAGACTCATCCCTGCCCACTGCCTAAGCCATGAACTTCAGGGAGAGAAGATGAAGAGGACTGACTGACCACCTTTCCCCAGGGGCCAGGAGAGGCTTTCACCACTTTTTTCCTCTGTCAACAGAAAAGGTCAGGCCCTTCAGGTCAGCCCTCAACACCTAGATCCTTATCCCCACATGACTGCCTCTGTCCAGCCGTTCCTTTGTTGTCCCAAACTCCTTGTGTGTGTCCTCTGTCATTCCTGGTTCAGCATCAGCAAAATCCACCATATCTTCCACCCCTACCCTCAACTTCATCTTCACCTTCATGCTCCATCTGGCTGTCCAAGTCTGTCTGTCCTTGGAAAATTCTGCTTCCTCCATTCCTATCAAGTGATGGCCCTGTCTCCCAAACCCTGCATACCATGCAGCCTGTAAATTCAAGGGAGTATCTTCTCTGCTAGGTATTGCCAAATCCAAAAATGTCCCCCTCCTCCTCTGAAAAAGCCCAGATCCTGTGGTGCGCTTTTTGTCAGGCTAGACTAACCATGGCCCTCTTGTTGCTGCTGTCTCCTGACTGCCTAATCACTCATGAATACTTCAGCATTGGGCTCACTGGCTCTCTCTAGTCTCTTCCTGTTGTCATTCTTAGTGATATTAAAATCCTAGCCTCTGAGCTCCTTAACACCATCTCTCTCAATAATGGTGTCTTCTACCCGACTTCTACTGCCTACTCCCATGGTTATAGCCAAGGCATTGTCATTGTCAATACTGCATTCCCTACAAAATCTTAACTTTCTGAACTCAGCTATCAGACCATCAGCTCACTTCCCATATGTTGGGACCTCAAAATAGTTGATCCTCCACTGTCTACCACCTCTCTCTTATCCTCACTTCCTTTTTACCCACCTCAGATTCCAAGGCTCACTCCTTTTGAATCTACACTCAATTCTATTAACTATCCTTCCAACCAACTTGAACCCCAACCCTTTAAACCCAACTTTCTACTTCCTTTGTACCTGCACCCAAGCAGCTAAATATGGCTGGAGAAAAACACACAACCCTGTTGGCCAGTCCCACTTTAAATTTATAATTAAAAATCTCCAGGGGCTCCTCCCCACTGCCGGTCATCCTTCTACTTTTCCCTGCTCAATTATCTTCCCAACTCTCCTAAGGCAACAATTATACCTGTTTCTCTCCTCAAACTTCCATCCTCCTTCCCCTTCTCACTCACTCTAACTTCCAACACCCTCCCCTCTTTAACTCCCTCACAAATGAATGGATGAATGAATGAATGAATGAATGAGGCTCAGGCTCTGTGGCTCCCCTTTGAAAAAATAATGCTCTGTATCATCAGCAGAATAAAGGAACCCTGGGGACCACATTTATGTTCCAAGCATCTTCAAAGCTTTTGCTGGCTAAAAGAGAACAATTACCCAAAGTTATTCTAGAGTGTTATTACTGCTCCCAAATAGTTTCAACAGCCTTCAGGGATGACAGCTGACAAATGCCATGCAAAGTAAAAAGTTATCTATTACTATTAATGACAAATGAGAAATCAACAGAAACCTGGAGATTTCCTAGGCTATTCTGGCTGCCTCCCTTGCTCTGCTTCATCAGCCATGGAAGACACAGCTGCCGGCGGTTTAAGTCTAGAGACACATGAGGCTTTCTTCTGCCTCTTAGGCAGGCTGGCAGGTGAAGGGGCAGCTGGATTCCAGGGTGGAGAGGAGAGAGTGAAGGGCCTTTCACCTCACAGGTCCTCACTGCACCCTAGTCCAGAGAGGAAGGTCAAATATTGAGAAAGAAGCTTTTTAGCCAAAGGGTGTGCCAAACCCATCAGCATAATTTGCACTTGAAGCTGAGATTCAGGATGGTTTATAGATGTTAAGGATTAATGTCCTACCAGATATTACCTTTGATATTTTTCAAAGTTATTTCAAAGAACAAAAGATTGTCATTTAAGTGTGCCCTGAAAGGAGTTTCATTTTTGATAACATGTGAAAAGTTCATGGTGAGGCAGTGCAGTCATTAACTCATCTAAGTTTTTGAGACTTACAGATTTCACTAATTTGGAGAGAAAAATGGATCCTGAAAATCATGTAATTTCTCCAAATCCATTCTGTGCAACACTAGTCTCATGAGTTGCGTTTTGCAAAACAAATGTTTTCCTGATCAGATAAGTTTGGGAAGAATGACATATTCTCCTCTTGGAATTTTCAAGCACACTAAAGGTGCTGAGAAGTCCAGTAATGAAGAAACCTGCCTTAACTTGTTCTGTTACACACAGCATTTCCAAAACCTACTCAAATAATCTTTTCTACACCCACCCCAAACACCTTTTAACATTTGGCTGAATACTTCCAAGAAAACTGATGTGGTCCAAATTTCCCATTATATGGATTTTTAAAACTAGACTCTAAGAGAGGTGAATTTACCCCAGATTACACAGCTGTTAAAGACAGAAGTATGTGTGGCATCACCCTTGATTCCATCTCCAAAGACAAATATCCCTAAAGGACTTCAGCTCTCTCTCCCTAAGCCCATGTGTAGTCTCAGAATCTTGTAAAACACAGTCACCCCATCAACAGAAGCTGGCATGTGAGAGTAAATTTACTTGTCATTCCTAAACTGGCTTCCACGTGTTTGGACTCTGGGTTTCTAAAGTAACAATGTCATCGTCATTATCATCATCACAATCGTTGTCATTGGTATCACACTGTCATCTCTTGAGGATTTACTCGTGCCAGCCACCATGCTATGGGCTTACAGGCACTATCTCCTTTAATCCTTGCGACCACTCTAGGAGAGAGTGAACACGACCATTCCTAACTCACACACGGGACAGCCGAAGCACAGATCCCTTATGTGTCTTGCACAAGGTCACCTAATTTGAAAGTGCCTTAGCTGACATCTTGGCAAAGCCAAACAAGTTGCTCCCAGGACATTTCCTCAGTCCTGACTAATCCATAGATGTGATGCTGAGTTAAACAACCAACGTGTTCAGGTCCACAATAGCACATACTATTCCCAACAAATCCATTTCATCTTTAGTTTTCATTCTGGAAACAACCCCTAAAATGAGGCCAGAGTCCTCATCAGCACACTTCAGAGAAGTGTGGATACAAGAACCATTTCTGAGGTCTACCCATGATCTCAGAAAAAGGCCAACGGGAGGTTAGAACTTGCAGGGTAGGATTAGAATATGGCACTGAAGGGCTGGGGCACTGAACTCAGACCCTCTGGCTGTTTTCTCAGCTTGGCCTCATCCTCTGAGACACACAGCATTCCTGCTTTCCCTCTAAATTCTCTTCCCCAAAACTGCAAAGCAGCCAGCCTAATTAAGAAACTCCAACCAATAAAAGCACCGCTTGGTCCAACAGCAAAGGTGCTAATTACCTGTTACGGCTCAACCAGTTGCAAATGGAAACCTTAAAAAAGCAGCTGTGTGTGTTCAACATCCTGTACCAAATGAGGTCTCCTGATACTCACATGCTCAACCCCAGAGCAAAAATCTCAAGCAGGACAAGGACCTCCTTTGGTTCTTGGATCTTGATAAAACAGGACAATGGGGAAACTTTCAGAGTACACCTGGAGAATCCCTTTGAAGGGCAGACTCTTTCCCTTGGCAGAGCACAGTCATCTCAGTCAACACATTGCTGTGCTTTTGTGACCCCATCAAGTCTCACTGACTTTCTCATTATGCAGGGGCAGATGGGGGCAGACCCACTTGTGGTCAATTACTTAACTCCTCCAGGATTTTACTTTAACCCCTGAGTCTTAGGGTGCTAGGTCTTGGCAACCTCCCAATTTGCAAGCAGCACTTGGCTTTAAGTCTACATTTCCAGGGCTGCTTCAGCTAGGGAATGACTTTGTCCCCTCCCTCCATGGACTATTGCATAATTCTGCTGGGAGAGAGCCCAAAAGATCCCCCATTCCTGCCCTGGAGCAGCTGTATTTCCGTGCAGAGACCACGAACCTCACCTGGCCATCTGCTGGGGGAAACACTGGAAGGAAAGGTGTTATATAAATAGGAGGGTAGCTGAGGGCTGATAGAGGAGCTCTGTTCTCCTTGTCACTTTTGATAAATCATGTACTCCCTCACTTACTTTCTCCTCTGCCTTCCCAACAGCAAAGTGATTACTGAAGAGGCACCAGCCAAGCCTTTACAGAATAGAATAGAAATAGGTCCTGCTGTATATATTACACTCTCACAGGCTCCCAAGAGCCTCTCTGTGAGCACAACCAAGCAGCCCAGGTGTCTCTGAAGCTCCCCTTCAGCCCTGCAAAGGGTAGGAGTACAGACCAACTAGACTGGAAATGGAGGGAAACAATCAGACAGTTTCTTTGACTTAATGAGATCCAAATTTTTCTCCAATGAAATGAGACCCCAGCTACTAGATACAAAGGAAATGATTAATATATGTTAACTTCCAAAATGGAGGATGGGCCTTCTTGTGAAAATGCGTGAAGTACCAAAAACAAATTTTTGCTTCTTTCTAGGTGTGGTTTTTAAAATGATTTATGTTTTTTGTTTGTTTGTTTACAACTGGTAAACCTCCACTAGACAAGTTGATTTCCTAGCTCAAAAAATACATTTCTGTCCACCACCAGATTATTAATAATAATTTCCATATTAACTTGGCTTTCATCTCACATGCCGTCACATGGGTGAAGGAAGGCAGGGAGAGAGAAGCTGATCTGGGGTTGATGGGCAGATTCCCTTCACTCTGCTCAGTAGCCATTCCCAGTGAGCCAGGAATGCATCTCATCAAGGTAATAAAACATAAATCAAAGTAAGCAGGTCCACACCCCAGGCTGAGGGTGTGTGTCTGCTTGTGCTATTTGCAAGACAACAAACAGGTCTGAAAATTAAATGTGAAAAATCAGCAAAGACCAAGACCTATCACAGGAAGAAAGAACAGGACCCTGACAGTCCAGCTAATGCCTATAATCGCAGTGATAAAGGCTCATAAATGGCTTCATTCCACCTTGTCACTCACAGCCCTAGCTGCCTCCCCTCACTCCTGCTACCTGGGATGACCTTTTGTCATGCTTGAGAAAACAACTTCCCACTGTGAGTTCTCTCTTACAGAGTGGCCAGATGGGGCGGTTTTGCTCCATTATTTGCGCCTGTAAAGGGAAAATGCCAACAGAAAGATTCATTATGGTCCAGCCCATCTCCGCAAAGCTTCTCTGATTTATTAGGGCATAAACTGCTGTATGGGCTGTAATGAGACATAAATGTTCTGGAAGGCCTATGAACTCCAGGAGGAAACGCCTTGCCAGCACACGTCTGTGCACCTAATTTATTAACAGCTTGTGCCGACACAGCCTGGAAAATCCTGCCAACTTCACAATCTGTGGCAGTCACCTTTTGGGTGGGCAGGAGAGAATAGGAAAATGTATGTCCAAATCAGACAAGTGACAGAAAACGTATGGGCATGCTGCACAGAACTGTGAAGCCTTGCAATTCCTCCATGAACTCTACAGCAGAATTTTCGCCAAGCTTCCTGTGGGGGAGAGCAAGGTTTCCCCAGCTATATGATGGGGAAATCAAACTGGACATTTTGTTGTTTCAGTGTTTCCTTGGTCCTGAATTAATACAATGGAAAACACATTTTGCATTTCAGAAGAGCCCCAGTCACCAGGATGGGTGCAGTGGCTCATGCCTGTCATCCCAGCACTTTGGGAGGCTGAGGAGGGTAGATAGCTTGAGCCCAGGAGTTCAAGACCAGCCTGGGAACACAGTGAAACCCCATCTCTACCAAAAATGTAAAAATTAGCCAGTCTCATAACCTGGTCTCAAAACAAATAAATAGATTAAAATTTAAAAATAAAATTAAAAGTTTTTTTTTTTAAAGAGCCCCAGTCATTGTCCCAACTTCCTCTATCATCTGAAGGATACTTTCTCTAATGCAGTATTTGCCCCAGCTCATTAGTGTCTAGCACTCTTTGCAAGACGATTAACATTTTTGATCTCTAAACATCATCCTTTAGGTTCTAAATATAGAACAAAAAATTAACAACAGACCAGTCCACTTTTATACTTCCTACAGTTTGCAACCAATTCTTTTTCTTAGATCATAATACACAAGTCTCTTTAATTCAATTTTGGCTGCATTTGCCAAACTTTATGAAAACAATGAGATTAAGTTGTGAACCACCAGGAAAATATGAAACATCCTGACTCGATATTAGGTATTAGAGATTTTATGCTTCATGCCCTCATGAAAAGAGATCATCTTTTGTCACTGAAACATTCCTTTACACAATGCTCCTTGAGCACACACCATGTGCTGGAGATCCAACAGAAATGGACATGGCCCCAACCCAGGACTGACTATGTGGTTTGCAAAATGAAATTGTGAAAAGTATTAAGGATTTCAAGATGAAAATAGCAGAGCATTAAGCCAAGCATGGGGCCCTTCTGAATGTGGAACCGTGTTTAACTGTACAGTAGCATGCTCATGAAGCTAGCCCTGACTCTTCAGTTGTGGAGTTCACAGTTTCAGGAAGGAGCCAAACAATAAGACATCTCTAATGAGAATGTAAGAATCAGAGATAAATGCCAAGAAGAAAAGGAATATAATCCCATGTGAAAACATGAAAAAGGAACATGACCTAGGCTATTGAAATCTGGAAGGTGTATGTGTTCCACTGAGTAATAGGAACTTTGTGGGAGGTGGAACAGCATCTAAAAATGCTATCTCACAGAAGGCACTTGTGCCTTGGAGCAGGAAAAGCCCACATTTGAGGTAAGCCCTGACAGAGACTAGATGCCTGGACACTGTACGGCCTTCCAGGCTGCATGACCACTGCCATCTTGAAGGAACACTTGCAGAAACCACAGAATTGACTGGTTCCCACAGGTTCCCTGTCTCCTGTGTGAAGTGGCTGAAGTAACAAACCCATCTACCACTACGGCAATCCCTGCAGGGTTGGTGAAGATATTTACATTTGTAACACCAGAAGGAATGGATGAATGTATTTTTAATTCAAGAGACTAAGAACTCCCCGATACAAAGCAAATGCCAAAAGTGAGCCTAGAGTGCATTTCCACACCTGAGCAATAAGCCTGTGTAAACAGTGACTGAGATTTTGCCACTGTAATTAAACACAGCAAAAGGCCACGGATGCTTCCTTGAACAATGGCGGAGGTGAACCCACATGTCAGCTTCATTGTTCTTGGTCCCTAGAGTATTAGACCCATCATCCTAGCTCCAGCAGCACTCCTGAACTCTGCAGGGCTGTTTGCACTTGATTAAATGTTATTGTACAAATGGAGAATGAAGGCTCAGGTCTTTTCCCTCTCAGACACACTAATGACTCAGGGTGGAGAAAAGAGAAAAAACTCAAGGCACTGTATGTCTGATTAACCCAATTTTTAAAATTAGGTCTAACTTCTTACTAATATTTAAGGCATTCTCTCCCATGCTCAGAGGATTTGCTTTTTTATTTTAGTCTTGTATCCCAAGGCCTACTGATGATATTTGCTCTTAAAATAGTTTTTCTTAAACACAGCAAGGTTATAATAAATAGCCTTCTGAATTTCGGAATAAGAAAATTCTTTTTCTCAATTCTGCTTGCCATTTCATGTTGATATAAAATTCTAATATAAAAATATCTATTTTGACTTTTTTTTTTTTTTGAGATGGGGGTCTCATTCTGTCGCCCAGGCTGGAGTGCAGTCACGTAATTACGGCTCACTGCAGCCTTGACCTCCCAGGCTCAGGTGATCCTCCTGCTTTAGCCTCTCAAGTAGCTGGGAGAACAGGCATGCACCACCATGCCTGGCTTTTTAAAAAAAATTATTTTTAGGGACTGGGTCTCCCTATGTTACACAGGTTGATCTTGAAGTCCTGGGCTCAAGCAATTCCCTTAGCTCAGTTTCCCAAAATGCTAGGATTACAGGCGTGAGCCACGGCACCTGACCTTATTTTGACTCTTTTAATATCTGGTCCAAATATTCATCACCATTTTCCAACAAACTAGACTGTGTCTTTTCTTTAACTCAGCAGAAAGTGGTCTGTGTGATGACAGGCAATGCATCAGTTTTCAAGGTTCAATACCCTGGCTTGAGTGATGGTAGGGATATTGTCTCTGATGGAACAGGAATAAAATGAAAACCTCTTTATCTAACCATGGCAAGCAGATGCATCCACTACAAATGGCATCTGACCTTCTTCTTGCCACCTCCTTCCAGCCTCTGCCTTGGAGGGTGGTTA
The DNA here is from genome assembly GCF_000001405.40 of Homo sapiens. Lineage (NCBI taxonomy): Eukaryota > Metazoa > Chordata > Mammalia > Primates > Hominidae > Homo > Homo sapiens. The sequence goes on along the minus strand of NC_000003.12, from coordinate 54,667,370 downwards.
CAGATTATGGATCCAACATGCACAAAACAAAACTGGCCCGCAGGTGTCATAAGTTAGTCTTGAAAACCAATTCATACAGTTCACTCTTTGTTTTCTTCTAATCCTGAGGTCCTAGGGTTCCAACATTATATTTGAAAAAAAATAGTTCAAGGTAGGGTCCTTTTTACATGAATGTCTCATAAATGATCCAATCAGCAGAGTTTTAAAACAGTGTTCATGTACCAGTTATACTGTGCCAGCCAGAATATAGATGAGTAATTAACATGAGAAGACCTGATCTTTGGGAATTTAAGCTGGAATGAGCTGCTTCTGCTAAAAACATGAAGGAATTAACTTTTTGGTCAACAGAGTTCATGAATGGCTCTTCTGACAGGAGGAAAATCGACCGCTAGAGCCAGAGAACTGCCCTCAAATGTTCCACTAGAATTCAGCAGCCATCCACCTGGGCAGAGTCTTGAAAGGATTCTGCTGCCCCAGGTGACGAGCCAGACAGAGGAATTTGATAGCACAAAGTACTTCCAACCATGCGAGGTTGACAATACAGGTCCAAGTTCCCCTCGTACTACCAGGTAATCCCCCAGTCACCCTGAATCACATGTCACAAAATAAGACTGATCTTTTGTCTTAGAAAAACGTGGTTTAACGCCTTTTAAGGCCTTTCTTTCTATACATATATTTTAAAGGACAAGTTGGGAGAGGAGGTGACTTCACAGCAAAAAATGTCTTTGGTACCTGCAGACATCAGAGGAGATTAATGAGTCCTTATATTGGAGGAAGAAAACTAATAGGCATCCCTGACTTTTCTTTATCACTATGTCAGCAATGGCATTGGATAGATCTCTGCACACAGAGCATCTTCATTTTTAAATATAGAAACTGAGGCAGTAACGCTCCAATGAATGCCATTCTGAATGGTTCCTTCTTGGCTTGGGTTCCATTCACTAACATGTTAGGGAACAATCTACTGCTAAGAGAAACCTAGGCAGAGCTTTGTTCCAACTTTGTTAGGTCACCAATGACATATTTGTAAAGAATATATTTTTATTTTGTATTTTATCTTATATTTTAAGCTGTTAGAATATGACTATCTTTGAAGACATTTCTTCTATTTCCCTCCAAGTCAACTTTTCCTACATCTCTTTGCTGTTACCTTTTAAAGTTGTCTGTTGAGAAACTAAAAGATTCTTGAGTTTCCCTTTTATAAATAAGGAATTATTAGGAGGCAAACCCTCTTATTCCTCATCATGTTCTCTAGCAATCAAATACTGGATAATATATCTAAAGGTAGATTTTTCTGAGTTAGTTCTATTCCATCTATACCCCTCCCTGATTATTCATCCATCCATCCAAATACTCATTCTCAGCCTGGGCAACATGGTGAGACTCCATCCCTACAAAAAAATTAGCTGGGCATGGTGGCACATCCCTGTAGTCTCAGCTACTCAGGAGGCTGAGGTAGGAGTATCGCTTGAACCTGAGAGGTTGAGGCTGCAGTGAGCCATGATTGTGCAGTGCAAATCCAGCCTGGGTGGCGGAACCTGGGTGGCAGAGCAAACCCTGTCTCAAAAAAAAAAAAAAAAATAACCATCCTCTGTCTCACCCATCCATGTACCCACCCACCCATCGCTACAACCCTTACTATTAATGTTACAGTTCATAAAATTTGGGGCCAAAGAACTCTTTCCCTTTGGCCCCTGTCAGTAGTCTCTTCCTATCTCTGGCAGGTTTTGTGGTATTATGAGCCGTCTAATGCATTCAGGAGCAGAAATCTTTATGTTTTGGGATTAGTGCAGTTACTGTACATGTGGTCATTTACACAGTAGTATATGGAGCTGAGGAAAACTGATTTTCTTAATGGAAATAAAAAATAAGTACACTATAAAATAACTTTGTATTTCATTTCCAAGTTCTGTGGCTGTAAATAAAGCTTTGTTCATTGAGCAAGAAGGCGAACCCTGGAGGACTGACTCGGCACTCCATGCTATGCGACAGACCGCTTTGCCAGAGAGATGAATGCATTTCATTATCTTGAGCTTATTCCATAGGCATAATTAGAACTCCTTTGAGAAGTCAACTAATTATGTAATATCCAGCAAAGTATGTCAGGATTTCATTTTGGCATTAAGCGGAATCTATCAAGCTCCCTTTTAATTTTACGATTCCCTGCTAGAAAGGAACCAAACAGGACATGTCGTTTCCACAGCAATGGTTTCTGATTAGTACCACTGGATAACATAAAGGTGGAGTATATATCTTCCCCTTGGGGCACTGCTGGAGAAAAGGCAGCTTAGGTCAGCCCGATATATTATTAGATGTCCCCATTGTCCTACAGAAACACAGCTGCAGGTATATTATTTCTGGCTGGAACAATGGTAATACAAAGGAAAAGCAGAGACATCAAATGAACCTTTACTAGCTGGCTCATTTTTCCTTCTCTACATAGCCTGCATGGAGCAGGGCAATCTGGTCCCAGAGTCAGGGGTTCCAGCTAAAGCCCCATATGTACCAACACACAGCCAGAGCCTCCACCTCCAGCCACGGGTTTGCCCCATGCTCCCTCCTTGCTGAGCTCCTGCAACCTTGCTTACTTCCTAGAGAAAGCACCAGCCTCTGAGTCCCCCTGCTCAGCCCTTTCCCATCTACAGGAGGTCTCACCACCCAGTCTTAGGCCCACGAAATGGCCTTGGCACCTGCCAAAGACTTTCTCAAGTTTGTGAAAAGAAAGGGAAAAATATGATGGAACAAAGACATTTTTCAACAAGAGGAAAATGAGAGGTACAACCAGGCGGTTTCATTTGCAGTTAACTTATAAAATAAAATGTGACATTTCCCCACAAAGACCAAGTTACTCCTGGATAAATTAGCTTCAGATGATGCTGAAAGGGGGAGGTGGCGGTGAGGAGTAAGCAATCCAGCTGCTGTGTAGCTGCCAAGCAGCCAAAATAGGGTTCAACAGATTTCTGAAAATTTCAAATGACAGAGTATTTTGGAACATGTAGATATGGCTTTCTGAGTTCAGAAATGCAAGGTCAAGCATCCAGGATACAAGGAGACCTTGGGGAAACGGGTGGTAAACCCACTGTCCAAGGGCCACTACTGGCCTTACCCATGGCACGGGGACACCACTGGCCTTGTTGTGCAGGGCAGGTTATGCTCACTGGTCCCTTTACTGGCCAGACTGGCCCTAAAAAGCCTATCCAAGATAGCATTCCAGAAAGCTACCCCAGAAGGCCTGAAGCTGGCCCTTGGGGATGCAACCTCTTTGCCATCGCCGATTCGGCTCAGCACAGCTGGAGTTAATGAAAGAGTTAATGTGATTTTCCACTCTCCACACTTGCTTTGAGGGACTCTGGTGAGAACTGGGCCTGCTCAAATCACCTTTAGGGAATGGAAAAATCTAACTCACCACACATGAAGGCGAGCGCAGAAAGGAATGCTGGAGATGAACCAAGGACAGGCTGAACATGACTACACCATCAGGACGCAAGAAGGGAAAACACAGGCAGGAGAGGGTGGCAGTGAAGTGGCCATCTTCCACACTGCATGCAGATGACCCCCTCTCTCACACATCCAAGCCCCAGTCCTCAGGGTGCTGGGTTCCAGGACTGGTGTGCACATGGCAAGGAAGGGGCTCAGCCCCCATCTGCTGGTGCATCTCACAGATGTGTCAGCTGGTATGAGTTAGTCAGGCAGTGACCACATTTTGGGGAGAAATCATCCACTGATTTATCACAGGGGGCATAAATCATAAATGCATTTAGTTGTCTTCATCGCCTTTCTTGTCATCCTGCCTCTCTGAAGTGAAATTAAGAGGCAGATGTCTTATCTGGGATCAATTCCAGACCCCATTTGTGTTTTAAAAAAGAAAACCAGGAAGGGTTTCACACAAACCTCCTGACTCAGGTTGATCAAAGTCTTGGTGCCTGGAAGGCCAAGTCATCACATACATAACTGAGAGGCCCAGGGCCATGAAGGCATGAGGGGTGGACACCTCGGCTCACACTGCCCCTGGAGTCCAGAAGGGCTGAAGACAACAGGAGGTGCCACACTGCCTCTAAAACAAGCCAAACCCCCTCTCTGGCTCAAAGACACCAACATCCACAGATCTTCCCACACAGCTAGAGAGAGGCTAGTCAGTTCTGGCTATAAATTCTACAACTAAGTCATTGAAAACATCAGCCGCAGCAAGGACAGAGAGGGTTCCTTCCAGAAAGCTCTGGAGGGTTCTTCTGAAGCACTTTCACATTCTGAGGCCTCATGTCCCATCAAGGTCTTTTTGCGGGTGTTCTGACTCATTCACCTTGTTCTTTCTCCTCAATAATTTTATCCCATTTCCCTCATTGGTTCCTGGACCGAAAGATATTGCCACATGCTATTGCTCATTTGGTTCCTGTCACAAAACTGAGAAGGAGCCACTATCAGCAAGGCTGTTTTACAAATTAGAAGCCCAGAGAAATTCAGTGGCTTGTTTGAGATCACATAGTACAAGCCTAAGTTGGTCATCAAACTCAGCTTCTCTGACCTTCAAATGTAAGACTCTAACTCCTGGTTACTCCTACTGAATTTCCGCTTCCACATTAACACTGAGAAGATATTTCCCTTTCCTGACTCTTCTAAGTACACTTACACTTTCCACCAACAGCACCAGCCAGGTGGACCTGAACAGCCCTGGAATCCAGGAGAGAAGCAAGCGCAGCAAAATCCTTGCCTTGAGACCATGAGGCAAGCCCAGCAGACGCACTTGCTGGCCTGAGGCTGAGGGAGGAGGCAGGGGCTTGGATATGGAGAAGGTGAGGGCCTCTGGAGGACGACCTATGGACGGGGCCACCAACAGCAGAGAAACAGGGAATTCTTGGCTGTTCCTGTCCAAGAGGTCTTCCTAAACCCTTCACAGCCTTCAAAGTCAGGCACTTGGTGCCTAAACCTGCTGGACTGAATGCCATGCACAGTATTTAATCTATTAGGACTGTGGCTAGTCCTAATAGATTAGTCACTTTAGACTCTCCCTTGTTGTGGTCAACAAGGCTAGCCTTCCAGGGATCACAGGTAGGCGAGTCCAGGGAGTGTCAGGCTCCATCCATGAAAGTTTGAGTTATTTCTACCCTGCAAGCACATGCTTTGTGTTCAGTCCTCAGTAGCATAGAGGCTCCCAGCACCCTCGCCAATCCATCTATAAAAAACACACACACATACACACAAACGCACACACAGAAGGAACTTCCTATCAGGCAGCTACTATGTGCTAACGAACTGAGCATTGGGCATCCACTGGTGACCCAGAGGAACATGATATCTGCCCTTATGTAATTTATGATGCATAGAGTTAATACAGAGAAACCCCAAAATAATATCTAATTTTAACTATAAGATGGTGTCATTAAGGAAAATATTAACAGCAGGTACTATGAAAGCCTGTAGCAGGAAAAGAAGTGGTGATCCAGGGGGGATATTTCACTGAAGATGTGGAGTTATCTTTTTAACACACACACACACACACACACACACACACACACACACACACACATACACACATCCCTGAGATGTCTGTGTGAACCATAGGGCTGTTCCTCTGGGATTTTCTTGAGAGCCTGGAGAGACTGCTAAGTCAGCCTTTTACCACCTCTGGTGAATCTATTGCAGCAAGAGGAAACTGGGAATCTTTAAGTGTTCTGCTTACAAGAGGTGGAAGCAGAGATCCACACCCCAGCATCTGCACCCCACCCCTTTTTCCTGATGTTAGTGAGCCAGCTGTCAATCCCTAGCTTAAGATGACTCTCTCTGGATTTTTTTAATGTACCTGTAGTTTTGTTTAATGAAGAGAGCATATAGCCCCTTTCCTAAGTCAAGAGGAAGGGAAAGAGTCAGTACTTTAGGAGGGTTAAGGTAATTATTCTGTGGAGACGAAACACATTTCAATAAGTATGTCCTTGGCTCACACAGACATTTGGAGTTCTGAACCAGAACAGTCTTCTTTGAAATTCTAAAACCGTTAGTTTTTGTTTCTGTCCCATTGAGGCATAGAAACACATCATCTGAAAGCAAAATTAAAGTGATCCAAATCTTAAAAACCCTAAAGTTTCCATGGGCTTTGAGGGTCCGATTCATAGAAGTAAGGGTTGAAAGGGCTAAAAATTCAGGCTTTGACCTAGAAGGCTCTAGACACTTGTCCCCCAGCCAGGCTGACCCTCTCCAGATCCAAGTGCACCTTGGAAATCTGTTCCAGGGTTCTGGTGGGGCCTCAGAAGCCTTCCTGGCCATTTGGCTAATCCTCCCTCGACATCTTACTTTCAGTTCGCATTCCAGCACAGATTTCCACATGGGCCTCTTTGCTTCCCAATAAGGCTCGGCAAGCGGCAGGCAGCAGGATTCACTCTGGACAGTTAACATGCAGCTCTTACAAGCCTCCCCCAAAGAGGCCCATCAGTCACCAACCTCAGCTGTTTTCTTTTCTAGATAGGAATCCCCGAGGAGTGAGCAGAATAGAACAAAATCTATTTTTACATTAGGAATGAGCAAACAATGAACCGAGCTCCACTTTCACGTGGAGATCTTGGGAGGGAGGGAGCACAAAGGCTCTTGTGGGAGGCTCTGGGCCGAGAGAAGGGTCTGAGAGGAGCCAGGGCCTGGCGTGCTGGGCTGCAGTAATGGAACATGTTCACTAAGCCCTATAAATCTCCTCCCTTCATATTTTTATGGAAATGATTAAGGTAAGGTAAGTAGGGCAGATAATCTGTTGATGGCCAAAACCATTTGGCATTGGGAGCCTCAGGTTTTATCTCCAGATGTTTGAAGAGAGAATGTAAGGGCCAGCCTACTGAGAATACAGGATTTCCCAAAATCTACAGGAAGAAGGAGCTTCATTTATGAGGTGTAAAGGTGATTTCTCTACCAATAAAGTTAGCTTAGAAAGCAGCCGGGTGCGGTGGCTCACGCCTGTAATCCCAGCACTTTGGGAGGCCGAGGCGGGTGGATCACAAGGTCAGGAGATCGAGACCACCCTGGCTAATACGGTGAAACCCCGTCTCTACTAAAAATACAAAAAATTAGCCGGGCATGGTGGTGGGCGCCTGTAGTCCCAGCTACTCAGGAGGCTGAGGCAGAAGAATGGCCTGAACTTGGGAGGCGGAGCTTGCAGTGAGCCAAGATGGTGCCACTGCACTCCAGCCTGGGCGACAGAGCAAGACTCTGTCTCAAAAATAAAAAAAAATAAAAAGAAAAAAAAAAAAAGAAACCAAAAGGCTCCTCTCTGATGAGGACCCAATGACATGGAAAAAGTATTCAGTACTAGGAGATGCAAGGCTCACGGTCAGGTTTTGAGTTGGGAATCATTCCCTTTGGGTTGTCAGGATTGACTTCAAAGGGTAAGTCATTATTTTGTCTGCCTATGCCATTAAATACACAAAGCAGTTGGGGATTTGCAGGGAGGATGCAGACACCATGCTTTGGCCTAAATCTGCTTGTTCTGATCTTCTTCCACAAATGTTTACTGAGCACCACCTAGGCATCTAGCACTGTGCCAGGCACTAAGCTCTGGGGGAGAACAAAACAGGAACTGATCTTGTTGTTTACTAAAGAAGACAAACACCGCAGAGATAAATGACAGCAATCATCACCACTGCTTTACGTACTACAAAGATGTTCAAGGTGCAAGGAAATTCTACCACCTGAAAGCCTTTCCTGTCCAAGGTCACTCTCTCTGTCCCCGTGGCAGTTTTCCTGAAAGTTCATCCAGCACCATTCAAAATTCAGGACACGCTTCTTGGCAACACTCCCCAGGTCCCTGGATGCTCTCTGCATTCCCAAGGAAGCTCAACAGGGAAGCCGTAGGCAGACTTATATGATCTCTGTCTACCCCCAGAGATTCAGAGGAGGAGGAGGAACTGGGGATCAGGTGAAAGGTATGGGCTTTGGAGTCAAGTTACTTAACCTGCTCTCAACTCAGTTTTCTCACTTACAAAAGGGATATACTATAAATATCTGTATCATAAAAGTGCTGGGAGTATCAATGAAGTGATGCTCATAGGAAATGCAGCAAAGTGCTCAGCAGGCATTCACACCCTCCTGCCAAAGGCTCCCTGAACGCACACTGTGTGCCAGGCACCACTCTGGGCACTTCGGAGAAAACAAACGCAGTGCCCAGCTCACAAAGTGTTCTGCTTCTAGCAGATGACATAACAAAAATTTACTTCCTTGTGTTATTTATCTAATTTTTTACAAGATGAAAGGTGCTATCAGTAAAAGAAAAGCACTGACTAAGATAGCTGGAGATCAGGGGACAGGGGACAACTTTAAATCTAGTAGGATAGAGCTCATTGAAAAAGTAGTACCTAAGCAAAAGACATGAAGGAAGTTAGAGTAAGTCAATGTGGCAATCTGGGGGCAAAGTGCCCCAGAGAGAGGGAACAGGAAGCACAAAGACCCCAAAGTAGTTGTGTATCTTGCATGCCTGAGAACAGTGGGCTGCGCAGAGGGCATGAGGGGGCAGCAGTTGAGAGGAAGGCAGGGAACAGGCACCCATCACACCAGGCCTTGCTGACTCCCACCAAGACATTGGCTTAAACTCTGCACTGAGCGGGGAGTGAGTGGAGGTTTGGGGGGATCTTTGGTACCAGAAGCCTCCAGTTTTCAAAGTGTCTTTCTCCCATCCCATAGGTTTCCTCTTTACTCTGCTGATTGTATCCGTTGCTGTGCAGAAGCTTCTTAGTTTGGTGTAGTCCCATTTATCTATTTTTTGTTTTTGTTGCTTATGCTTCTGGTGTCATCTCCAAGAAATCATTTATAAACCATTTATCTGATACGGGTTTAATTTCCAAAACATAAGAGATTCCTAAAAATAGCAAACAAATAACCTGATTTTAAAAATGGGCAAAGAACCTGAATAGGCATTTCTCCAGAGAAGATATACAAATGGTCAACAGGTAAATGGAAAGCTGCTCAACATTGTTCATCATCAGGGAAATGCAAATCAAAACCACAATGAGATACCATCTGACACCTGTTAGGATGGCTATTACCAAAAAGACAAAATATAACAAGTGTTGATGAGAAAAAGGAAGAACACTTGTGCCCTGTTGGTGAAATATAAGTTGGTACAGCCATTATGAAAACAGTATGGAGATTCCTCAAAACATTAAAAAATAAAACTGCCATATAATCCAGCAATCCCACTTCTTGGTATATGTCCAAAGAAAATAAAATCACTGTCTCAAAGAGGTTATCTGTATACCCATGTTCACTGCAGCACTATTCACAACAGCCCAGATATGGAAACAATGCAATGTCCATTGGCAACTGAATGGATAAAGAAAATGTAGTGTACACATACAATATAATTTCTTTTTTCTTTTTTGAGACAGAGTCTCACTCACTCTGTTGCTCAGGCAGGAAAGCAGTGGTGCAATCTCAGCTCATTGCAACTTCCACCTCCCAGTCTCCCGCTTGAGTCTCCTGAGTAGCTGGGATTACAGGCATGTGCCACCATGCCAGGCTAATTTTTGTATTTTTAGTAGAGACGGGGTTTCACCATGTTGGCTAGGCTGGTCTCAAACTCCTGACCTCAAATGATCCACCTGCCTCGGCCTCCCAAAGTGCTGGGATTACAGGTGTGAGCCACTGCACCTGACCTTATATACATACAATGGAATCTTACCCAGCCTTGGAAAGAAGGAAATCCTACCATTTACAACATGGATGGACCTGGAAGACATTATGCAAAGTGAAATAAGTTAGTCACAGGACAAATACTGTGATGAATTTCTCATCTACCTGGCATCTAAAATAGTCAGAGGTATACAAGTAGATAACAAAATGGTGGCTACTAGGGGCCGGCAGGGAGAGAGATCATGGGAGCTGTTGTTGAATGTGTATAAAGTTACCGTTATACAAGATGAGAAAGTTCCAGTGATCTGCTGTATAACATTGTGCCTATAGTTAACAATATGGTACTATGCACCCAAAAAATTGGTAAGAGATTAGATCTCACGTTAAGTGTTCTAATCACAAAAACAAAACAAAAAAGAAGGGACACAAGGAAATGTTTGGAGGTGATAAATATGTTTATCACCTGGGCTGTGTGTCAGGCCTCTGAGCCCAAGCTAAGCCATCATATCCCCTGTGACCTGCACGTACACATCCAGACCGCGGGTTCCTGCCTTAACTGATGACATTCCACCACAAAAGTGAAAATGGCCTATTCCTGCCTTAACTGAAGACATTGTCTTGTGAAATTCCTTCTCCTGGCTCATCCTGGCTCAAAAGCTCCCCCACTGAGTACCCTGTGACCCCCCACTCCTGCCCGCCAGAGAACAACCCCCCTTTTTCCTTTACCTACCCAAATCCTATAAAACAGCCCCACCCCTATCTCCCTTGGCTGACTCTTTTCGGACTCAGCCCACCTGCACCCAGGTGAAATAAACAGCCATGTTGCTCACACAAAGCCTGTTTGGTGGTTTCTTCACACGGACGCGCATGAAACTGTGATCATAACATGAGCATATACATACATCCGCATGCACCAACTGTATAATTATGTGCAATTTTTGTGTACCAATTCTAACTGGGGAAGGGGGAAGGGTTACTCTGCTGCTGTGTGGAGAACAGGCCAGGGTGCCTGCCTGCTTCTGGTAAAACAAATCCATCTGAGAATTGGGAAGTCATGCGATTTGATTGCACCTTGTGTGCAGGTAGCAGGGTGTCAGGGAGTGGGGAAGCACAGCTGGCTGCCAGGCCTGTGGGCCCCTAATTTTCTGCACACTGGGCACTTTTCCTAGCTGGGAGAGGCTGCCCTGCTCTCTTCTCAGTGCTGCTCAGCTCCCCTTCTTGGCCTATCCTACAAAGGAAATGGCAGGAAAGTGGGCACAGCTCGCCCGATGAGTTCATGGACAGGCAGGATGGGGCTCAGCCAGGCTGGCTCTCCTGGGATGCCACTGGGCAGTTTCTGACTGCCAGAGACCAGCAGCCTCTGTTGGAGGGGACCGCCATTCACTGGGGTCCCAGCCAGTTCACAGTCTATGGTCTCTCACAAACAGGCTGCTGGGAGACTTCCCATCCAACCACTTACTGGGAGAGTTTTGCCAAGGGAGTGAATGAGATAAGAAAATAATGCAAGGTCACTTCGGAGAATTAAGTGCTTTGAAAACCAATCATCAGGCCATACACATTCCCAAATCTACCATGCCAAGTCTGTATCCTCTCTGTGTTCATAGCAGCACAGGCTGCCTAAGGATGCCTACTCAGAGGCACCTGCTGATCCTGGTCCAGGGTCCCATGGACCATAATCTTCTCCATTGCTAATGTTCACTGTGCACTTGCCTCCCCTCAAGGACTCAGTAGACACTGGGCACTACTAATCTGCCCAAAAACAACCCTGCAAGATGGGGACATGGTTCTTGTCTCCTATTTTCTAAATGAGGGAACCACAGCACAAGGAGAGGAAATCACTTGCCTGAAGTCACTCAGATCAGAAACAGTAAAGCCTAGATACCCACCCAGGTAGTCTGAGCCTTGACCACTACTCTAGAAAATGGACAAATAATATAAAAGTGACACTACTTTTCAAACCTCCTTTTTATATTTCACTAATACAGACAGGCTCTTGTTTCTTGAAACTCATCTCATTTGAATTGATGAACATTAGCTACTACTTATCATTAATTAATGATACCAACTGGTCAAATATTTCTCAGTATATTTTGATAGATACCAGGAGTTCAGGTAAAATGGATAATGCACATATATTTATTCGTGAAATAGGTGATAAAGAAAAACCTGGGTATGTTTTGGAAATGCAGTAGAATACTTTAATCTTCTTCTAAGTCAACCACAACAGCACACAAGATTAATCCATATTCAGGATAAAAGAGCACTTTCTATTTCCCACATCCAAATCCATCCAGTACAACTATGTTTTAACTACAGCAGACGGATTTTAACAATGCGAGTGGTTGAAAATTATGGTAACGATGATAATGATATAGCCATTGTGTACTGTGCCTGCTGTGTGCCCAGCACTGAGCTTGGGAGCGCAACATTTTGTTTAATTCTTAATAATACTGCCAGATATGTATAATTAGCCCCATTTTACAGATGGAGAAATTGAGTTGTCAGCATCCAGACACTACCCTTTTTCCATTAGGCAGCACTGCGCTCCCACCCACACCCCCAAGAGCCCTACTCAATAGTCCAAGAGAAATAAAAACCTAGGAAATAAGAACTTGACATATCAGTAGATTGCAAATAATACAGAATTCATGCAGCAAGCTTCCAGTCATTACTGGGTATTCCAGCCAATAAGCTAACATGTCCAGCACCAAGCACACGTTGGATTGGGCTCTGTGAGGCTGGGCCCCCAGCTTGGGACTGGCGCTGGGGCTCTGCAAACCACGTTTCTGCTTTGTCAGCTATTCCTGGCTAGGGTCTGCCTGGTCTGGCCAATAAGGTCAATAGGAGGATGTTGCATCCATGGAGGAGGGAGAGGGATCTTCCTGTTTGCTTCCCATTGGATTCTCATTCCCAACGCCTTCATCCTAGCAGGGTTTCTTCACTCCAGCAAGGACAGCTCATTCCAGTAGCAGTAAATTAACCTAGGTGGTAGCTCGCCAGCATTCACAGAATCAGTCTCATTGCATCTCCTTCAGAGACCCCAGAACTCCCTCCTAAAAAGTCTGATTCGCATCCCCACAGGACCCTCCTGTGAGCTCAGAGACCTTAGCACTTGCCCGCCGGCATGCCCTTGCCAGAGGTCCGGGTCCCAGCCTGATAGAGCTTCTCCCCCAAGCTTCTAAATTTTAGTAACCTCTTTCTTTCCTCTGCCCCTCCTCCCATACGAACTATTGAGGTGGTGGCTGTTGCCTGCAGTTGCTACTTCCAAGAAAACCTAGAGTTATCTTTTGTCCTTTCATCTCATCAATACTAGATTTGCAATTTTTAACATTAAATTCTCTCTGTTCAAATAACTGGTAGATGCCTGTCCCTGATTCCTGTCCAATTCACTGGGAATACAACCACACTGAGTGGCACTTCTGGACATGCTCTGGCTTGCAGAAACACTCTTTGCCAAGCCCCGGAGGGCACCCTAACCCCCTCAAAACCCCAAAATATGATCTATGAGCCACCTATGAACACAGATTCTGGGGTTCTGCCTGCAGAAAATGGAGCCCACGAATCACTTTTGGCAAGACCCCCCACTGCCAACCCCTCGGTGACTCCAATGTGCTACAATTTAAGAGTAGTAGATATGGAGACAGCTGGATATGGGTTGAAACTGGAGACTTCCAGTTTCATTGCTGTGGGCTCAGTGGCAAGGGACTTAAATCCTCTGAGCTCTCTCACCTGCAAAATAAGAATGCTACTAGAAGTGCTCCCCATTGGGTGGGGCTAAGCATTACACAGTGAACTAAGGTAACAGTTTGACTCTTCCCCAACACCAGCAGAGGAGAGGATTCCCTTAAGAGTGGCTACCTAGATAGCCATTTACTAGAGGATGGTGGAGGTCACCTGGAGAGAATGTACACTGTCCTCCCACCTGCTTTCTGAGGTCCGCAGCACCTGGATGGAGCCCAAGGCCCCAGTGCCACACCCAGGAAGAGAAACCACAGTTTCCACCACAGGGGAAGTACCATGCATCTGTCGTGGGCCCCTGACATGAAGTGATTTTTCAATGGCTGGCAGCAGCCGTGCATCAGTGGCTTCGTTCCTAACTTGTCTTGTCATGTTCTTCTTGCTGGAGTCACAAGATGTCTAATACCAGCAGAAGTAATTAAACCAGAGACAATGAACCATCTCAACTCTCCCTTCAGCTGCAGGGAGGGCCTGCGTGAGCTCTCACCCCAGTGACTGAAAATGCCTTTTCCTGTCATGCTGTTGACTGACCATGAGAAATGAGTGTTCCTATTTTCCTGAGATAGCTTTAGGATTTATCACCCTTGAAGAAACACAGCAATGACTCAAACTCACTCAAAACTTTTGGACCAAATGTGACTTCAGCCAGGGAAGGAGAAAGAAAGAGAAAGAGGAAAGGAGGGAAAAAGAGAAGAGAGAAATGTCAGCACCCAAGAGACCCCTGGAATGAAACAGCAGTGAGAAATAGGAGCATCTTGGAGCATTCACAGAAGTGAAAAGGTCTACTACCTACACTCCCCACCCTTTTTAATCAGGTGTGATGAGGAGAGTTAATACCATCGGTACATGCAGCCCAAGTCCATGTCTCCTAGGACAATTCCCTATACAGTTGCCAGAGAGCCCTTCTGAAAACAGTCAGTTCACTCCTCTCCATTCAAAAGCCTCCCATATGTCCGGCACGGTGGCTCATGCCTGTAATCTCAGCACTTTGGGAGACCAAGGCAGGTGGATCACTTGAGGTCAGGAGTTCAAGACCAGCCTGACCAACATGATGAAACCCCATCTCTACTAAAAATACAAAAATTAGCCGGGTGTGGTGGTGTGCGCCTATCATCCCAGCTACTTGGGAGGCTGAGACAGGAGAATCACTTGAATCCAGGAGGCGGAGGTTACAGTGAGCCATGATTACGCAACTACACTCCAGCCCGGGTGACACAGCGAAACTCGGTCTCAAAAAAAAAAAAAAAAAGCCTCCCATGGCTCCTCACCAACCCCTTGGATCACATCCCAACATCTCACTGTGCCCACTGAAGCCCAGAGAAGTTGGCTGCTGCCTGTGCTGCCAGCCTTCCTATCACCCTGTTCCCATGTCCACTGGGCTCCAGCCACCTGCACTTCCTCCTGCTCCTCATACACATCCACCTTTTCCTACCCAGGGCTTCTGAAGTACTGTTCCCTCTGCCATGAATGCCTTCCCCACCCAGCTCCTCTCCCTCACACATGCTCTCCTCCAAGAGGCTCGTCTTGGCCACCCTGTCTAGGAGAGCTGCCATTACCCATTCTCTGTCTCAGGTTCTTGTTTGTCTTGTTCAGAAGACTTATGATTAAATGATTTGGTCTTTTCATTTGCTGGTTACCTGTGATCTGTTATCTGCTCTATGTGATCTCATTGGAGGTGTCTTAGCCCCCTACTCCTGGGCTCCATTACAATGGACTGCGAGACACAGCGGGCCCTCAATAAATACCTGTTGCATGAATGCATTACCCTAAGACAGCTACCTCCTTCCCTTTTTTTCCGCTGCCAGCAACGTTTGCCACCTTCAACATCCCTTATTAATCCAGTCCTATGGGATGAAGAATACAGACAGCCAGAGTGACGGTCGTGTGGAGGCTAGGGGGTGGGTGGAGCATTTATTTTGTGAGGCTTCTCTGGGCACAGTATGATCTTAACGCCTTTCCAAGTTGCCTGTGGAGTTGGGCAAATCCCTTCTCCTCTCAACCAGTCAAAGGGAGGCAAAGAAAATGCTTTGTAAAATGATTTTAAAGTCAGAGAAGAGAACAATGCAGTTTAGTGGGGAAGAAAGAACAAAACATCCCTTCCAAATTGCTTAAGATGAGTGAAGGGTTGGGTTCTTAAAAGAATAATCCCTGAATCAGCTCAGGAACTCTGGCCCTCAGAATGGCACATGCCCCACAGAACTATCAGGAGAAGAGGGGATTCCTGAGCTTTACAAAACCCCCTCAGAGGCGCCACGGTAAAGCTAAGCCTTTCAGCACCCCGGAGGCCACTGGGGCAAGGCTGGCTTGAGGCTTTATCCTCCAAGTTATAGCACGGGGGAGGCTTGGGGCACAAAATCCCCAAGCCAGCCCCTCCTCGAAGATGCATGTGACACCAGCCCAAAGGACAGTCACTTCCAACAGAGTTCCAAAAGTGCCCTGAGCCAGGTCCCCTAAGCCATTCCATGATCAAGGGCATCCCTTTACCCTCAAACCAAGAGCTGCTTCTGCCCTCCTTGCAGTCCTCACCAGGCTACCAAGGATCCTCCAGCAGCCCTGAGCCTCTCACATGGCCTCAAAGCTACCATCCTTGCTTTTTTTTTTTTTTTTCTCGAGATAACTGAAGATAAAACGCACAGTACACAGCACGGAAATCGCACTCATCTTGAAGTTCTCCTGTCCTTTTAGAAGAGGAAAATCATTTAATCACATCTAGAGAGCCTCATCCTGAGGCCCCACAATTTGCTGTTCTCCTGCTCTCTGACTGTAGCCCCAGTGGGTTCTAATCTAAGATCAACGAGTTCCTGACATTCTGCAGACCCTCCTGTACTTGGGGGCAGGAGGCCAAGGAAAAGGACTTACTGTCCCGATGACAATGTATAGAGTGTGGACAGCTCTTCCTCTGACCTATGGTCATTTTACCTTGTTTTGTTCTCAAGATGTCTGCATCCTGGTTAAGGGTCTAGGCTCAGCATTTGAGTGCTGGAGTGGTCATTTCAGGTCCACCAAATGCTAGTCAGGGAATCCTGAATGTAGCCTCTTCATGCCTCAGTTTCCTCAACTGTGAAAGGGGATAACGATAGTATACTTCTCATGAGGTTTCTGTGAGAATTAGATACACACGGAGCATTTAGAACAGTCTCTGACACTCAGCATTCAGTAGGAATTAGCTATCATTAGTATTGGTTTATAAATTGGGGTATAAGAAATTGGTTTAAAACATTCTCTCACTGAGGGCCAGGCACAGTGGCTCAGGCCTGTAATCCCAGCACTTTGGGAGACTGAGGCAGGTAGAACACTTGAGGCCAGGAGTTCGAAACCAGCCTGGCCAACAAGGTGAAACCCCAGCTCTATAAAAAATACAAAAAGTAGGCCTGGCACGGTAGTTCACACCTATAATTGTAGCACTTTGGGAGGCCGAGGCAGGTGGATCACTTGACGTCAGAAGTTCAAGACCAGCCTGGCTAATATGGTGAAACCTCATCTCTACTAAAAAATATAAAAATTAGCTGGGTGTGGTGGCACACACGTGTAATCCCAGCTACTGGGGAGGCTGAGGCAGAAGAATCACTTGAACCCAGGAGGCGGAGGTTGCAGTGAGTCAAGAACATGCACCACTACACTCCAGCCTGGGCAACACAGCAAGACTCTGTTTAAAAATAAAGAAAATTAGCCAGGTGTGGTGGTGCCTGACTGTAATCCTAGCTACTCGGGAGGCTGAGGCATGAGTAACCACTTGAACCCGGGAGGCGGAGGTTGCAGTTAGCCAAGATCACACCACTGCACTCCAGCCTGGGTGACAGAGCAAGACTCCGTCTCAAACAAACAAACAAAAACAAAAAACAAAAAAACAAGCTACCCTACAATTGTTTGAAATATCACCCTAAAAAAAAAAATTAGCTCACTGAGGAAAATTCAGGTTCAGGGAAATGAAGACGAAGTAGAACATTCTAGTACTGCTTCTGTGGCTCAAAACACAACCAGGTGAGGGTCAGTTCATGCAGTGACATCTAACAGGTGTAGATGGGTCACCATCCACCTGCACACCTAGGCAGTATGTCATTATTTTACCCACAGTAGAAGCAGTTAGGATGGGCTCTGTTATTTGACAGTTACAGGCCAAATCCTCACTCCCTAAAGTGTAACACAAGGCAAAATAAGGGTTGTTAATTTATGGATAGGTCAACTCTGCCCCCACAGGAACAGACAGTGTTATGGACTGAATGTGTCTCCCAAAGATTCTTATGTTGAAATCCTAGCCTGCATTGTTATGGTATTAGGAGTTGGGGCCTTTGGGAAGTAATTAGGATTAGATGAGGTCATAAGGGTGGAGCCCTCATGAATGGGATTAGTGTCCTTATAAGACTCATGAGAGAGCTTGCTTCCTCATTTGACTCAATGCCAGGTGAGGATACCAAGAGAAGGCAGCAGTTTACAACCCAAAAGAGGGGCCTCAAAAAGAACTGTACCATGCTGGCACCCTGATCTCAGACTTCCAGCCTCCAGGACTGTGAGCAATAAATTCCTGTTGTTTATAAGCCACCCAGTCATTGATATTTTGTCATAGCAGCGCAAGCTGACTGAGATAGGGAGTCTCTGATTTCCCGAGCCTCTGTAGAGGGAGCCTAATTTCTCTCCAGGGTGTTTGTTCCCTGTTACCACAGTGACCTGAAAGCTGTGAAATTCTGTCCTGTGTCCATGTCACCACCAAAACCAGGTTCAAGGGGCAGTCAAGTCTAGCATTTATAAAGACCCTACATTTCAACATTCCAGGCCAAGGCTGGGCAGCCTGGCAGCCTACTCTACCTCTAAGCAACCCCATTACCATGTAAGATATCCCAGTCTTGATGGTAGCACTGATGAAGAAGCAAGGAGAGAGGGAAAAGGAGAAAGGGCCGCTAAACATTTTGGTAAGAGAAGCTCCAGCATGAAAAGGAGTATTCGGCATCAAGTCTCCCAGCCCTCCACCAT
This sequence comes from Homo sapiens, assembly GCF_000001405.40. Classification (NCBI taxonomy): domain Eukaryota; kingdom Metazoa; phylum Chordata; class Mammalia; order Primates; family Hominidae; genus Homo; species Homo sapiens. The sequence continues at coordinate 54,649,064 of NC_000003.12, read as the reverse complement.
TTATTATCTGGCTAGTGTAACTGATATAGTTTGGATGTTTGCCCCTACAAATCTCATGTTGGAATTTGACCACCAATGTTGGACGTGGGACCTGGTGGGAGGTGTTTGGGTCATGGGGTTGGATCCTCCATGATTGGCTTGGTGCTGCCCCATGGTAATGACTGAGTTATCATTCTAATAGTTCATGTGAGAGCCGATCACTAAAAACAGCCTGGCCCTACCCCTTTTCTCTCTCTTACCTCCTCCTCTCTCACCATGTGACATACCTGCTCCTCCTTCACCTTCTGCCATTAGTGGAAACAGCATGAGGCCCTCAACAGAAGCAGAGCAGGTGCTGGCACCATATTTCTTGTACATCCAGCAGATCCACGTGCCATATACACCTCTTTTCTTTATAAATTACCCAACCGCAGGTGTTCCTTTATGCTAACGCAGAATGGACTAACACAATCATGTATTCAAGTAGAAAAAAGCAGTGGAAAAATAGGGAAAAACCGTCATTACCATCTTCTGTTGAATTCAGCAGAGCCATGAAATTCTGAGGGTATCTCAATGACTTTCAGCAATATGCTGGTTGGTCTAAATTTTTAAAAGGTTCCTTTAGATTAGTGGTGGGAAACCATATTCTTAAAGGGCTTGATAGTAAATTTTTCAGGCTTCACGGGCCATCTGGTCTTTGTCACAACTACTGAATTCTGCCATCAGCCATAGACAATAGTAAACAAATGGGTGTGGCTATGTCAAAATAATACCTTACTTGTGGACACTGAAATTTGAATTCTATATAATGTTCTCATGCCATGAAATACTGTTTCTTTGAACATTTAAAAATGTGAAAATCATTCGTAACTCATAAGCTGCAAAAGCAGGCAATGGGCCAGATTTGGCACATGGACCACAGTTTGTCAACCTCTCCTTTAAATAACCTGGCTAATCATTTTCTTACCTATCCAGCCATTGCTTCTCTGTCTTGTGCAACAAGGGGGAGGTAATGATAAATAATTCCATGACTTTTCCTTTTTTTTAGTTCACTTGGAAAAGCAGCTACATAAAGTGAATGCAGCTTTATTTCCTGAGCAGGTCCTGGAATGAGTTCCTCTCATATTGGAGTTCATATTTTATTCCAAGTGTGTAAGAGCTGCTGTTAAGTCATAACCAATGGATATTAGGCAAAAGTAAATGGCATCCAATAAATGAATAAATAGCTCCTCATTTCTGCTCTCAGAAATGAAATACTGGCAAGGGACACATTGCATAAGCAATCATGATGCTGCCTTCATAGGCTCACAGTTAAAATCACCAATAATGCATTCCTTCTTCCAACTCACTCTAAAATGCTTTATTAAGCAGTTGCTTGGAGCAAGGCCCTGTTGGATGGTAGGCAGCTTTTACAAATGACACTCACAAATGCCCCCCCTGGTCTGTTCCCCAACTTCCTTCTGCTTTCCCTTTCTTGGAACCCAGCTGCTACACTGTAAGGTAATCCAGGCTACTGTACTGAGGACAGTGGACACACAGGGTTGCCTTGGAAGATGAGACACCACGTGGAGAGAAAGCCCATGGAGAGGAGAACTGAGGCAGACAGTCAAGCTCCTAGCTTCACCAGGGACCCCACCTGATACCATGTGAAACAGAACCACCACCTAGTTAACCCATAGAATCACAAGAAATAATAAATTATTGTTATTTTAAGCCACTAGGCTTGCGGATGCTTTATAGCATTGCTAGGTAAGTAATTTCCTTCCCTTTCTCCCTTCTCCTTGCTTCTTGTGTTAGTTTTCTACTGCTACATAACAAATGATCATAAATGTAGTGGCTTAAAACAGAACAGTTATTATTATCTCACAGTTTTTGTGGGTCAGGAGTTGGGGCACAAACAAGCTGGGTCCTCTGCTCATGATCCTACAAGTCTACAATCGAGGTGCTAACTGGGCTGTGTTTTCATCTGCAGGCTTGACTGGGGAAGAATCTGCCTCCAAGCTCACCTAGATTGTTGGCAGAATTCATTTCTTTTTGCTGTAAGACTGAGGGTCCAGCCTTTTTCTGGCTGTCAGCTGGAAGCCACTCTCACATTCAAGGCTGCCTGTAGTTTCTGGCCATAAAGGCTTCATCACACCATCAGGGAGAGTCTCTCTGCCCTTGTGGAGGGTCCAGTCCCTCTTTCCAGGATTCTCAATTAAATAAGGCCCACCCAGGAGTGTAAATTAGTTCAACCATTGTGGAAGACCGTGTGGTTATTCCTCAAGGAGCTAGAGAGGCAGAAATACCATTTGACCCAGCAATCCCATTACTGGGTATATGCCCAAAGGAATATAAATCATTCTATTATAAAGATAACATGCATGTGTATGTTCACTGCAGCACTATTTACAATAGCAAAGTCATGGAATTGACCTAAATGCCCATCAGTGATAGACTGGATACAGAAAATGTGGTACATATACCACACATACCACATATACCACTGTGCAGCCATAAAAAGGAAAAAGATCATGTCCTTTGGAGGGACATGGTTAGAGTTGGAAGCCATTATCCTCAGCAAACTAATGCAGGAACAGAAAACCAAACCACATGTTCCCACTTATAAGTGGGACCTAAATGATGAGAACACATGGACACATGGGGGCAAACAACACATACTGGGGCACCTTTGTGGGGTGAGAGAGCATCAGGAAGAATAGCTAATGGATGCTGGGCTTAATACCTGGGTAACAGAATGATCTGTGCAGTAAACCACCATGGCACATGTTTACCTATGTAAAAAACCTGCACAACCTGCACATATATCCCAGAACTTAAAAGATTGAGAGAGAGAGAGGAAGGAAGGAAGGAAGGAAGGAAGGAAGGAAGGAAGGAAGGAAGGAAGGAAGCAAGGAAGGAGGGAGGGAGGGAGGGAGGGAGGGAGGGAGGGAGGGAAGGAAGGAAGGAAGGAAGGAAGAAAGGAAGGAAGGAAGGAAGGAAAACCTGCCCACCCAGGATATCCCTTCTGATTAACTCAAAAATCAACTGACTTGAAACAAAACCCTTCACCTATACGAGATTCCATTGGTTAAAAGCAAGCCACAGGTCCTGCCCACACAGAAGGTAAAGAGATTACACAGGACATAAACACTAGGGGGAAGGGCTCAGGCAGGTACCCTAGGCCCTCTACACCACACTTCTTGGCAGGATGGGATATAGTGAAAGGCAGTAGGATTGCTCAGAAGTAGAGAACCTGCTCTCTTGGACTCACCAAAGAATGAAGATGAAAGACAGGTCCAGAAACAATATTTGTATTGGACACAAAGCTATACTTCCTTAAGACAGTTCCTAGGGAGTTTTGAGTTTAGGGCTCAGGCAAGGACAAATGGCCTCTGGCTGGAGAAGAAGAGGGAAGGCTCCGGGCAAACCTAAGAGAAGGGAACAAATCCCCGGAGGCTGGGGAACAGCAAGTACCTGTTCCCCTAGAGCAGTGGTCAGGAACTCCACACCTGTGGGAGGGAAACCATATGAGTGAAGTGGGCTGAGAGGAAATGAAGAGTGGTGATGAGGGTCATGTCCAAAGGAAGCATGCATTTGCTGCCTAATGGGGACAGCTGCTGCTCAGCGCCAGCAGCGGCCTTGTCATATAGGAATGTTGGACCCAAACTGCCAGGTGTAACCTATTATGAGAGAAACTACAACTCTAAAATTTTATAGAATAACGATATGGTTTGGCTCTGTGTCCCCACCCAAATCTCATCTTGAATTGTAATCCCCAGATGTTGAGGGAGCTACCTGGTGGGAGGTGATTGGATTATGGGAGTGGTCTCCCCCATGCAGTTCTCATGATAGTGAATGAGTTCTCATGAGATTTAATGGTTTCATAAGAGGCTCTTTCCCCTTCACTCACTCTCTTACCTGCCGCCATGTAAGATGTGCCTGCTTCCCCTTCTGCCATGATTGTAAGTTTCCTGAGGCCTCCCAGCCATGCACAATTGTGAGTCAATTAAACCTCTTTTCTTTATAAATTACCCACTCTCAGGCAGTTCTTTATAGCAGTGTGAAAATGGACTAATACAAATATCTTGACTTTTAATGTTGATTGGTAATTGACAGTTTTTAAGACAGAATATGAACCAAGAAACACAAACCTGTGCAGTGAATTCAACTGAGGAAATGAGTCCTTGTAAAAGTCAATAGACGGCAGCAATATGGCAAAGCCTGCAGAGTATCTAAACCCTATTCTTCAGGCTATTTCTTGTGGCAGTAGTTCCACAAGTGTGGTTCCCCACCAGCAGCCTCCGCAGCACTCAGGAACTAGTTAGAAATGCAAACTCTCAGCCTCACTCAGATCTACTGCATCAGAAGTTGTAGAGGAACAAGCCCTCGGGTGATCCCGAAGCTCACTCAAGTTTGAGAACTACTGTTTTATGGGAATCACATTCCAGCCTTGAGATCATTTTTTTCTGTCCTGAACCCATTTCCCATTTTTACAATCTTGAAGATTGTCAATTACAACATGGCACAACTCTCTACTGAATAGCTAACATTCAAAATAATGGAGAAAGATGACTGCTCAGACATTGCTCATCATCTCACTTTAACACAATGCTGAATCGTATTCGGTTTTTATGCGAGTTGATTACCTGCACCTTCACATGGAAGTTCATAAAGAAGAGAATGTATATGTATAAAAATGTCGTGGAACTCTCCAGAATAGGGCAGAGGGAAAGAAAGACTGCAGTTAACTTGTAATCATAAAAGAAGACCCTTTTGCTACAGAAAGAAAATCCACTTCTGCTTGATAATACTTGATAAGTAGATGAAACTGCTTTAAGTAATGTTGAAATTTCCAGAATTCTGGTTTCAATTAATCCAAGAACGCATCTGGCCTAAAATGAATACTATTCATTTGGAAAGATACACTGAAATTTGTGTTTTGTCTGGAGAATTAGGACTTTGCAGCCCTCATCCTATGCCTCTACAAGTAAGGACAGGGCATTTAAATATCAATATTCTTGGGTAAATGCTATTCATTGAATGTCACCAAGTGGGAAAGATTCATGTGATACAACATGTGAGACTCACATGAAAAAACACTTGCTGTTCATAGAGCTGCTTATTAAAACTCCCCTTCACTTTCTTCTGCTTTTATAAATGGCTCTAAATAATGCAAAATATCCTTCACCATCATTTGAGATGTCATGACATCTGTGAACATTCTATTTGGCTGCAAAATGTCCATGGCCCTACTCATGTTTACTTATACTGGAGCCTCCCTCTTAGCACCCTCAGTCACTCAGCCACCTGGCAGGGCTGTGCATTAGGCCCTGCCAGACGCTCAGCACTGGGCCGTGTGCTACAGAGGTGCAACTGTGTCAAGCAGTCTCCTCCTTTCACATCATGTATGTTTATTATGAACTAATTCTGGCCTCTACCTGTCTCTGGAAGTTACCACATGAACTACTGCTGACATCTAATATAACCCTGTCTAAGAGTGAACCTCCATCTACTTCAAGGGTTGGACTGAACTCAGTGTTTATGGTTGATCAAATTTATTCCTGGATATCCTCTGGGCAGGAGACATCTCAGAATCCCACATAGTCAGCTCAGCACCGCCAGCTTTTTCTCCAGCTTCAGAGGTGATGGCTCTTTTCAAGACTGGATAGCAGGGGAAGGAGTTGGCACCCATTTGGGGACCATGTTGCACAAAATGTACGTAGTCTTAAAGACCAGGCTCACACTTGGTGAGGTGAGATGGCAGTGATAGGTGTGGACCAACAGTGACTAAGGGAATATAGAAAGACACCTCCCATCTCATGTTCAGAGTATGTGCTCCCTAGATAGAGTTGAGGACACAGCTGTCATTTGTCTCCCGTTTCTTTTTACCAGTGTGTTTAATTCCCAGAAATTAAGTATGCAAAACAGATAAAGCAGTAAGGACTTGGCCTGGACTGACTCGTGTACCTATAGACAGTCAGGATAACACTACTGGCACATGCAGTAGAAAAACACCTTTGTGATACCCCCAGAAGAGCACCCACTTTGATGTCTTTTCCCTGCTAAAATTCCACCATTTAGGTGAGACAGTGACCACCAATTGTCAGTCTACTGGCTGGTGCCCACTGAGAAACTTGTTAAAAACATGGATTACTGAACCACATCCCCAGAGATTTTGCTGCTGGAGGGGTGGGGTAGGATACACATAATTTTAAAGATCTCCCCAGGGAACTCAGGCAAGATAACAGCTTGAGAAACCTCTGAGTTCAGGCACTCAGAATACACCAAAAATATTAGTATCAGTCAATTAATAACCTCACAATGGCCTCAAAAGGTTAATAACTGTCAACGTGGAAAGCAAAGGCAGGATCAGAATAGAGAACAGACAAGTTCTGACAATGGTGAAGAACAGCAGTGGGAGATAGAGAGAAGTTTCTGGGTGGTAATGGGGGCCGTGGGAGGAACTATACAAACACAATATGTAAAGGAGAGGCCTGCAGGGCTACCATGACTGATTTCACCATTGTATAGATGCTGGGCCCAACATGCAGCTCTGCCTCAAGGGCAAATAAAAATAAAGAAAAGCACAACCCAATATGGATGAAGCACACTTCACAATGAATCTTTTCACAGAATACGTCCACTATGTCTTTACAAGTTTCTTCTCTCCTCCAAAAGTTTCATTTTTTGAAAACAAGAAAAGCCGGTCTTCAGTTTTGGTCAACCAAAAAACACAAGGCTGAGAAACCACAGATCATTATGAGATTAAGTCTACATGAGGCACTTACTCATGGACAAGCTGGAGATTACAGTAAAGATTCTCAAGGAGTCCACCGCACAGACGGGATCAGCATCAACTTACCTTTCGATCTGGCCAATTGTATTTTGCAAAGATTGTATCATAGGTGTCCACCGCCCCATCAGTTATGAGCATGATGGCCTGACTGCAGATACTTCCTTGTCCCGTGTGGTTGAACTAGGGAAAGAAATAAGTTCAAAATAGTATACATATCAGAGAATTCTGTGTATCAGTGAAAAATCAGAGACATGAGACCTGGGACTAAGGAAGCCTTTTAAAATGACAGCACACTGTCCACCACCAAAACAACCTATACAAAAAGTCTTTCCACACAGATCACCACATTTGCTCTGACAAATTGGATCTTTAAGCCAAAAATAAAATTCTAAGCCCTCCAACCAACCGAACAGACCTTACTGTTGGCCAAGGGAATCCCAAAGAAATCTGAAAAAGTACTTCAGGCCATGCCAGGAAGTGGGGGAAGGGTCAGACATACCTGGTTATACCCCCTCCCTTTGGAGTTTTGGGAGAACTGATCAGCACTAATGTTAAAACCACAATCATAAGACTGACAAAACAGACTCTTTGTAGCAATAATATACAAAATTCCAACCTGACTCTGGCATAGCACTGAAAGGCAGATAGTAGGCCCTGAAGGAAATCAAGGTATTTTACTCCAAAATATATTTATTTATTTGGAAATGGTCATATAAAGTCTTCTCCTGTGGGGGATATTTGCATTCGCTAGAGAATTTCCTTCCCTTTCTAGGTCTTTTCCTAATCCAGGAGAGATTCAACTAAGACTTTGACATCTTTTCAGGTCTGAAAAGAGATATTTGCCATCTATTCTCTCTGAAGCCTGCCACTTAGAGGCTTCATCTACATAACAAAACCCTGGCTTCCACACCCCTCTTAACTCAAGGATTTCTTTCTGCTGACTTCAACTCTTCATGCAAAGCTTAATTCTTTCAACCAACTGCCAGTCAGAAATCTTTGAATCCACCTGTGACCTGTAAGTGTCCCCTATCCCTTTGAAATGTCTTGCCTTTCCAGGCTAAACCAATGTATACCTTACATGTATTATGTCTTTGCCTGTAACTTCAGTCTCCCTTAAATGTATAAAACCAAGCTGTAACATGACCACAACTTAGGCATATGCTCTCAGGACCCCTTGAGGCTGCACCCCAGGACACAGTCATTCATATTTGGCTCAGAATAAATATCTTTAAATACTTCATCGAGCTTGGCTTTTTTTTTTTTTTCCAATAGATCCAAATACAGATCACAGGGGGATTTCAAAAAATACACAAGAGGTGGGAAGGAAGAGTCTAGGATTGCACAACCTCTCTTACCTTCAGGTATGGACTGTGTTTTAGGAAATAAGCCCAAAGGAGTTGGCACAGAAATGTTTTAGGAACACATTATACAAACAATGGGCTACTTGAGAGACAATATCTCTTTCAAAATCTAAATGAGGCTAGTTCGGGTGGATCTGATGAGTACAGAATGCAGCATATAATAAAATCAAGGAGGTTTTAGGCATATAGGGAGAAAGTCAGTAACATGACAATTCACTTGAGAAGCCCAAGTATTTTCTTAATAAGGGTTCATTTCAAATTTATATTGTTGGCATGTAAACTTACATATTAGTTTATACGTTAGCATGTATGGCATGCTGAAGTTCTAAGATTGCGCTCACTGGTATGTAAAACCCTAGACTTCTTCAACTTTCAGCTTTATGTAAGATTTTAGCAGCTCTCAGCCTTTGTGAGTGGTAGGCAGCTAGAGTGACTGAATATGGTTGCCAGAGCAGAATGTCCTTCCCTGGAATCGGGGTGAAAAATTCCCTTAATTAATGCTATTAATGATGCAATTGAAAGTAATACCATGTCCTTTAAAATCCCTACAATTACATGTCAATGCTGCGAGATGGGAAACACATACAAAATCTTCAACCTTCAGTAAGTAAAAACCTTCTCTATTAAAATCTGCAAAGTGTATTCATTTGTTCTAAAATTATTTGCTAAGTGCCCACACAGCACTAGGAATGAAACATAAAAAAATCTCTTCCCTCACTTAGCTTCGTATTCTCTTTGGGAATGTCAGGCCTCTGAGCCCAAGCCAAGCCATCGCATCCCCTATGACATGCACGTACACGCCCAGATGGCCTGAAGTAACTGAAGAATCACAAAAGAAGTGAATATGCCCTGCCCCACCTTAACTGATGACATTCCACCACAAAAGAAGTGTAAATGGCCAGTCCTTGCCTTAACTGATGACATTACCTTGTGAAAGTCCTTTTCCTGGCTCATCCTGGCTCAAAAAGCACCCCCACTGAGCACCTTGCGACCCCCCGCTCCTACCCGCCAGAGAACAAACCCCCTTTGACTGTAATTTTCCTTTACCTAACCAAATCCTATAAAACGGCCCCACCCTTATCTCCCTTCGCTGACTCTCTTTTCGGACTCAGCCCGCCTGCACCCAGGTGAAATAAACAGCCTCGTTGCTCACACAAAGCCTGTTTGGTGGTCTCTTCACACGGACGCGCATGAAATTTGGTGCCGTGACTCGGATCGGGGGACCTCCCTTGGGAGATCAATCCCCTGTCCTCCTGCTCTTTGCTCCGTGAGAAAGATCCACCTACGACCTCAGGTCCTCAGACCAACCAGCCCAAGAAACATCTCACCAATTTCAAATCCGGTAAGCGGCCTCTTTTTACTCTGTTCTCCAACCTCCCTCACTATCCCTCAACCTCTTTCTCCTTTCAATCTTGGCGCCACACTTCAATCTCTCCCTTCTCTTAATTTCAATTCCTTTCATTCTCTGGTAGAGACAAAAGAGACATGTTTTATCCGTGAACCCAAAACTCCGGCGCCGGTCACGGACTGGGAAGGCAGTCTTCCCTTGGTGTTTAATCATTGCAGGGACGCCTCTCTGATTTCACGTTTCAGACCACGCAGGGATGCCTGCCTTGGTCCTTCACCCTTAGCGGCAAGTCCCGCTTTCCTGGGGCAGGGGCAAGTACCCCTCAACCCCTTCTCCTTCACCCTTAGCGGCAAGTCCCGCTTTTCTGGGGCAGGGGCAAGTACCCCTCAACCCCTTCTCCTTCACCCTTAGCAGCAAGTCCCGCTTTCCTAGGGGGCAAGAACCCCCCAATCGCTTATTTTCACGCCCCAACCTCTTATCTCTGTGCCCCAATCCCTTATTTCCACGCCCCAATCTCTTATCTCTGCGCCCCAATCCCTTATTTCCGCGCCCCAACCCTTTCTCTGCTTTTCTGGAGGGGAAGAAACCCCCACCCCTTCTCCGTGTCTCTACTCTTTTCTCTGGGCTTGCCTCCTTCACTATGGGCAAGCTTCCACCTTCCATTCCTTTCTTCTCCCTTAGCATGTATTCTTAAGAACTTAAAATCTCTTCAATTCTCACCTGACCTAAAATCTAAGCGTCTTATTTTCTTCTGCAATGCCACTTGACCCCAATACAAACTCAACAGTAGTTCCAAATAGCCAGAAAATGGCACTTTCAATTTTTCCACCCTACAAGATCTAAATAATTCTTGGCGTAAAATGGGCAAATGGTGTGAGGTGCCTGACGTCCAGGCATTCTTTTACACATCAGTCCCTTCCTAGTCTCTGTGCCCAGTGCAACTCGTCCCAAATCTTCCTTCTTTCCCTCCCGCCTGTCCCCTCAGTACCAACCCCAAGCGTCACTGAGTCTTTCTAATCTTCCTTTTCTACAGACCCATCTGACCTCTCCCTTCCTCCCCAGGCTGCTCCTTGCCAGGCCGAGCTAGGTCCCAATTCTTCCTCAGCCTCTGCTCCTCCACCCTATAATCTTTTTATCACCTCCCCTCCTCACACCTGCTCCGGCTTACAGTTTCATTCCGTGACTAGCCCTCCCCGACCTGCCCAGCAATTTATTCTTAAAAAGGTGGCTGGAGCTAAACGCATAGTCAAGGTTAATGCTCCTTTTTCTTTATCCCAAATCAGATAGTGTTTAGGCTCTTTTTCATCAAATATAAAAATCTAGCCCAGTTCATGGCTCGTTTGGCAGCAACCCTAAGACACTTTACAGCCCTAGCCCCTAAAAGGTCAAAAGGCCATCTTATTCTCAATATACATTTTATTACCCAATCTGCTCCCGACATTAAATAAAACTCCAAAAACTGGAATCTGGCCCTCAAACCCCACAACAGGACTTAATTAACCTCACCTTCAAGGTGTGAAATAACAGAAAAAAGTTGCAATTCCTTGCCTCCACTGTGAGACAAACCCCAGCCACATCTCCAGCACACAAGAACTTCCAAACGCCTGAACTGTAGCAGCCAGACGTTTCTCCAGAACCTCCTCCCCCAGGAACTTGCTACACATGCCGGAAATCTGGCCACTGGGCCAAGGAACGCCCGCAGCCCGGGATTCCTCCTAAGCCGCGTCCCATCTGTGTGGGACCCCACTGAAAATCGGACTGTTCAACTCACCTGGCAGCCACTCCCAGAGCTCCTGGAACTCTGGCCCAAGGTTCTCTGACTGACTCCTTCTTGGCTTACTGGCTGAAGACTGACGCTGCCTGATCGCCTCAGAAGCCCCGCAGACCATCATGGACGCCGAGCTTTAGGTAACTCACAGTGGAGGGTAAGTCCGTCCCCTTCTTAATCAATACGGAGGCTACCCACTCCACATTACCTTCTTTTCAAGGGTCTGTTTCCCTTGCCTCCATAACTGTTGTGAGTATTGACAGCCAGGCTTCTAAACCTCTTAAAACTCCCCAACTCTGGTGCCAACTTAGACAATACTCTTTAAAGCACTCCTTTTTAGTTATCCCCACCTGCCCAGTTCCCTTATTAGGCTGAGACACTTTAACTAAATTGTCTGCTTCCCTGACTATTCCTGGACTACAGCTATATCTCATTGCCGCCCTTCTTCCCAATCAAAAGCCTCCTTTGCGTCCTCCTCTTGTATCCCCCCACCTTAACCCACAAGTATAAGATACGTCTACTCCCTCCTTGGTGACCGATCATGCACCCCTTACCATCTCATTAAAACCTAATCACCCTTACCCTACTCAACGCCAATATCCCATCCCGCAGCACACTTTAAAAAGGTTAAAGCCTGTTATCACTCGTCTGCTACAGCATGGCCTTTTAAAGCCTATAAACTCCCCTTACAATTCCCCCATTTTACCTGTCCTAAAACCGGACAAGCCTTACAAGTTAGTTCAGGATCTGTGCCTTATCAACCAAATTGTTTTGCCTATCCACCCCGTGGTGCCAAACCCGTATACTCTCCTATCCTCAATACCTCCCTCTACTACCCATTAGTCTGTTCTAGAACTCAAACATGCTTTCTTTACTATTCCTTTGCACCCTTCATCCCAGCCTCTCTTTGCTTTCACTTAGACTCACCCTGACACTGATTAGGCTCAGCAAATTACCTGGGCTGTACTGCCACAAGGCTTCACAGACAGCCCCCATTACTTCAGTCAAGCCCAAATTTCATCCTCATCTGTTACCTATCTCGGCATAATTCTCATAAAAACACACGTGCTTTCCCTGCTGATCGTGTCCGATTAATCTCCCAAACCTCAATCCCTTACAAAACAACAACTCCTTTCCTTCCTAGGCATGGTTATAGTGCAGTCAGAATTCTTACACAAGAGCCAGGACCACACCCTGTAGCCTTTCTGTCCAAACAACTTGACCTTACTGTTTTAGCCTAGCCCTCATGTCTGCGTGCAGAGGCTGCCGCTGCTTTAATACTTTTAGAGGCCCTAAAAATCACAAACTATGCTCAACTCACTCTCTACATTTCTCATAACTTCCAAAATCTATTTTCTTCCTCATACCTGACGCATATGCTTTCTGCTCCCTGGCTCCTTCAGCTGTACTCACTCTTTGTTAAGTCCCACAATTACCATTGTTCCTGGCCCGGACTTCAATCCGGCCTCCCACATTATTCTTGATACCACACCTGACCCCCACGACTGTGTCTCTCTGATCCACCTGATATTCACCCCATTTTCCCATATTTCCTTCTTTCCTGTTCCTCACCCTGATCACGCTTGATTTATTGATGGTAGTTCCACCAGGCCTAATCGCCACATACCAGCAAAGGCAGGCTATGCTATAGTACTAGCCACTAGCCTGCCTCTCAGAACCTCTCATTTCCTTTCCATCGTGGAAATCTATCCTCAAGGAAATAACTTCTCAGTGTTCCATCTGCTATTCTACTACTCCTCAGGGATTATTCAGGCCCCCTCCCTTCCCTACACATCAAGCTCAGGGATTTGCCCCCACCCAGGACTGGCAAATTAGCTTTACTTAACATGCCCGAGTCAGGAAACTAAAATACCTCTTAGTCTAAATAGACACTTTCACTGAATAAGTAAAGGCGTTTCCTACAGGGTCTGAGAAGGCCACCAGTCATTTCTTCCGTTCTGTCAGACATAATTCCTCATTTTAGCCTTCCCACCTCAATACAGTCTGATAACAGATGAGTCTTTATTAGTCAAATCAGCCAAGCAGTTTTTCAGGCTCTTAGTATTCAGTGAAACCTTTATATCCCTTACAGTCCTCCATCTTCAAGAAAGGTAGAATGGACTGAAGGTCTTTTAAAAACACACCTCACCAAGCTCAGCCACCAAAAAGGACTGGACAATACTTTTATCACTTTCCCTTCTCAGAATTCAGGCCTGTCCTCGGAATGCTACAAGGTACAGCCCATTTAAGCTCCTGTATAGATGCTCCTTTTTATTAGGCCCCAGTCTCATTCCAGACACCGGACCAACTTAGACTGTGCCCCCAAAAAAACTTGTCATCCCTACTATTTTCTGTCTAGTCATACTCCTATTTTCCATTCTCAACTACTCATACATGCCCTGCTCTTGTTTACACTGCCGGTTTACACTGTTTCTCCAAGCCATCATAGCTGATATCTCCTGGTGCTATCCCCAAACCGCCACTCTTAACTCTTGAAGTAAATAAATAATCTTTGCTGGCAGGACTATGCTGAATTTCCTTAGGCACTCTCTAATCAGATGCCCTAGGTCCTCCCAATTCTTAGACCTTTTATACCTGTTTTTCTCCTTCTTATTCCATTTAGTTTTTCAGTTCATACAAAACCGTATCCAGGCCATCACCAATCATTCTATACAACAAATGTTTCTTCTAACAACCCCACAATATCACCCCTTACCATAAGATCTCCTTTCAGCTTAATCTCTCCGACTCTAGGTTCCCACACCGCCCCTAATCCCGCTTGAAGCAGCCCTGAGAAACATCGTCCACTCTCTCTCCATACCACTCCACAAAAATTTTCCCCGCCCCAACACTTCAACACTATCTTGTTTTATTTTTCTTATTAAGAAGGCAGGAATGTCAGGCCTCTGAGCCCAAGCCAAGCCATTGCATCCCCTGTGACCTGCATGTATATGCCCAGATGGCCTGAAGTAACTAAAGAATCACAAAAGAAGTGAATATGCCCTGCCCCACCTTAACTGATGACATTCCACCACAAAAGAAGTGTAAATGGCCAGTCCTTGCCTTAACTGATGACATTACCTTGTGAAAGTCCTTTTCCTGGCTCATCCTGGCTCAAAAAGCACCCCCACTGAGCACCTTGCGACCCCCGCTCCTACCCGCCAGAGAACAAACCCCCTTTGACTGTAATTTTCCTTTACCTACCCAAATCCTATAAAACGGCCCCACCCTTATCTCCCTTCGCTGACTCTCTTTTCCGACTCAGCCCGCCTGCACCCAGGTGAAATAAACAGCCTTGTTGCTCACACAAAGCCTGTTTGGTGGTCTCTTCACACAGACGCGCATGAAAGGGAAGACATACAAAAACAAGGTAAATAAGTAAACTACGTTATATGTTTGATAATGGTGATGTTAAGGGTGGGGAAAGAAGAAAGCAAAGAAGGATAAGAAATGGGAGGGGGCAATTCTAGAAACCATAGTCAGGGAAGACCTCACTGAGAAGGTGACATTTGAGTTATACCTGAGAGATGTGAGTATCTGAGGGAAAGATATTCCAGGAAGGGCAAACGTTAAGTGCAAAGGCACTGAGTGGGAGTGTGCCTGGCAGGTTCAATCTATTGAACCATGACACTGGGGAGGGATGGTGGCTACTCTTGGCTTTGCTGGCTGGCCACTGGTGAATGAGAGACGTAATAAAGCATTCAAATTAAAGATATTAATGCCTAGTCTTCAGGCACTTAGACATCTGATGTGGAGTCTGAAGTTGCAGTAACTTGAGAGAAGACCATACATAACTGGATAGATGCATAGATAGATAAATGGATGAATGGAATTGCCTTATGGCCATACTGAGACACAGCAAAGCCAACTCGAATCACGCACGGGGTACCATGGCATAGGGGAAAGCACTCGATGTCATCTCAGCAACACAGCTGTGTGCCTGGGATAAGTTTCCTTCCGGAGCTTTCATTCTTCCACAGACAAGATAAGAATAACATCCTTAAGTGGTTGGTACACCACAGGTTAAATGTTCAATGTTTGTTATATGCCAGGCTACGTGTATTAATACGAATTTACTTAATCCTTACAGGCCTCTGAGGTAGGTACTACTGAGACAGCCAGGTGGGAAGGACTCCTTGGCAAAACTCCAACCAGCCTGTACACTGGGAGGAATGTGCACTGGGATGGAGCCATAGAAGTTTGTGTCGTTTGCAGTGGGGAGGAGCCTGGTCCCTCCTCTTCCTGTGAGGAACCTGGAATTCAATCTGTGAGGTGGGAAGAAGCATGTACTAGCAGGACTAGTACCTGTTTCCCTTTTTTCCCTTTTTGCCCAATAAATCCGATTTTTCTTACTCTTCAAACTTCTGCAAGCCTAAACTTTCGTGGCCATGTGACGAGGATCCTGTCTTTAGCTGAGCTAAGGAAAAGTCTTCCAACGCTATCATTATCTTTATTTTACAGGTAGGAAACTAAGGCACAGAGAGATTAGCTAACTTGCCCCAGGTCACACAGCTACTATCTGACATAGCTGGGATTTGAATCCAGACCATCAAGCTCTAGAATCTACTCTCCAATTGAGCACACAATATGGCCTTTCAGTAATTCAGGAAGATCAGTAAGCAAATGGATAGGTGGTAGGGCTCCAAAAGTATTAATCTCCTCCTCCTGCCTCTACTTCCTCCATCCCTTTTAGGGTTTCAGGGTCACAGGGCAGTCACCAGGGCTGTGATCCTGAGGGTGAGTGCTCCTTACATGTGGTGCCCCAGACACTTTCCTCATCTTAGTCCTGGCCCTGGCAGCCACTCCTGCAACTCCGACTGCACATGTGCAACTGAGTTAATGAGCAGACGCAGCCCCTGACACTGTCACGTTAGTAGGTAGAAACACCTGGAAACTCCGCTATCACACCACAAAGCTTTCCACGCGACCACTATTCTACTGTCTTTATCAATATAACTTACTATTCCAGAAAATGCTTGCCCAGGAAGGTCAAACTCGGAAATAACCTCATTGCTTATTCCAGGAACTTCTTGAAAGACCCATCAATTCTTCAATAGAAAGCATCAAAGGACAATTTACACCCTAAGACTGAACCCCTGACCTCAAAATCTTTCCCTTGCTATGTTCACCAACCTCAACAGAAATATTAGGATTCTTACCTGATCCTAGCCAAGCCCCCTCCCTCATCTCCCATTAAAGGGTCCATCTTCAACCAAACTTAAGTCTCAATAAATATCTGGACATTGTCCTTCCAACTCTGGGAAGCTGCTAAGACTCTGTCCTTACTGCAGAAGAAAAAACAGCCTTGTACCCTGGTCTTCTCAACAGGTTGTTCTGGAGATGTTCTGGGGAGACTGCATTAAACACAGCTTCGCACCATTGAATAAACTCAGCAACAAGCCAATGCATAAAAGTAATCTATGCTTCAGGTCACAGAAGCTTCAAGGGGAAAAAAACAGAATACTCTAGGGCCATTGTTCACAAACTCATCTGAAAACATCCTGGAAAAATTTTCCCAAACACATGGAAAGAAAGAGAGGAAAAAAGAAGATATCTGAATAATGTGGACTAGAATAAAGAGCTGCCAGGAGCTGTTTATTTAAAAACAGTACTTTCTTCTCTGGCTGAGTCCCTGGTATTCTCTGCTGCAATCTGTAGCTGTAGAATTTTGAAGAATGCAATTAAATTCAAATGGTTTGATGAGTAATATCTTTTCTCTTCATATTTGTCTAAAACTTTTCTTTATTGAATAGCGAGAGTGATGAAAGTGTTTTCCATAATAATAACAATGACAAGGGCCTGATGATGAACTACAATTAGCTCAGTGATTCATCAGTTAGCAGTGAAATTTTCAATGCATCCTGACATTTAGAGCATTTGGTTGTGATTAACAGTCTTTGAAATGTCACCGAATTTTATTTAATTGGCTAAGAAAAAATTTTAAAAGGTAATCACTGCAAAGATCACATTCATCGCCAAAAATGATAATTGCAGTTGTCACATGACAAGGTAGATGCTAACTACTGTAGCAAACTTGCTCTGTGTTCTTACAGAATCTAATGAATGCAGCAGAGATCAAGAGCTTGAAGGGGCTTAGAAGTTTATTTGAATGCTCCTTTCAAAGCCATTTGTATCAAGAACTGCAAGCCTTTAAGTCATCTGAGCAAATACCAAAACTGAAATGCAGGTAACTGTAAAACAGAATAAACTCCATTCAATTATAGTAACCTCTGAACCATTCTAAGCTCCAGCCACGATCACAATTTTAAGCACGTGTGTGTGTGCGTGTATATGTGTGTGTTCAAGAAATAACTTTTTATTTCATATTGACTTGTAAAGGCAGGCATAATACACAGGAAGATAATAATATCACTTAAAGGTCATATTGATGAAGTAGAAAATATTAATAGACAAAGCTTCATTTTCATGGGAGATTAACCACCTCTGTGTTTGTCAAAGAGTTTAGCTATTTAAAAGCTCACTGGCAATAGATGATATGAAATGTTTCTCCCTATGAGATAAATGTGCACTCAAACAAATATAGTGTTAATCGCCAACCAATCTCAAGCTGGGACATTTTGTAACATTTATCTTTGTGTGTGTGTGTGTGTGTGTGTGTGTGTGTGTTTGATGGAGTCTCGCTCTGTCACCCAGGCTGAAGTGCAGTGGTGCAATCTCAGCTCACTGCATCCTCTCCCTCCTGGGTTCAAGCGATTCTCCTGCCTCAGCCTCCCGAATAGCTGGGATTACAGGCGCCTACCACCATGCCTGACTAATTTTTCTGTATTTTTAGTAGAGACGGGATTTCACCATGTTGGTCAGGCTGGTCTCGAACCCCGGACCTCTGGTGATCCGCCCACCTCGCCCTCCCAAAGTGCTGGGATTACAGGTGTGAGCCACCGTGCCTGGCCTATCATTGTGTTTTTTTAAAAAACATTTATTCGGCTTTTTGCTTTCCAAGATCTATATTCAGCTCATGTGGTTATCTGACTGACCAGACTCCAGAGGTATTTTTACAGGGGTATGGAGGGTTTTCCTGTTCAAAAATGCTTCCCTCACAAAGATTCAGGATAAAAAAGTCCACCATGTGTTGGTGATTTCTCTGGGTCTTAGTAGGCCCTGTGAAAGTGTGAATACACCTTCTTGGAGCATACAATATTATGCCCCAAAATGTGGTTGGTGAGCTGTAACTTCTACAAGATGCTAATACGGAGATGATGGTATGATATAAAGTGTTCCTGGGTTAGTAAGTGTGGTTAAACACATTTTTAAAGGTTTGTTCACTGCAGGACTTCTCAAGGCCTTTGATATGCGCAAGTACCTTGTGAGTCTGCAAGAGGAGGATGGCATCTCCTCACCTTGACCACAACCCCCATGTGGGAGTACCTTGGCAGGCCGGCATTAAACTGCGCATGCTATGGGAAATAGTGTCTTAGGAGGGTCTGAGAACAAAGGTGACAGATGGAAGGGATGGACAGAGAAAGGGTACCAGGGAAAGGAACAGAAAATAGAGGAAGGGGAGCAGACACTCCTAATGACTTGGGCAAAGAGAACCAAAGCATTTGTAGTGGGAGCTGTGTCTAGAGACCTGGGTTCTCAGTGGTCACAGAGGTGGCACTTCTCACCCAGCCCAGCACTGCTGAAAGGGAGCCAGGTCCTGCCTCATCAGGCTGAATCTCAACCCCACGAGAAAGGGACCACCAGGACCACCTCACGGGTGTGTGACATGCACAGCTGCACAAGATTACACTAAGAAAGCTCCGCACTTGGTTCAAGGCTTTGCTACCATTACCTTAAAATTCTCAATAACTGTGAACAAGAAACCCTGTAAACTCTGGCTGAGTCAGGCTTCTCAGCCCCAATCTGCCTTACTCCAGGGGCCACAGACTTAACCATACAACAATCTCCTAACCCTTTCTCCTTCGCCACTTAGGCCAGAGAACAGGGAAAGAGAAATTCACTGCAGGGAAGACTTCCAAACAAGGGACTCCACAGCTCAGAGAAGTCTCCCCCTGCTCTGGCCACTAGGTTTTTGAGATAAAACGAGAGGGAATTTTCAAACTGTAACAGGTCTTTTCAATATCACCACCTGGAAAGAGCCTGCTGAGATGCAGAGACCCAAGCCCTAAGAAGGCACCTGCCCAGCAGCCTAGTCCTCTGTCCTCGCCGGCTGTGTCACTAAAACTATTACTTTGCTGTCAACAGAGATGTACTGTCCAAAACACGGACTCTTACATAAATGTTTACATCCTGTAGCCAACAGCCCCTTGGAGCTCATTAGGTGACCGGGGCTTTGGATTTGTACTGAGGAAGTTGACTTGGCACCTTCTCTCCTTATTTTTCTCTTCTCCTCTGCAGTCATGACACTGGCTCAGGACTGAGATCTAAACAGTCATCTTCGTGGCAACAGGTATTATTGGTAAAAGAGAGTCTGGAAATTAGGGCCTAGCCTTTCTTGAGAGGCCAGTATAGCTGAGTAGTAAAAAGTCAAGTTTTGGAGTCAGGTGTAACTAACCCACAATCCAAGTTATGAACTGTGGAGTGAATGACTCACCTGCCTGGGCTTCTGCTTGCTCACCTGCAAAATGACAACAGCCTGCCCTACAGAGCTGCCTGCAGACCAACAGCAGCAAGGCCTTGGGAGTCTCTGCTGGTCTCCCAGCTCCTGCTTGACACCTCAAGATGATGTTGCTCCATTTAGTGCCTGTTTGTTCTCAGACTATCCCATGCCTTCTTCCTGCAAACCACAGCTCTCAAGCTCCCCAACAGTTTGACAAGGATCATACAAAGGGGAAAGGAAGCAAGGAAAGAATCAAGGTCTTTCTAAGCAATTTCTCTACGCTCTCAGGGGATAGGCATTTTCTGGCCGTGACTGTGTCTCCTCCATAGTTCCAACTTCCACAGGACAGGTCCTTCCCTCCATAGTCACAGTTCTTCTTGGGTAGCCTCCTCCACACTTCTGAATGGCCCATCTGAATGGCCACAGTGACTCGGCGCTGATGTCACCCCTCCTGCCTGTTGTACCCCCTGCCCTAGAGAGGAGATGCCTCCTGCTGATGCTAATCTGTGGATTGCTTCATTCTCTGGTTTCTCAGCTTTTCCATCCCTTATGCCATCAATTGCCCGAATTAAACTCCTACTATTTAAAATACCTAGAGTGGTTTTTATTTTTCTGCTTCTTAACATCTTCACTGCTATCTCCCTAGTCCAAGTCACCATTATCTTACCCAGATAACTTAATGGCCTCCCTGTTATTGTCCTTGCCCTCCTAGGGTTGCTTCTAAATACAGCAGCCAGAAAAATGCTGTTGAGTTCAAGACCATGTAGTTCTCTGCCTAGACCCTCCAATGGCTTTCCACTCCACAGTCAAAGCCCTCATTAGTGTCTCTATGACGCTACTCAATTTGGCTCCTGCTGCTTCCATGGTCTCATTCCCTAGCATTCTCTCTTCCCCACTGTGCTCTGGTTTGACCTCACTGGCTGGCATCTGGTTCCCTAGATGACTTAAATGGCCAGCCAGTCTCACTCTCCCGTCCCATGCCTATAGATCTGCTCAGTGTCAGCCAGAGCTGGCCCACAATTTTTTTCTTTTTCTATTTTTTTTTGAGACGGAGTCTCGCTCTGTCACCCAGGCTGGAGTGCACAATCTCGGCTCACTTCAAGCTCCACCTCCCGGGTTAACACCATTCTCCTGCCTCCACCTCCCGAGTAGCTGGGACTACAGGCACCCGCCACCATGCCTGGCTAATTTTTTGTATTTTTAGTAGAGATGGGGTTTCACCGTGTTAGCCAGGATGGTCTGGATCTCCTGACCTCATGATCCGCCCATCTCGGCCTCCCAAAGGGCTGGGATTAAAGGTCTGAACCACAGCGCCCAGCCTGGCCCACAATTTTCTAAAACAACACCCATCTATTCTCCAAGGGATGAGAAAGGCAAATCAAAGAGGAACTTACATCACTCAGAATGTTGAAGGCCTCATTCAGAGCTATATCCAACATTCCAATTCCTTTGGCGAAAAGTTTGTCCAGATGCTCCCTGAAGTGCTGAAACAGCAAAGCAGAAAATCCATTAGTGTCTGTCCTGTTATGTGAAACACCAACCTTGAATGAATTAGATGTACGCCATGGCAAGACCAATGATTGTCAGATCCAACCGGTCATAATTTACTTTTTCCTTCTACATTCAAAACATAAGAACTTACTCAATGTAAAACTTACCTTCAATATTCATGGTTTAGCTTCAGTTACAGTTTAGGAAGAAAATCAGTTGAACTCTGGTGAAAAGCATTTAATTCATCTAAAATTGCCACTTTCCTCTCCCGTTTCATCATTGGTGACTCTTTTCCTCTCCTACCCCTACTCTCCCGCTCCTGATCACATTTAGGACTCTGCATATGCACCCCTCCACTGGGAACCCACTCTCAATCCATTCCCTGGCTCTCCTGCCACGCCCTCTCCCACCCACTTTTCACATCTCATATGGGCATAACCCTCTTCCCACCGCATGACGTATTCTCAGAGCACCAGCCTCTAAGACTAGCCTAGAATGCTTCCTTTGTGACTCCATGCTGCCATCAGGTACTCAGATCCACCTTTCACTGAGCACTGCATAATTAAACTCTGTCCCCACCTAAGACTGTGACATTTCTTAAGATACGGCATTACTCTGTCTTCATGTCTACCACATGCGTAATACACACAGAAGGGGCTCAGTAGATAGCTCTAAGGAGCAAGGATAAAGACTGGATCACAACATGAAAACTGTGATTATAACAAGACAGACACAGGCTAGAAATCCAGAAGAGCTCCAGGGAATAAGGAGAATGGGAGTGAGGCTCTTCCAGAGTAGGCCCTAAGACCCTTCTGGCTCTGCAGAAGCTCAGCATTAGCTAGAGATTAAAGGGGACTAAAGAAAGTAACTGCGAAACCCCACACGTTTCTGCTTCCCAACAAAGGGGCAAGAGCGAATTCAGGCTCATGCCCAGGAACAGGTCAGTGCACACAATGCATGTCCAGGAACACATGCATGTATGAGTGACCCAAAAGCCCACACCCATGGTGGCACCACGGCCTCGCTTTGCTTTCCAGTCACTGCATTCCGAACCCCTTTCTTTTTCTTTCTTTTTTTTTTTTTTTTTTTTTTTTTGACTGGAACCATGTGCGCCTTTATTAGCTGAGCCACTGCTTGAGAGGGATGAAGCGGGAGGAGTGGCTGGCCCCGATGCCGGGCCCGCCGTGCTTTATGGGCTTGTAGGTGATGGAGAACTCGCCCAGGTAGTGGTCGATCATCTCGGGCTTGATCTCCACCTGGTTGAAGGTCTTGCCGTTGTAGACGCCCACCATGCTGCCCACCATCTCGGGCAGGATGATCACGTCACGCAGGTGCGTCTTCACCACTTCCGGCTTCTCCATGGGCAGCGCCTCCTTCTTGGCCTTGCGCAGGCACTTCAGCAGGGAGTGCTGCTTCCGCCGCAGGCCCCGGTTCAGCCGCCGCTGCTGGCGCGCACTGTACAGCGGCATCAGCCGCTTGTAGGACATGTCCAGCAGCTGGTCCAGGTCCACGCCACGGTAGGTGAACCTGCGGAAGGTCTGCTTCTTCTGCTCTACTTCTGCCATCTTGCCGGATCCTCAGAAAAGAGCTCTCTGGTCCGCGCCTGCGCAGTTATCGTGAGACTCCCCTTGCTTTTTCTATTGAAATGGATTATTTTCTCCCCAAAGGCATCCCCACTTTTGTCCGCTGGGGAAACTGGCAGGGGGAGTCACCAGGAGGGAGAGGAACAGGAAGAATGAGCTCATGGAAAATATCCACCCATGATTTCCTTGCTAAGGAGTGGCTTTCTTTCTCTTACCACGCCCTAACACCCAACAACGCCCCAGGCATGCCATCAGCACTCAGATGGTGAAACCCATTCATGATGTGTCTAATTGGCCACACTGCTTAGGACCCCCAAAATGATCACGGAATCAAAATGGATCGTAGAGACAAATCTTAGGGCATGCTGATTGTTTTAAGATGCTGCTCTGCCTCTCCTTGGGTCCCCTCAGAAGCAGTAGGAGCCCCCAGTCATTGAGCTGGGCAGAAGATTTGCTGGCAAGATGGTGCCAGTGTGAACGCCAAAGTTTGGGTGGGTTCTTCATGGTAAAAACCTTTGAATGACACCTGGGCCTAACATGAATCGAGGCTGAATTTAAAACTGGTGGCTCACCTTGGGCACATATACAACCCACAAGACCCTCTTCCCTGGCCCGCTCCACTGTCATAGCAACCTTCCTTGCCCTCTGGCCCATCAGAGCAGCCACCATTATTGAAGCCTGCCTGGTGTTAGGCCCTTAAAAAATACAGTGCAACTGAGTCTTCATGACAATCATGTGAGGTTCCATCATCCCACTTTACAGATAGACTGAGAACTGTGTCCAAATACACACACCACCTAGTTGCCTGGCCCAGGTTTCAATCCAGGTCAGCTACACCTACTCTAATGCCCTTCTTCTTTCTGCTATATACCTGTTGTTTCTCTAAATTAGCAAAATAATATTTTTTTTTCTTTTTGAGCACCTTGTATGCCAGGCACTTGCCATGGGCTTGACATATACCTGAGCAGTCTGGCTCCAGAATGCTCACTTTAATCTCTGCTCCTGGGTGGGAGCTAAGTCTTCAGGGGATGATCAAATGGCTTGAGTGATGGGGGAGAGGAATGCTGAGGGCCAGGGAACTAGGCAGTCTCAGGGCCAGGAGCCAAGCTTTGTGCCTCTCTTTTCTTTCTGCCCAGTTCTCAAGGCCCATCAGGATGCCAAGTGCATGGCAGGTCCTCCAGGAATGCCTGGTGAACAAATCCAGGCAATTAACCGAGTCCAAGGAAGCCAGGCGTCCCAGCTGTAGTTGGGCAGGAAGGGAGTCTGCCTTCACCAACAACCACCCCCGGTGGAAATCAGGCTTGTGACCACCATGAGGACTTAGGCTCTGAAAGTGTCAACACATGGTGGTCCCCACACCCTCCTGCACCCACCTAGGGACACGGAGCATGATGAAACACCCATCACACAGCTCACTGAGAGGCTGGTCATTAACCAGCCCTAGATTCACAAAGCTGTGGCCAGACTCTGCCTTTACAAGTTCATTCTATTTGCCTGATGTCATTTCTGCCAAATGCCTTAATTGCACTCAGTCACACATGTTAACACAGCATTTTTTTCTTTTTTTTCTTGAGACGGAGTAGTCTCGCTCTGTCGCCCAGGCTGGAGTGCAGTGGGTGCGATCTCGGCTCACCAGAAGCTCCGCCTCCCGGGTTCACGCCATTCTCCTGCCTCAGCCTCCAGAGTAGCTGGGACTACAGGCGCCCGCCACCACGCCTGGCTAATTTTTTGTATTTTTAATAGAGACGGGGTTTCACCGTGTTAGCCAGGATGGTCTCGATCTCCTGACCTCATGATCCACCCGCCTCAGCCTCCCAAAGTGCTGGGATTACAGGCATGAGCCACCGGGCCCAGCCTACAGAGCATTTTTTTAAACAACCTGCACAACATTTAATTTTTCTTTTCATCTCTGTGTAGCTCATGTGGCACTTCAGGCAATGGTTGCTTTTTTACAGTTGGACATTTAGATCAAATGTAACAACATGTTATGGAGTTCCCTTTAATTCGCTTTTATAACAAGGTCAGTTGTGATTTTGTTTCTTCCTGGTACATATCTGGTCCATATGTTAGACAGAAAAACTATCTTCTCAAGTTAAGGACTCCCAAATGATGC
The DNA here is from genome assembly GCF_000001405.40 of Homo sapiens. Classification (NCBI taxonomy): domain Eukaryota; kingdom Metazoa; phylum Chordata; class Mammalia; order Primates; family Hominidae; genus Homo; species Homo sapiens. The sequence continues at coordinate 54,624,083 of NC_000003.12, read as the reverse complement.
CACCAATAAAGGACTCTCTGTGTTTGTTTCTCCCTCCTCTCTCTCTCTCATGTCCAACTCCCTCTTCTCCTCCTCCACACCCTGACCCAGATCACCCTCCTGGTCTTTGGAGCTTCATTTAGCCCTCTGCCCAACTCTCCTACACAAAACCAGCTCTTGTCTCCCAGGGAACTACCTCCCATGATGTGTCCTCCACTAAGAGCTGCTCTGTCCAGTTAGGTAGCCTTGAGCCACATGTAGAATTTACATTTAAATGTAATTATTAATAAAATTACCTAACATTAAAAATACAGTTCCTCAGTAGTGCTAACCTCATTTCAAGTGCTCATTAGCCACATGTGGCTAGTGGCTACTGCACTGGACACTGCCAATTAATGAACATCGCCATCATTGCAGGAAGTGCAACTGGACAGCACTGACCCAGAGACAGGGGTTAAAATGGACCTTCCTTCCTATCAAGCCATGGACTAATGGTGAGTCAGAGGAAGGTCTAAGACCTGGACCCAGGGACATGTGTGAGTTTTGCCTGCCCAGCATCAAGTCCCCTTCTTCTGATTTTCCTTCTCCCACCAACCCATAATTCATATGATTTGAGTGAAGCTAATGTCTCTCTCCCTCCCTCCCAGATTAAGGAGTGGGACCATTTATCAGACCTGTCTAGTCTATGAATTCCACCCCAAGGGCCACAGTTGTGCACGGGCATTGAGCCAATCCCTGGACTTCTGCTGGCACGTGGGAGGAAGGACTCTCTCTTTCCATGAGGATTGCTGAGAGGAAGCCTAGGGCTGCCAGCAATCATCCTGCCACCGCACGGGAGGTGCACACCTGAATGAAGGTAACAGCCGCAGAGAGCAAAGCCCACATGGAGGAGCCAGGACAGGATGGGGACAACAAGGCTTGAGCCCCTAGATCCGGGCATGCCTGGCCTTTTAGGTAAGTGAACCAATACCTTTGCTCCTCTGCTTAACCAGTTTTAGCTGATGTGGGCCACTTAATTGAAAAGATCCCTTATGATTACCACAACCAAACCAATGACCCTGGCTGCGGAGACCATACCTCGTGAAAGCTTCCCCTGCATTAAAATGATCTTCCTCTTCTCCCCTATGCCCCTCCTCCCCTTCTTAATCACAGCCATCGTATGGTGCGATCGGTTTACCGCGCCTGTGCTAGACTGAATACAGCACTTTATACACAGCAGGCTTTTGGTGCTCGAGGCTTTAACAGCCAGTGCTTTGACGACCCATGGCACGGAGGATTTGTGATTTTGCTGATGATCAATCCTAACCATGTACACCCCAAGGGTAGTGTCTGGAAGCAAAGGAAGGGGCTGGCTGACTGCCCTGCATCCTCTGCATCACTACAGATTTATTTTTCTCTACTCCCAGTTGTGGTCGTTGTAAGATCCAGAAATTGTTATGTTTAATGCCATCATATCATTGTTATTGTGTGGAGGCAATTGGTATACAGGCCCTATGAACTCTGATTTAAAAAAAAAAAAAACCAAAAACTGGCCAGGTGCAGTGGCTCATGCCTGTAATCCCAGCATTTTGGGAGGCCAAGGCAGGCAGATCACGAGGTCAGGAGATCGCAACCGTCCTGGCTAACATGGTGAAACCCCATCTCTACTAACAATACAAAAAATTAGCCAGACGTGGTGGCGGGCGCCTGTAGTCCCAGCTACTCGGGAGGCTGAGGCAGAAGAATGGCGTGAACCCGGGAGGCAGAGCTTGCAGTGAGCTGAGATTGCACCACTGCACTCCAGCCTGGGCGAAAGAGCGAGACTCCATTTCAAAACAAACAAACAAACAAAAAACTGAACTGGGGGTCAGGAGACTGAGTTCCAGTGCTGGTTATACCATTTACCAACTGAACCCCTGAGACAAGTGGCTTTAGTTCTCTGGCTTCAATTTTGCCTGCTGTGAAATGAGGATGGGAAAGCACCTGAGTAGTGGGTGGGGTAGTGAGAGCATCAGTGCCTCAGAACAGCAGGCAGGACTTCCTTCCAATTCCTGTTCTGACATTCGCCCTCTCTACAAGCCTGAGTAAGACACTGCCTTATCTGTGCCTTCATTTCTCTCTGATACTTGGTGGTACTGGGTTGACTTCTCCCTGGGGGACCCGAAAAAAGAAGTCATCTGAAAGAATTTTGGTGACAGAAAAAAAAGTGAGACTTTCATTTCATATTCACTAAAAGAAAGGACCGTCTTCAACATGTGAAAATTAAAACAGACTACATCTCCAACGCTTTCTATGCCCACTTCCTGGGTTGCAACTTTATAATCTAATAGACCTTGGAAAAGGAATTATTTTGCCTTTCGAGGGCCAGGTTTTCTCAAATGGATAGAGACACGTAGCTGACTTCACTGACCCCAGGACCCGAGTGCCTCAAGGGCACAGCTACAGAACAGAAGGCTCCAGATCGCCCAAGTCAGGGAGACGCTGAACAGCCGTGTACCAAAAGGTGGCCAGTTCTCATTATTTTTCTCAATTAAAATAAACCATTTATTGGAAATGGTGACAGTTCCATTTTATTATTAAACCTCAATAAAGGAGGAGGGTGGCTCTTTATCTTTGCTTCAAGCGACTCACGCAGCATATGCTGCTGCCCAGGAAAAAGCCTCGCTTCCAAAGCAATTAGTGCAGCTTAATGCCTGGGGAGATGAGCCCACGCTGGCGCCACCACTCCCTGTGCCAAATGCCAGCAGCACGGCCACATCCGCTTATCTCTGACAAACAGCCACAACGTTGAGGCCAGCAGAGGATCCTGGTGAAATAAGCCTCTCCTTCACCAGTATTCAGTTTAGTTGAATCATACTGATGACTCTCTGTGATCACAGCAATCATGTTTTTTTTCCTGTCTATGTAATTATAATAAATGTTTGAGTCCTTCCTGTTAAGAGCAAGGTGTCAAATGGACATCAGCGGACAAAACAAGCCCTTGAGAGCTGGTGGTCCTGGCTGGGAGTACAGCCGCTATTTGGAGGGGAGGCTAATAGCCATCTATCAATGACACCCATCAGGGTCATTCGAGTACTGCAGACATGAATTTCGTACCCATTAGGAGTGGACAAAGGTTGTTGCAGCAACTCCACCATGGGAAGGCTTCAGAAGTCACGTCACCAAGCCCTCCAAGGGCAGCCAATACTGGCAAAGTGACAACTGTATGCTAGGCATCACGTGCTTTTTGTACATTACTTTGTTTGATCCTCCTAACACCCCTAAAAGAAAGGTACTATTACATTCTTATTTTACATGTAGGCCGAGGACACTAGAAAGGTCAAGACAGCAGAGTGGGTTTCAAAGTGCTGAGTCCCTGTGCAATAGGGCCCCTTCACAGCGCCCAGGGCCCAGCTCTCTACGTCCCTGATAAACTACAGCATGCAGGTGGGTGCAGAGACTTAGGTTCGTGTGCAAAGCTAAGATTCCGTGCAGGGCTGGTTTCCAGGGGATGTGACATATGCAGTGGCCCAGAGTCCCATTTTCAGAAGGACTCAGTGTTTGGTTTAATGCTTTGTTACCACTGTCCTGAAATTCTTTATAATTGTATTTTTTGAATCTGTGATTTGTACGTGAAATCCAGTGGAGCAATGGAGCATGCCTGTGAGCAGAGGAGACACCCAAAAGATGGTGTCTGCTGCTCCTTGCTGCCCTGTTCACACGCAGCACAGAATTCTGGTGTGCTGCTACAGTGCAGGTATCCTCAAATGGACTTCACTTTAATAGGTCACTTTGCACTGTGGCTGTCAGGTAGCTCGAGCTCACTGGAAAATTAAAATTAAGGCATTAAAGGTAAGAGTGTTCTGTAGAGCCTCTTTCATTTTCAGTTCTGTCAGTAAACAGACACAGGATTGCCTGCTTTCTCCTAAAACAGAGATGTGGCTCCTATCAGCCTAAATGACGAGCAGGGTCCCAACAGCCATGTCCACCCTATTCTGATGCCCAACTCCTCAGTGAGACTTCCAGATAAGCTCATGGGGTTCTGTGGTCCCACTACTACTGTGCTCCAAACCCAAAGTGCAGAAGCCCATTTTTCAGAGGCTCAAAGGGTGCCCACACCTGTCCTCCCCGCTGATTTGGATATTACACCACAAGATTATCTGATGTAAATCTGGACACTTCCTCTTGATCTAATTCCTCCTGACAACACACACACACCCAACCCTAACCTCAACCTGGGATGAGTCTCTCATATTCCCATTTAGTCTGAGAACTCCCTTGGCTGACTTTTACAGCCTCTTTGGGGCAAATCTCTCAGGGATGTTAGGGCAGTGCAGAGCCAATATTATCTTGTAGGTAAGGCACATATCTTGTGACATGGCTACCACCAAGCCTAGGTTCCTGTAAATCAGACTGTCATTTAATTCCCGTGGGAAGCAGTGACATGGTATTTCTCAAAGAAGAAAACAGAATGGCTGAAGAAAGCTGGTAGGAAGGAGGCAGGCCCAGCTGTTTGCAATTTGGGGGAGACAGTACAGACACTGATAGAATGGCATCTGAGCTATTCCCCGTTTGTCCTTTACGTGTGTGTAACAAATTGATGTGTCTGAAGGTAGCAGCTGTTTAATGCCAGTGCCAAATTAGAGAAAAGATAGATCTCCTGGATGTGAACAATGAACATTATTTCATCCAGGTAGTCAGATTAGCTACATCCTCATTTCAATGGCAAAAGCACTAATTATTTCATGCAGGATGATGGTGATGAGCTCAGAATTGGTGATTCTCTACAATTGGGAAATACCTAAAGTGGAACAGCCCCTCCACCTAAGCAGTGCACATTTCCAAGTAACTGCTGAGGGGGAGGGACATGATGATTACCATGCCTGTGAACAAGGCCAGCTCCAAGAGGAGACGTATTATGTGAGCTCATCGTCCTTCTTGTGAGGTCATGTGGACTTGTCAGTGCATCTCAGGGAACTAAGCTTTGCGAACCCCTGAAAGCCTGGGAAAAGCTGAAGCCCAGTGCTGCATGGACAGGACGCCTGTGTTGTGTTTCTGCATGGCATGGCAGTGTGTGTACACAGTAGGCCTCACCCTTCACGTCTTTCTGAAATTTCCAAAGGTCTCCATGTATCCTTTATGAACTTCATGAAAATCTTGACTTGATTCAAATGCGTTTCTTGGAGGAAGAATGCTTTCAGTGGCTGCAGTGTGCCAGGGTAGACTGAAGTCAGTTTCAATTCATTACAAACACAGTGCCAGCTCTGAGGATGCCTCAGCTCAGAAGAGGTACGTATTGATAGCCAACACCCAGGGGGAATGTGATGCTGACCAGTGCTGTGGGTGCCAGCGCACTCGTCTGCATCAAACCATCACCTCGCAGTCACACCTACAGTTCTTTGCACTCAATGCAAAGCTATGGCCCAGGATTGGGGGAGCAGCGTGTGCTAAGACACAGGTTAGGAGCCATATTCCCCAAGCAGTGGTGGCTACATTCATTTCTGGGAAAGCTCAGCAAAGAAATGTGACCCCAGGGACACCTAAATTTGGACTTTTTCTGTATGAACACTTGGAAGATTTGTAGCGTTTTATAAAACTTGTATTCAATTAAAATGTGTTTCAATGATCTCTGTATTTTGCCAAGCTTAATTACATATGGGTATTAAACTTAATTGTCTGAATTTCTTCCATTCTTATTTGAGTCTGTGAATAAACAAATACCCTGTAAGGCACTGTGTGTGTGTGTGTGTGTGTGTGTGTGTGTGTGTGTGCATATATATATATATATATATATGTATGTATCAACATCAATTTGAACTTTGACCAGTCCCCTACTAGTGAAAGTTTAAATTTTCAGTATTTTATGTTTTCAACATTACTATAGTAAACATCTTTGTACTCACATTGTAGTGCATATGTGTAGTAAGATAATTATAACAACCTCATGGAAGATAAAGAATTGAGTCAATAATTTCTTCATTTATACCATGCAGAGTGACTGTGAGGACTTAATAAGATAATGTAGACAGAGTGCTTCATACAGAGTTCAGCATATAGTAGGCACTCAGTAAACACTAGATCTTATTAGTAGGGCACCTGTGGCTTACAATCCCTTATGGCACTGTATTTTTAGTCTATGAAAGTATCCAAGTTGAAATTCTAGAAACAAACAACAACAATTAAAAAAAAAAAAAACCCAAACTCTACATACAGAAAAAGGAAAGTCACTGGCTCCTAGAACGAGAAGACTGGGAGTGCAGCTGTCTCAGTGAAGGGAGGGACAGGGGACCCAGTGGTGGCCTCAGGGCTCAGTCTGTCTTCTCTATTGTATCTCCTGGCTCTACTTGGTTTCATTCCCCCAGCAAGCTCTTGAGCACACAGCTGCCTACATCAGTGGTCTCACATCCTCCTAGCTCAGCCTGCCCACTGGCAAGAGCTATGGTTGCCAGATAAATATAGGATGCCCAATTAACTTTGAATTTTGGATACATAACAATGAATATAATAAAAATGTATTCTTTGTTATCTGATATTTAAAATTGAGTGCCCTGTTTGTTTGTTTTGCAAAATCTGGCAACTTTACCCAAGAGCAGTTTCAGCAATATTGCTATCAGAAAAGTCCCCAGAAATACTCTGATCAGGCCAACTTAGGATGTGTGTCTGGGCCTGAGCCAATCAGGTGGCCAGAGAATGGGACCTCTGACTTATTCAGGTCTGGATCGCATCACCACGTCTGAACTTGAGGGTGTGGTGGGGAGAAATGGGGAAAGTCCTACCTGACTTCACCAAATGGGTTTTCTAAGGACAGAGGGATTTCATGTAAAGGATGAGAGAGAGAGGTGCTGGACAGATAAGAACAGTCGACTTACAAGCAGCTTCTCAGAAGAGGTACAGCCTTTTAGTGGCAGTAGCAAGGTCCATATTCTAGAAAAACACACTGATGCAGGCCAGGGTAGCAAAGGTGTGCCAAAACACATGCACTTCCACATGCATGCTCTCACTGCACTCATTTCCTCTGCAGCAGCATGTGGGGGCAGACATACATGTAGTGAGAAGATCAGATAAAGAAAAAATGGTAGCTTTTCCCAGGGATATCACAATATGCTTCTTAAAAGTTAGATAAAAGAGTTTCTAGAAAATAGGTGGTCCAGGGATGTTTTCAGGCCCAGCAGAAAGAGAATGCCCGAGACAGAAGAGAAGAGACTGCTACCATCAACTAATATTCTCTGGGTGCCCTCTACACACCAGCCTTGTCCCTGAGTCCTCATGAGTTCAATCCTCACAGCAATCCCCAGACAGAAGGTAGGTACTCTTATTACCCTCCTTTTAAGAATGAGAGAATGAATTCACATCACTTGACTAGGTCTCACAGCTAATAAATGGTAGAGCTGGAGCTTATATCCAAGCATTTGGTCTCTAAAAAAGTTTTTTTGCCAGAAACTTTTTATATTAGAAAATTTTAATGATCAACTCACAGCCAATCTTGTTTTATCAATATCCTGACACCATCTACATCGACGTCCCTTTTGGCAGCCAGCCTCCAAAATGGCCTCCTATGATTCTCACCCACTGATACGCAGACCCTTGTGTTGGGCCCTCTTACATTACACCAGGGGTTGGTGTCTGCAACAAAGAGAATGTCATAGAAGTGATGGTATGCCACCTGCAAGATTAGGTTGTAAGTAACACTATGGCTTCTATCACAGTTGCTCGTCTGATCTCTATTGGATACCTCCCTCTGGAGGAAGCCAACTGCTTTGCTGGAAGCAGCCCTGGGGAGATGCCATGGAGTAAGAAACTGAAGCTTCCAACCAACAGCTGTCAGGGAACTGAAGTCTCTTTCCAAGAGCCATATGAATTAGCTTAGACATGGATCTTCCATCCTAGCCAGCCCTTGGAAGACCAGCCCCCAGCCTACATCCTGAATGCAACCTCACTAGAGACCCTGAGCCAGAACAACCCAGTCAGGCTACTCCTGGGTTCTTGAGTCCAGGAACTACATGAGATAATAAATGTTTGTTGTTTTAAGCCTATGGTCCCCAATCTTTTTGGCACTAGAGACTGGTTTCACGGAAGACAATCTGTCCAAGGACAGGGGTATGGGGAGGTAGCCCGGGATGGTAGCGGGGCAGGGCGAAGGATGAAATTGTTCCACCTCAAATCATCAGGCATTACTTAGATTCTCATAAGGGGCACACAACCTAGATTCCTTGTATGCATAGTTCACAATAAGGTTTGCACTCCTGTAAGAATCAAATGATGCTGCTGGCTGATCTGAGGTAGAGCTCAGGTGGTAATGCTTGCTCACTCACCCGCTACTTACCTCCTGCTGTGCAGCCTGGTTCCTAACAGACCAGAGACCAGTATGGTATTTGATCTGTGGCCTGTGGGTTGGGGACCCCTGTTTTAGCTATTAAGTTTAGGGGTAATTTGTTCCACAACAGCAGATAACTAATATACTCATCTAGATTATTGTGAAGCACATCCCAGATATCATATTATTTCATCTGTAAACATTTTAAAAACAAACCACGTTTCACTTTGTCACAGTTACACAGTTTGAATGAGGATTCATGTTAAGATCTACTCATTGTGATTGATTGAGATATCTCTTAAGTCTCTTATTCTAGAGTTCCCTCTCCATTATTTTTCTCACAAGTTTTGTTGAAGAAATAACTTGTTGGTCATGAAGAGCATTCCAGAATCCAGATTTTACTAACTGTATTTCTGAGGTGTCATTTAACATGTTCTTCTGTCCCTCTATTTTAATTGATGGTGAGATTGAGCAGTTTGATTGGATTCAGATTTGACTACATATTTATTTATTTATTTGGTATTTACTTATTTATTTGCTATTCATTCGTGATGTTTTTTTACTTCCCTCCAACAAATGAGTAGTAGTCTCCTTGCGATGATGGTAGTCATCAACGACCAATGCCCAGATTCATTAATTCATCAGAAGCTGCAACATAGTGATATTTTAATTTCATCATCTCTCTTCATTTATTAGATAACCAATTTCTGCGAAGAAGTGCTTCCTCTTTTGCACTGTTAAGTCAGCTGAAGAACCACTTGTAGAAGAAAATTGGATAAATGTTAGCTGCCGTTCATTTCTTTACTGGTTTTCAAAATAAAGATTGGTCCGAAGGTGATCAATGAGGATCTCCCACACCCTTTTTCTTTTTTAGTATCATCAATGGCTTTTCTGCTTCATCATTTTAGTCTCAGCATGGGTTGTAACATATATTATATGTTTCCAAATGTTGATGATTTTTGTGTGTTTTTTTGGGGAGTGGTGGAGGGATATTTAATTTATCCCATCTTTGGCCAGTGGGAGCCGCTTCTCTTCAGACTTGCTACCAAGGCCCCATACAGTAGTTGATAGCTTCCTGCTATCACAATAAGCAAGAGGTTACAGACTCATCTTGTTCATCTTCTGCCCCTAACCTAGAATCGGCCATTTCTCTAAGGAACCAAGAAATTCACCATTCTTAACCATTTACACTCTATTATCTCTGTATTTTCCTTGAGCATACACCTGGGGAATGAGAAGGAAGGAGGAAGAGAAAAAAATAACTGAAGAGGGCCAAGTAAAAGGGCAAAGAAGAAAAGTGTAACATGGCCATCTGAGAAGCTTGCACAAAATGTGATGCAAACATTACTCCAAAAACCTGACAGGCAAAGTGACAAGTAAATACAGTGGGGAAGCACTTGCTAGACCCTGGCCTGGAATTTACTCCAAGGACAGGAAACATGGTGAGGGAAAGATTGGCATTAGAACAATTTGATGAAATAGGCAAGAGTTTCATGCTTGAGTAAGACAGGCTCTGCCCTGGGCCAGTACCATAGTGAGAATTCAAATTCTATCCTCAGCAATGGAAGGGGCCTCCAAGGACACCCATTAGGTACAACGTCCTCTGGTCTAAGTGAAGTGAGGTCTGCCTATATTAGCCCCACATCTTTGCTACCAAAGACTCTCCTTCCCTTTCCTCATGGTACACATTTTATCCCAATATCCTTGCAGCATTCATTGAGTCATCAAATGTTTATTAAGAAGCCACCAAGTACAACATGCTGTGCTTGATCAATTGAACAAGGGGAGACCTGGTCTCTTCCTGCAGAGTTCACAGGCCAGTGGAGAGAGATCTCAATCAATAAGCACACAGCTACATGCAGGAGTAGCAAGTACCATCAGGGAGAGGCTCATGGTGATTTGGTAGTGTATTTCGTAGTATAAAACAGAGGCACTAAAGGAGGGCCTGGAGGTAAAGGCAGGGCTGCTAGAGCATGAGATTTTTAGATGGAGAAATAGTGTTTGTAGGTACCAAGGCTCCGGGGTAGGAGGAAACAGAGCATACACAAATAATTGTAACAAAGTCATGGAATCCAGAGCAAAGAAAGGAAAAAGGAACACAGCGCACCATGAGCCTGGAAATGCAGCAAGGAGCCAGACTCAGCAGGAACTTCCAGGCATTCAGTGTTTGTGTTCACTAAGTTATTGGCTACAGTGGTTGTTTAAGGATCAAGAGACCTTAAGACTCAGAGGTAAGATGGAATGACATGCTGTAGGTTCATAATATGGGATAGAAAGCCTTCTCAGCGACCCTTAGATTAGCAGCAGTGGACCATGAGTAAACAGAAACGTGGACCTCAAAGAACAAGGCAAGAGAGGCCCAGGGCCATTCACAGGCTATAAAACCAAACAGCTGTAATTCACAAGAAATGGAAACATGGATTTTCATCCTCAGGACATGAAATAAGTGCTCCCATTACAGAAAATTAAGATTCAGTCACTACCAAGGGAAACAAAACAGCAGAGAAATCTCTGCAACAAAGACTTTTATGACACACCAATACAGGAAACTTTTTTCTTTTTTGAATTCACTGTTGGAAGATCAAAGATATACCTTGTTAAATTATCCAAGTCATTTTTCTGAAGCAAAACACCTCTTTGCAAATGTACAGTCTACCTGGCAGGTAAAAATGCAAATTAATAAACATAATGTACACTGTAAGAGGTCTGTGGCCGTTAAGTCACAGGTCAACTAAATATCCACTGTGACTCTGATCCACTTAGTGGAGACAGTCTCATGACATTTATTGTTTGTATCCACCTGTGAATGTGGCCAGGATGCTTGTCATGTCTAGTCATGGGGGTGGTCCATTTTCACAGCAGTTCACCAAAACCCTTTCCTGTATCCCTGAGCCACAGCAAATACAGGGGCCCCTCCTCTGCACAGACTGCTTATCCCAGCAATGTAGGACTGTGGGGGTAATAAGGCGGTCCAGTCTTGTCTGCCACTGTAGACTGGTGGGTCATTTCAGCTGGCTGAAAAACTAAGTTTTAAATGGGGCGATTAGCAGGTAGGCATCCTCAGATTCATCCGCTGGTCTTATCCCTTCCCAGAGCTTGCTCTTTCTCAGTTATCAGGGCATCTTCCCAGCGCCCTGGACCTTATCTACTTTTTGACCTGGTAGGCAGTAGATTTCATGAGTATAATTAATATATCTCTACTCACCTCTAATTGAAATTAAAGGAAATTTAGAAAGAATTCATTATTCCCATCACAGAGAAACTAGCAAAATATGCTAATCATCTGACATCTGGATAATACTCTTCACAAAGATAATAAATGCAGGAGCTAGAGAAGGTCCTTCACTTGGGGTTCAGGCCTTCCACGGGCCTCCCTGACTTTACTTCCATAAAGCCAACTTGGCCTTTTTCTCTGTTGCTCACGGTCCTTGGGCTGCTTCTGATTCCAGGTAGACTATGATTATGAGTCTAAAAAAAATGATTAATGTCAGTGCAACAGCAGGGAGAATCCATGAGAGGGTTTCCTCAGTCAATCAGGAGAAGGCCCTGAAACCGGCCCAGATCAAAGATGTCTGACCAGGAAACACCAGACCATTTAGGAAAAAGAAATTCTCCTCCAACAGGGTGTGCTTTATGGAACCCACCTTATTGGCTCTGCTGATTTTCAGCTGTAAGCCCTCACTTCCCTCTCTTCCTCACTTCCTTCCTCTTCCTCTTCCCAAGGGGAGCAGAGGAAGGGGAAGGAAACCAACCCTGGGACAGCCAACTAGTAGAATGAACAGAACTGGTGTGAATCCCAACTCCTGGGACAGACCATGGGGGCATTGGCATTCTTTCTTTAAATCTCTTCCTTTTAATATAGTCCTTGTGCAAATGTGTACAGCACCAGGAATAAGTTAATATGATGCATGATCCTTTTCGAAAGATAAAACAAACATCCCTTTAACAGTATGTGTGCTGAATTCATTTATTTAAAACAGAAAATGCCACATAACTCCAATATGCGATTCTGGAATAGGCACTGATTTTTTTTTTCACTCTTCTCTCTCCACATCCTGCCAAAATCTGAATATAATTTTCAAGGTGGTATCACATATTAAAGATGGCAATTCTTATCCAAGTTTGAAAAGATTCTTCTCTGCACTCCACCCCCTTTCTGAGACCAAGTCAGCAAAGAGACTGGATAGTCCTGGGCCCCAGGCCTCATCATTCCATGTTTCTCATTTTATGGAAACTACTCATTTGAGCACAAAAGCAGGCACACTAAATTAACAAAATGGCCCTTCCAGTCAGCATTTTAGAAGAAAAATGATTCCACTGCTGAATCAATAAGTGGCACACCAAGGATCTTAAAGACAAAGACAAAAGAGCACCTGGCTAAGGTGACCCTATCTGTGGAGAGAAGTCATTCACAGTCTGAGTCTTTGGAAGTGGGACATAAATTGACATGCAGAAATTGAGAGAGAGTTATTTGAAGGCTGCTTAGCCAAGATGATTCAAATAACCTCCTGAAGCAGAAATACCGTCTGAGAAAGGGTTGACAATTAGAAACATGTGACTCAAAAACACAGCTAAACCCCATGCATCCCCACACACAGAACCACATGCACAGAGTACAGTTAGGTGTGACATGTATTTCAATCCAGCTAGGCTGTATTCACACTTTGCTCAGGTGGAGTTGTGACTTTGACACAAACTCTCAAAGGTTATTTCTGCACGAGGCTTGGCTGAGTCCCTCAATTAGGACAAACCTCCAGATACAGCACTCACTGACACATTCTTTCCTGGATTCTGGGATAAGACTGGGACATGAATGCTGTCCACAAACTTGCAAAGAGGGCGATGCTACATTTGGCGAAGAAAAGCCAGGGATTAGAGAAGAGGTATTTGAAAAAAAATGTCCAGGCAGGGTGTGGTGGCTCACTCCTGTAATCCCAGCATTTTGGGAGGCCAAGGCGGGTGGATCACCTGAGGTCAGGAGTTCGAGACCAGCCTGGCCAACATGGTGAAACCCCATCTCTACCAACAATACAAAATTAGCCGGGCATGGTGGCGGATGTCTGTAATACCAGCTACTTGGGAGGCTGAGGCAGAAGAATCACTTGAATCTGGGAGGCGGTGGTTACAGTTACAGTGAGTCAAGATCATGCCACTGCACTCCAGCCTGGGTGACGAGAGTGAAACTCCATCTCAAAAAGAAAAAAAAAGGAAAGAAGAAAAGATCCAAAACATGGGTCCTGGAAAATTCTGAAATATAGAAGCCAGATACAGTCAGATCTAGTCTGTCAAATGCTTCAGTTTTCAAACAAACCTGCATTAACACCCATCACCCAGCTCCCACTGAATCAGTCTTGAGGTGGGTAGGGCATTGAAACGGACTTAAAAAAAAAAAAGCATTATGATTCTGCTGCTACACTGCAAATTAAAATCCTCTGCTTTAAGGAGTGTAAAATTAAAAGGAGCAGCTTAGCCTGAAAGAAGCAAAAACGAAAAGTAACCAAGTAAAATTTTAAGGCATGTATCCCAATCATTGCAAAGTACTTGGCAGGTATTATGGGTTAAATTGTGTCCTGCAAAAAGACATGTTGAAGTCCAAACCCCAGTACCTTAGAATGTGATCTTATTTAGGATAGGGCCATTACTAACGTAATTAATTAAGTTAATATGAGGTCACTGGGATGGGCCCCTAATCTAGCGTTTTTATAAGAGACACAGCCACACACAGGGTGAAGATGACCATATGAAGATGGAGGCAGAGACTGGAGTGATGCATCTAGATGCCAAGGAAGGCCAAGGATCGATAGCCACCACCAGAGGCTAGAAGAGGCAAGGAAGGAATCTCCCTTGCAGGCTTCCGAGGAAGCATGACCTGCCAATACCTTGGTTTCAAACTTCTAGCCTCCAGAACTGTAAGACAATATACTTCTGTTATTTTAAGCCACCAAGTTTGTGGTACTTTGTTATGGCCGTCCAAGAAAATGTACACAACAACATTTCCCAAATCACCACCTACAAAACTTACTTGATTAAATGGTGTTCCTAGAAAATGCTTTGGAAATGCCATAAAATAAATTATTTAACTCTTGGAGAGAGTCACAATATACACAAGCATTTTAAAAGCTCTGAGAAGTCGTGTGGTGAAGAAGCATATTTAAAATTTTTTTCATTTGTCATTTTAAGCTTTCTTTGACCACAAAACCCCCTCCTCTCTGTTCCCTATTAGCGGACGTGTTAAGATCACATCATAGAACTGCTATTTCCTCAAGTACATTTTTGAGAAACACCTGCTTTGCCAATAAAAAAGGAGAAGCATGCTATGAACTTGCTCTTTCTAAGAAACATGGTTAGATGCCAGGTTTCCACAGCCATCCTTGTCACTTGATGTGCAAGCAGGACCTGAGATATTTCAAACACGTTTAGAGTCTATCTGAGTTTCCCTCTGTATTAATTTGCCAGGGCTGCCACAACAAAACATCACAGGCTGAGTGGCTTAAGCCACTCAGATCTATATTTTCTTACAGTTTTAGAGGTTAGAAGTCTAAGGTGAAGGTGTCGGCAGTTTTGGCTTCTCCCGAGGCCTCCTTTCTTGGTATACAGATGGCCACCTTATCACTAGGTCTTTTAGTGACCTTTTCACTGTGCATGTGTATCACTGATGCCTCTTTTTCTAATAAGAACAGCTACCATATTGGCTCACAGCCACACCCTTATGACCTCATTTAACCTTAACTGTCTCTTTAAAGGCCCCATCTCCAAATACACATTAAAGATTAGGGCTTAAACACACAGTTGTTGGGGGGACATGATTCAGTCCATAACACCCCCTCAATTGCTCAGTCAGGAGGCATAGGTTCTTGGGTTGTAGTTAAGAAAACAGACGAAAAAGGTTAAGTTCCTCAAGGTCTCTAGCAAGTATCAGACTCCAGATCACAACTCAATGGCTTCAACGTCATGGGGTCCATTCACCTCCCCACACTACTTAGCCTCTATCCCCTGCAAGCCTCTTCTATGGCAAGAAGGTCCCTAGTTATACATTTCTTCAATAGATTGTGCATTCTTTTAAAACACATTACTTTATTGCGCAAAGAAATTTGGCCATGACATTTTTAAATCTGCAAGAGTCATGTTCATCATAGCAAGCAGCAAGGATGAAGCCACATCTTTGAGCACTACCACTGAGATTTCCAGCAAAGTGGTCTACACACAGCATGGTCTACACCAGTCTTTGTTATCTCAAAGCTTGGCAAGGGAGGAAAAACCTTACGGTGGTTAAACACACAAATTCTGGAGCCAGGCCACGTGCATGCAAAACCTAGCCATACTACTCTTTATTGTGTGTGTGATTTTCGTAACATCTCTTCCTCCATAAAATGGGCAAAACAGAATGCACCAGACAAGGCTGTTGGGAAGGTCAAATGAGATGAGCAAAGGGCTGGAAACTAGCAAATATTCAGGAATTATTAGCTGCTATTAGGGGAATGTTTAAAGCCTTTTAAAAAATAATTATAGACTGACATAAAAGTTGCAAAGCTAGTATCAGAAAGTTCCTGTGCCCTTCACCCAGCTTCCCCCAATGATAACATCTTTATTGTAGTATAATATTCAAACCCAGGAAACTGACAGTGGTATAACACTGTTAACCTAACTACAGACTTCATTTGGATTTCACCAGTTTTCACATTCATTTTTTTGTTGTGTGTACAATTTTATGAAATTTTATCACAAGAATAGACTTGTGTCACAACCACCACAATCAGGATTCAGAACTGTTCTATCACCATAAAGAAACTCCCTTGCAATAACCCTTTATCGCCCTATACTCCCCTCCACTCCTAGTCCCTGGAAACCACTGATCATTTTCTATCACTATAATTTTATTTTGAGAATGTCATATAAATGGAATCATACAGTATGTAACTTTTTGAGACTGGCTTTTTTTAACTTAGCAGTTCTTCTGTATGAATGTACCATAGTCTGTTTATTCATTCCCGTGCTGAAGGAAACTTGGGTTGTTTCCAGTTTGGGTGGTTACAATGAAAACTGCTAGGAGCATTCATGTGCAAGTCTTTGTATAAACATAATTTTTCATTCCTTTTGGTAAATATCCAGGAATGGGATTGCTGGGTCATAGGTAAAGTCATACAGTATCCATATGTTTAAATTTATGAGAAAATTGCCAAACTGTTTTCCAGAATGGCTGCACTATTTTACGTTCCTATCAACAACCTATGAGAGATCCAATTGCTCTGTGTCCTAGCCCGCATTTAGTATTGTCAGTATTTTTTTTTACTCTGGCTATTGTGTGTAGCGGCACTGTGGGAATTTCTCATCACTTGGAGAGTCTTGCCGGGGGATATATGAGGGGATGGCAATGATGCAGGGAGTCCGGCCTCATCGGCAGGAGAATCACTTGAACCCAGGAGGTGGAGGTTGCAGTGAGCCAAGATGGCACCACTGCACTCTAGCCTGGGTGACAGAGAGTGAGACTCTGCCTCAAAAAACAAAACAAAACAAAAAAACCAGCTGCATGGGGAGCCATTCCACAGTCAGAAACTATAGTGCCGCATGACCTCAGGGACAGGAGGTGGGGAGAAACAGATCTAGAGGGACATGAACATGCCCACTGGAGATACAGAAAGTATGTCCTTCCCTTGCACAGTGCCAATTCCTCTGCCCAGGGGCTCCCTTAATGTTGTTCATTCTCAGTGGCAATGGCAAAATACTATTGAAATGGAAACCTTAAAATTGGGTTTTTGTCCACTTACTGCTTCTCTGGCTCGAAGGACTACATGGAAAAGATTTTCAACTTCACTTCTGAGGCAAATTAAAAAATATGTTTCTCAAAAAGTCATATGAAGTAGTGAAGAGGATCTGAAGTGACTCAGAGGAATATGCAGGCAAGCATGAAGCGAATATCTGCAGCACAGGACTGGGAGATAGGTGCATTTTGCTGAAAAGGTTGTGGATACTATGATTATGTTAATTTAGACTTTTATAGTCAGAGTTGAGCAAAGAGGGATTAGAGAGGGGGTGAAAAGAAGTAGAGCCTTCAGGCCACGTCGTCTTCTTGTTCATGACCCAGGGATCCAGTGCTCCAGTGTGTGCGCACAGGGCTACATTTGCAGGGCTGCAGCACCACAAATGCAGGCTGGAATGGAGCGAGCGGGAGCCTCCGAATTCAACTCACTTCATGTGCCTTGTTTCCCAGAATGGCGTCTCCTAGTCTTCCTCATCTCGGCAAATGGCAATCCTCCCAAGACTCAGACCCCAAATCCTAGCATCATCCTTGTCTCTTCTTCCTGGAACCCACATCCCAATAGCCAGCAAGTCCTGTCACCTGTGCCTTCAAGAGAGCCAGCATCTGGCCACGCTTTACCCACTCCACCACTCTCACCCTGGGGTGAGCCACCATCCTCTGTTTCCTGAATCTTGGCAGTAACCTTCTAACTGGTTGTCCTACCTCTACCTTCCCCAGCCCCGACTTGCTCCCCAGCATCCAGCCTATTCCTTGTGCTGAAAGAGACTTCCTCTATCGACTATTCCAACCTTCTTATAGTACTGAAAATAACTCCTTCAACCCTAGAAAGGCTGCTCTCCAGCCCCTGAAAAGTATAAAACAAGAAGCCAATAGGAGGAATGCATTGGTTGTTATTATGTGATTCATAAATGAAATATATATATATATATAAAGTTACATTACATAGTCAAGTGAAAATAGTACCTGGTTCTAATGCAATTTGATAAGCCCCCTTCCCCTGATTCATTGCTATGTTCTGCCTTCAAATAAAGAAAAAGGAAGAATAGTTAATCTAAGCTACAGAAATGGATCAGACTCTGTACTCATCTCAGAATTAAAATTCAATTTATTCTACTAGTAAAGGAGTCTGCACCATAATCTGAAGGCATTACAGAAGAAAAGTCACTCAAATGAGCTGGAGCAAATATCATCAAATTCATATGAAATGATTTCTCCTATAGATTATTATTTATACATGCCACACAGCTGTCAATCAGTTCCTGTCTGCATTTAGTACAAACTCACTTATCTAATTCTGACGTGCACTAGGATTCACAGTAATGTCCCCAGAAGGACTGGCACATGCTTTTCTGGGATCTACATACTGGAAAATGAGACAAAGCCTCTGGCCTCATAGAACTTACATACTAGTGGGTGGGGGCAATAATGGGGAGAGACACCAAATAAATTTAAAGATATTTAAGGTAAAATAGCGTAACAATAAGAAACAAGTGTTCTGTATGGTGGGTTGGGTGAGAAAGAGTGAAGTAGGGAGCATGGGCTGCTGTGGTTGGGTGGTCAGGGTGGTCCCACTAAGAGTGGTAGCATTCGAGGCAAGTCCTTGGCTGGAAAAGTCATTGCATGTCTGAAATGCTGGTGAATAATAAAGACTGGGAATGGATGGGGTTAGAAGGTGAGTCCACAATAGGATAAGGGCCATTATCATGCATGGTGAGGAGCTTGAAACTTCTCAGAACCATCATTAGGCATGTGGGTTTCAACCAGTGTTTGGGTTGAATTGTGTCCCCCACAAAAGATACACTGAAGCCCTAATCCTCAGTCCTAGAAGGGTTGCTGCAGATGTAATTAGCTGCCTTAAGATGAAGTCACACTGGAGTAGGTTGGACCCCTAATGCAATATGACTGGTGTCTTTAGAAAAGATGACCAGGTGAAGATAGACACACAGAATGCCACGTGAAGACAGAGGACAGGAATTATACATCTGCAAGCCAGAGAACACCAAAGATTGCAGGAAAACCACCAAAACTAGGAGCAGGCCAAAAAAGATTCCTCTACAGGTTTCAGGGGAAGCTTGGCTCTGCTGACAATTTGATTTTCAGACTGTCAGCCTCCAGAACTGTGAGACAATACATTTCTGCTGTTTTAAGCCACCTACTTTGTGGTACTTCATCACAGCAGCCCTTGCGAACTACTCCAGCAGTACGGCCTTCATGAGATGTTGACTACAGAAGGGATGTGATCTGATGTTTATGTTAACAAGGCACAGCACTCTGTCTCTTGCGTGGAGAATAGGCTGGATGCTGGGGATCAAGTGGGGGCTGGGGAAGGCAAAGGTAGGACAACCTATTAGAAGGTTACTGCCAAGATTCAGGAAACAGAGAATGGTGGCTCAGCCCAGGGTGAGAGCAGTGGAGTGGGTAAAGCGTGGCCAGAGGCTGGCTCTCTTGAAGGCACAGGTGACAGGACTTGCTAGCTACTGGGATGTGGGTTCCAGGAAGAAGAAACAAAGATGATGCTAGGATTTGGGGTCTGAGTCTTGGAAAGGAGGACTGCTGTTTGCTGAGATGAGGAAGACTAGGAGAAGGTGTGATTTGGGGAGGTAAGGCCAAGAGTTTGGTTTTCGATACAAGAAACTTACATTCCTGATTAACATGCCAAAGGACCCCTGAGTAGGCAGGGCTGAGATCAGGGTTGGCAGTGTGAGTGCTGGCATCATTGGGGTCTAAAGTCTGGGTCTAACAATACTTTATTATCTGTCTTCTTCCACCTGAACTTGTATCTCCATGGGAGAAGGGACTTCATCACTCTTGCTCCCCATTATACCCCTAAAGTCCTAATGGTGCTTAGCCTAAGGCAGACACTCAAATGTTTGTTGAATCAATGGGCAAATCAACACACATAAAAGGTTTTACATGTGGGCAAAAGTTAAATACCATTTAACTCAATTTCAGGCCCATATCCTAAGGAATTAAACAAATCCAAATATTAATATACTGATGCTCATCATAGCATTGTTTATAATAGCAAAAAATAAAAAATAAAAGACCCTAGAAGTAAGCTATATTTTCAATAATAAGGAGGTTGGAATGCTATGTATCCATCTAAAATACAGTAGGATATTTCAGGGTCTGTAAGGGCTATCCCAATTTACTCTTATTTTAAAAAGACATTTAGATAAGTTAAACTTTTTTTTTTTAAAGCATGCATATCTAATAAAATGATGGCCTTGCAGATAAACACAAAAATACTAGAGTTGGTTCTTTGTCACAATGAACTACATGCAACTTATAATTCTCTTGCTATTGCTTATCCATATTCTTGATTGTTTCGTGTAGTAAGAAATTGTCGGGCTTTTTAAACATGAGAAAACATCATTCCACAGACAAAGCGTCATTGCTGTGGATGTGCTCCTCTTCCCAGCATGTCTGTATGAAAGTATTCCACATTTTGAAATCTTAGCCTTGAAGCCATCATCCAACTTGCCAGCTTAGACCATACAACGAACAGCCTTCCCCGGGTCAGGAACAGTGAAGACATGGACGAAAGATAGATCCTGCCTTCAAGAAAGCTAGACTGATGCTGAGACATAGTCACAGAGGAAGGAAGTTGAGTCAGGACTTGTCTTCTGGGAGCCAGAGAGACCCCTAAGGATACCCCAGAGGGGTAGCCCTTGAAAGAAAGAAAGGGGTTGGATAGATGGGGTTGAGAGAGCCTGGTAGGTAGTAGGAATTCTTGGAAAATACAAGAACTGAAAACAGTTGAGCACTTTTGGGCAACTCAGCAGTCCTGGAGCCTTATTTAGGAGGAGGAGGTGGTGGGGGGCAGCGCTTCTTCCTCTTCTGTGGAGCCTCACACTGGCTCTTCCTGCCGGGCGGGCTGCACGGCCAGCGCCCTCTGAGTCCAGCTTCCTAATTGATTCTGCCTGTGTCCAGTGCAACTGACTCACCAATTAAGGCATAGCTGATTGAAGCTTGCCCTCATCTCCGGTTATTTCTTCTTTCCACACATTTGTTGATAGTGACACCGAACAGAGAGGGACCACCCACAAAACCCTCCAGCTTTAGACAACGAGAATGTCTAAACAACAGCAGACACTGCACTGCTTCAACTTGAGTTTGGAATCCCAGATTATGAGGTGGGTGCTTTGAAAGGGTCCCATTCCAGGCCCTTTCTGCAATGTGAGGAGTGTGAGTAAAGAAGTTGCCTCTTCCAGTGGTCAGATAAACTTTCACGCCGTTGCAAATGAAGTGGAAACAAATTGAATGCTGGTTTAAAAAATAACAAAGACAGGCTGCCCTAAAATTCAGTCTCCTTACTTCAAAAATCTCTATCATAATTCAGGACTCTTTTATTATGTCAGTACTCTTTTGAAGGCACCCCACAAACAGGTAGAAAAGAGAACATATTTATCGTCAGAGCTAAGAAATTTGAGTACAAATCCAGGGTTAGCTTCATGGGTGTGTGACCTGTATAATTCACATATGCTCTGTGCTCAGACGGCCTCTGCCCTTGGTTTAATGCTCTGCTGCTGCTCTCTTTTTTCTTTTTTCCCTTTTTTTTTTTTTTTTTTTTTTTTGAGATGGAATCTCGCTCTGTCGCCCAGGCTGGAGTGCAGTGGCATGATCTCGGCTCACTGCAACCTCCACCTCCCAGGTTCAAGTGATTCTCCTGCCTCAGCCTCCCGAGTAGCTGGGACTACAGGTGCTTGCCACCATGCCCAGCTAATTTTTGTATTGTTTGTAGAGATGGAGTTTCGCCATGTTGGCCAGGCTGGTCTCTAACTCCTGACTTCAGGTGATCCGCCTGCCTCGGCCTCCCAAAATGCTAGGATTACAGGCATGAGCCACCACGCCTGGCCTTGCTATTGGCCATCTTGAAGCTCATAATAATTTTTGAACAAGAAGCCCTGCATTTTTATTTTGTACTGGATCTTGAAAATTATGTAGCCAGTCCTGATGGCAACTATGGCTTGCTGCAGACACAGGGACAGGAACCAGGCACTGTGGTGGAGGACTGTGTGCATTTATGGACATTTTTTTCTCTACATAAATGCCTACCAGTGTTTATCAGTGCCTGGTTTTATTTCCCAGTGTCCTCAAAGGCTCAAATAAGAAAACAGTATTTTTTTTCTTTAACTGGCAACTGGGCACAGAGTCCTTCACAACTATTAGTTTGATGTGCTAGCTATTAAAATTAGCCAGTGTCAAACATCAGCAAAAAATAAACATGTTTAGAAGGCATATCGTACCATGAAATTATTTAATATTTTAACTCCAAAAATGAGTCAAACATTTAAATCAGACTCCAGAAGCACATGCTCATGAAGTTTCATGTAATGACATTCAAACAAATCCAAGCAGAATTGCTAGAGTTTCTTACTAGTGACTGGGGTATAA
The DNA here is from genome assembly GCF_000001405.40 of Homo sapiens. Taxonomy (NCBI): domain Eukaryota; kingdom Metazoa; phylum Chordata; class Mammalia; order Primates; family Hominidae; genus Homo; species Homo sapiens. The sequence goes on along the minus strand of NC_000003.12, from coordinate 54,601,677 downwards.
GATTTGGGGTTGTGTTAGATCCCAATAGTGTCTAATACTATGTCGGTGGACAGACTGCAACAGACTGATTCCCTTGGAAGCTTGTTAAAAACATCCTAGGCCTCCAGGCTGAGAGGTTCTGATCCTGCAGGCTTTGGGTGGGCCCAGGAATCATACTTTTAAAAATCTTGTCCAGGGCATGGTGGCTCATGCCTATAATCCCAGCACTTAGGGAGGCTGAGGCAGGAGGATCACTTGAGCCCAGGAGTTACAGACCAGCTTGGGCAACACAGCAGGACCCCGTTTCTATAAAAAATCCAAAAATTACCCTGGAGTGGTGGCAAACACCTGTAGTCCTAGCTACTCAGGAGACTGACTGAGGTAGGAGGATCCTTTGAGACCAGGAGTTTGAGTCTGTAGTGAGCTATGATCATGCCACTGCACTCCAGCCTGAATGACACAGTGAGATACTGTCTCTACAAAGAAAACCAAAACAAAACAATGTTGTCTTTAAGATTCTTAGGCCCAGCCAAGTTTTGGTCATCCACCAACTTGATAAGCAGAATGGGATTTCAGAAAGTAAATAAGTCAAAATGCACAGTCAAATGTCGACCAAGTCTCCTCCAGCATAGTGTGTCTAACAATGGAAATGTGGCAAGACTGTGGTCTTGGTTAGCCACTCTGGATCGTGCAATTCCGATTGCAAGACTTTGGGCACATGATCTGGACGTCACAAGAAAACCCAAAACAAAACATCTGATATCTATGAAAGTGAGTCAAAATTGAAGAAATGTCTGGGCAACGAGATCAAGTGCAGGTTCAGGGAGTGTCATGACAGGGATGGCTCCAGAAGCTAGGTCCGGGCTGCACTGGTGAAATGTTTGCTCCCTGCGAGACCCACAGCTTCCACTCCCGGCTCATTAGACGCTCACATAATGAAGCCAGAGCGCAGGAGGCTCATGACAACTGGGGAGGAAGAAAAGCCAAAAACAAGTACAGCAGGAGGCTCTCTATTTAAAAATAGTCAGTTCCCTCATTGCCTCACAGCACACCGCATTATCTTGGTTACTCAGCAATCTGCAGATCCCCAAAGTGGTCCTTGAGGAGAAGCCAGTAACTCAGCTCCTGACCCCTGAGTGGAATGCTAATGAGAACTCAGCTCCAACCGGGGCATACTGATCTGTGCTGCATGTTCTCCTGCAAGACCCAGCTGGCTGTTCAATGAAGTCAATCCAGCTTGACCCAGCAAGAGTTTGTAGCAAATACCCACGAAAGCTGCTAGACTTAAGGCTAATCTTTTAAGTGTTACCGATGGAGGATCATCTTCTCCCTCTAAGGATAAGAAAGAGGCAGTTACACAAGCAGAAATACCTTCTGCTTTGTGCAGTGGATGAATTTAATGGAGAAGAGACTGCTCCTGAATTAGCAACATGACCCAGAGTGAGGGAAACTCAGAGGGTTTAGGCAGGTGGGAGTAAAGCTGCAGGAGGTTTCTTCCACTATTTTTCAGACCTTCTACCCAAGCCATTTCATCTCCCCCAACCCCATGAAGGTGCGTCGAACACTGCTTGAAACCGCAGAACTGGCAACGTTCTGGCAAGACAACAGCTCCTTCCTGGGAAATGCCTTCAGCTCCAACCTCCAGTCCGAAAGTGTTTCAGGCAAAAAAATAAAAACTCCGGGGCCGTGCACAGGCTGTGCCAGCAGACTTATGCCGCCAGGTCCCTTGGCCAGCACAACATAGGACCTGGCATCTGGATGGTCCTCCCCAGGCTCAGGGATCACAGCTGAGGCAGAGACCCTGGCAGCCACCCAAGGGTCTGCCCGTGTGCCTGGCAGGCTCAGATGTCCTGGCACTGAGACCCAGACCTAAGGAACGAGCAGAGTGAAGCCACGCGGCACTAAAAGCTTCAGTGATTTCTCAAAGCTCATTTTAACCAGGTTTAGCAAAAGCAACAGTTTAATCCCACAGAAATAATTAAAGTTTGAGGGCAGGAAAAGGAAACAAGGCTGCTTTTCCCCGCATTGATGGGATAATCTGCATGTGAAAGACCACCGTTTTGCCTACCAGAGGTTTTTTCCTCCCCCCCACCTTATTAATTAGTTATTTTATTTATTTACGTGAAGCACCGGGAAGAAAAAACAGAAACTCATGTATGCTCAAGCTCAGCTCCCTGTTAATGGAATTCACAATACAAATTGGGGAGCATGTGGGTTAATGTGTTACACCTGAGGTCACTGTCCAATAAAGGGCCTGACCATAGCAACATCTAACAGAAACACTGAGTTGTCAGGCTGTATTCACATGAAATTGCCGACATTTGACCACTTTTTGATCTACAAAAATAGCGATTTAATATGGTTCCTCCAAGTAGCTTTTTATTCTGAGCAAGTCTTTCTAGATTCATCTAATATAAAATATAAGATCCAAGGGTTTGATTTCCTCTCCCTCAGAGTATGTGATGAACAAATGAAAGGCAAGATGAGGCTGTGGAAAGTCAGGAGTGGCAACCCGAGTTTAAGGGGATGGCGTGACTATATTCCTGTTGTCCTGATCACATTCACAATGTTCCAGTCAGTTATAAATATAACAGCCAAGGCGGCCGCACCTGCAAGCAACTCAATAGGGCGCGATTTTAAAATGCACGGTGGGACCTCTTGCTAGTTGCATTTTCTTTCATATCTTCCTATCGTTGTCACCTGCCATAAAAATAACATCAATTTTAGTGTAAAACCAGAATTCTTTGGACATTAGATGCTGGCCACGAAAACCCAGAGCATCACAAACGGTGTTTTGCTAACATGTCTCTGGAGTGGTCTGCAGAGTGGTCCAGGTACTCTGGGTAATTTCACCGCATTTTACTCAGAGACTATGTTGACCAATGGCCAAGGACACGAGCGTGAATCAAAGTGTGGACCTGTTTCTGTGCCATATTCTAAAATCCCCATTATCATTAGCTAAATATTTGTGAAATCATGAACAGGACATTCTAACTTAGTGGTTTGGGTGTTTCCATTAAAAATGTCGAAAGGTAGAGGACTTGGTATTAAGGTATGCACATGAGAACTCCATACAGAAGGACTCATCTTCCTGGGAGAGATGTCCTGGGAAAGGCTTGTTCTGATACTGCACTGTATCCTTTATATCCTCTGTCTTTCTGTATTCGAACCATCTGGGATGTAAACACCTCTCAATAAAGCACTCATCATCATTATTATTTGAGTAAATAATTACATTTGTTAAGATGCTGGGCACTGGGCAAAATGTTCTAAAAGCTCTTATCCCATTTAATAACAGAGCCCCACTGGGACATGTATCTGAAGCCAAGGTAGATTTTTTTCTTTTTTCTTTTTTTTCCTTTCTTCTTTTTTTTTTTTTTTTTTTTTTTTTGTGAGACGGAGTCTCGCTGTTGCCCAGGCTGGAGTGCGGTGGCATGATCTCGGCTCACTGCAACCTCCGCCTCCCAGGTTCAAGCGATTCTCCTGCCTCAGTCTCCTAAGTAGCTGGAATTACAGACACACATCGCCATGCCCGGCTAATTTTTTTGTTGTTGTTGTATTTTTTTTTTTTAGTAGAGATAGTGTTTCACCATGTTGACCAGGCTGGTCTCAAATTCCTGACCTCAAGTGATCCACCCACCTGGGCTTCCCAAAGTGCTGGGATTACAGGCATGAGCCACCACGCCCAGCCCCAAGGTAGTACTGATCCTCGCTCTATGGATGGGAAAGGGCAGCTCACAGGGGTGTGATGTGACACAACCAGTGCCCACGGCTGGTCACCATGGCTAAGACTCAAAGCTGCAGTAACCTAAATCTTAACCATGAGGCATTTCCATTTCTAAAATTACCTTCTCCCACCAAAACAGAATTTAAATTCACCCCAAAGACTAAAAATTGTCATGCTGAACAGTAACTGCAATGGGATATATGTGTGTTGCTATAACATAGCAAAACCCTAGACAACTCGGGATCTAGGGTTCCTATTTTTCTTGGTTGTTTTATCCATGGTTTTATTTTTCACCTTCTCCCCAAATACCACACGATCAGCTCCTACTCTTTCAGCTGTCAGTTTTCCCACCCATCACTCTTCCTTTTACCCTCAAGACCATTTTAAACTATAGCAGGACAAGAAATCTAGTATTTCCTTATCCATTCACTTACCTATGTGGTCAGTAATATTTAAGCCCATTCGATGGGCTAGACACCCTTTTAATAGATGCAGCAGAGAAAACACAAGAGTACAAGTGCCCACTGAGACTTTCAGGGGTGAAGGTGGGAGAGAGAGGTCAAGGAGCAAGTGGAAAAAAAAGAAAGAAAGAAATGCCTGTTATAAGGGCTCCCAAAAATCAGGGCAAGGTGATATGGAGAAGGGGAGGTAGGGAAGATGACCTTGCAGCTGAGATCTCACAAGGTGCTGAGGCCCTAAGGAGGTGGGAAAGGGTGTGGGGTGCCCACAGTGGGAAAAGATCAGAGACTGGCTAGTAGACAGAGAGGCAGCAAGGCCTCCTCCTAATGAAAGAAGGCCTCACCCTAATGAAAGAAGGTTAGATTTTATCTCAGGTGGAAAGGGAAAACCTTGCAGTAGGGGATGAGGTTGGCCAGGAGACTGATTGGCTGGGATGTGCTTCTTTCTTCCTTCATTCAATGCTATCTATGGAGAGCCTGACCCTATGCTGTGTGCCGTGGAGACAGTGGTGACCACAATGTTGTCCATGAGATGCTGGCCTGTGGGGAGGGCAGTGAGAAACTAGGTCACATGTGGCCTCATGGGAAGACCACAGGGGCCACTGAGCCCCTTGTTAGGTGGGAAGGGAAGATTTCCTAAAGGGAATGTTATTTTATCTGAGATCAGAAAATGGGAAAGAGTTAACCAGGCGAAGAAGGAGTGTGGGAGAACAGGAAGGAGAGAAACAGCGCGTTCCAGAGAAGGGAAAAGAACATATGCAATGGTCTGGTTTTAAGAAGGTGCATGGTGAAGTCAAGAACAGAAGAATTTTGATTTGGCTGGATCAGGAAAGACGAAGAGAGAAAGCTGGTGGAGACCAGGGGTGGGAAGAGGTCATACTAGCAAGAGATGAGAACCCACAAGCAAAAGGCGTATCATGCAGGGCTTGACGAGGGGGCCTAATGATCCAACCATCCAAGCTGGGACGCTTCTGACAGTGAAGGGCAGTGCTTTTACTAACTAGTCCGTGAGAGCCCATACATATGGAGACTAACCCCTGGGCAAACAGGGATGTATCCCCTTCTAGGTACTAATAGGGAGTTTGCCATTGTGTTAACAACAAGGGGAAGGTGATGAAATGCAAGCAGGGAAGTCCTCTAAGCAGCTGTGCTTCCACAGGCCTATCTGCTTCATGTGGAAGCACATGCACTGGAGGTCAGGACCAGCGGAATGGAACTCTGCACCAAGGCCAGGGCTGAGATGCTGGGAGAAGACAATGATGACAGTAACTGCGGAGGGCCAGCTAGACTAGATATGGGGGGCGGGGACTGGAGATTACCGGGGAGGGAGAATCAATGGACTTGGAGACTGAAGGAGGGACCTAAAATGGCTTGTAGGTGTAGGTTTTGGCATCTGGATCCACAGTGGCACCATTCCTGGGATGAGGAGTGCTGAAAGAGAAAGCTGTCTCTGGATACTTCTTCCCCCGCCCTCCCCACCTAATTGCTTTCCCTTCATAGTTAATAGCCAAATTGGTTAAAATTGTATGCCAAGTAAGAGTAAATGGGCTCTGAGTGGCATTCAAGGGGCCCTATATAGAGTAAATGGCTTTGCTCCTCTGTGGTAGTCCAAGTAGTGAATGGATGGGTGAGTTCTGGGTATGTGAGGTGTGAACATTTATGATAAGGTATAACTGTATCTGGGAACATACTACTCCCCCTGAGTCTCAGGATTTGATCAGTTTCAAATCAATCAAATCAGTTTTAGTGCTCTTTATTATTGATATTATTTCTTATATCTACCTCTGTTTCACTAGTGCTACCCCAAAGCTCCACAAAACTGATATCAAGACAGGGTACCAGGGAAAAAGCCTCAGGAAGAGGGCAGGCTGTGTGGTCGACAGGATGCTCAGGTGACGCATGGGTGCTGCTGGGACCCAAGCAGTTGTCACAGGCAAAGAAAGGCATGGGCACTGAAAGCAGGGGACCAGAGGACAAGGTTTACAAGCAGCAGTCTCAGTCTCCATAGCATCTCCTTGGTAGGAACTGGGGAGAAATGGCAGGGGCACAACCACCAGGTCACTGCCAGGCAACAGTAAGCCAGCTTTTCACTTGATTAGTCTCCTTGGCTAAGTGGCAGAACCAATGAGTATGGACACCCATCCATATCCACAACCATACACACACACACACACACACACACACACACACACACACACACCACACACACAGAGCTTTCAGCAGACCTGTCTATGTACAGCCACAGAGAATTCCAAGATAAAACAACCTCGAGAGATTCCCAGATGGATAGAAATAAATGACAAACTAACTATTGTATTAGTCTTCACTTTACACTTCATACATATAAACAGTTGTGCCCTTTCTACTAAGATGGGCACCACAGCTCCATAAGGATACATTATCACATAAATGTCCCAACACATCATATTCAGTGATACTCTTTTAAAACACAAATCTGAACTAGAATTTACTCTATAGAACAAATCTTTAGAAGAATGACATAGGGTTGAACCATGCCGGAAAGGTAACTCTACCTGCTCAGATAGTGAAGATAATAGGATAGTATTTGAAATCTTCAGATGAGTATTCATGATGTGGTTGCGCACTTACTGATTGTGTATACCCGCATGTGTCTCTTAAACTCTCTCAGCTTCTCCGTCTATCTAGTCTTCTGTCAACTCAGCTGACAAATACATCTGGGCCCAGGACCCCAGGTGTAAAAGTTGGAAATGACACTGGTAATAATCATGAGAATCCAATAAGAAGTATTTTCTAAATTGCAAAATGCTGTATTTATTATTGATATTATTTCTTATCTCTATCTCTATTTACAACATATATCCAAGTCTTCTTGCCCTCCAGTTAAACACTGATGAACAGAGAAATCAGAAATTGGTTAACTGGCAAGTTTATTGAAGGTAGACAGTCTAAGGAAAGATCCACCCCAAATCCTCATTTGCCAAAAGAGTTGAAATGAGAAGAGTAAAGGAATATTACCCAATCTAGTCATGCTCTCAACTACCAATTCCCATGTTCACCTTTCAGAAAGATTTTAACCTGATGCTAATGTTATGTTATTTATTTAATAACAGACTTCTCCTTCTAGTCTTGTCCACAGTCTAGACCAGGGATTGGAAAACTAAGACTCAAGGGCCATATTTTGCCTGCCACCTATTTTTTTAAATAAAGTTTTATTGGAACATAACCATGCCCACTCATTTACGTATTACCCATGGCTGCTTTCATGCTACAATTGTAAAGCTGAGTAGTTACAGCAGAAATTGTATGGCCCACGAAGCCTAGAATATTTACTATCAGGCCCTTAACAAAAAAATTTTGCTAACATCTTATCTAGGCTCATACAAAGAATTCACAATTAGCACACTATAATGAAGTGGAGATTAATGAAAAATGTTTGTATCATATTAATGGTTTTAACCCAAACAATTTATTGGCATATACTGGCTAATCGTGTTAGTTCCCCAGTAGTATATTGGTTATTTTCAAACAAATGCATTTCATCAAATTGATAAAAATATATAGTATAATATAAAAAAAGAATTGAGCATAGTTTCTGTACTACATCTCGCATAGAAACAGTCCCTAGATCACTTGTGTAGCCTTAACTCTACAAAGCTGCTATGCAGGAATTAGGAACTATTTTGCATTATGCATCATTTGAATCACTGTGAAATAGCTGCATTATAATTTATTTAAATCAGTAAGGTGATATGGATTTAAAATGTAGCTGTATCTATTGCCTGTGCTTATCAAGGGATAAGCACAAATCAGCTCATGTGCAAAGGGAGAAACATACCTGGAAATCAGCAGAAGTTATATCCTCACAATCACAGGAAAACAACTGGCACTTACAGACCCACAAAAATAGTTTCTTTTAAATATTTTTATTAATTTCAATATTAGGAAACTACTTATTTAAAATATTTTCTTTATGATTGTGAAAGGATTTGGGGTTCATTGTAAAGACACGCTAACAGTGGAGAAATATATCAGGTGTACCTCCTGAATCCTTCACCTTCCTTCCCTCCCTCTGTTCCTTTATTCTTCCCTCTCTTCTTTCCTCGTCTCTCCTCCCCTCCCCTCCACTGTCCTCCCCTCTCCTTCTTTCTTTCTGTCTTTAAGCAAACAAAATAGAAGCCATGAACCATACTATTCTGAAATTTACATGTGTTTCTTTATCTAACCATATATGATTATCACTCTTTTGTGGTAATATATATAAACCTACTTTATTCTTGTAATTTAGAGCCAAATTACGTTAAATTATACTGGATCTAGAATTTATTTACATGTAGGTTGTTCTCAATTTTTCTCTATGTAAGTTATTTTTAATGTACTCATGACATTTAAAAAGCAGTGCAACTCTTACTATCTTTTATTAGTTTTGAATTGAATAAAAGTGGGTATTTGTTCTCTCTGCAAACTTCGTCTCCCTAGGTGTTTCAGCAGGCAACATTTGCCCATGTGCAGAAGGGCTACTTTCTGCTTATGATTCATAACATACCCCTCACCCCAGTATCACTCACAAACTGTACATTCTATACCTATAAGGCCAGAGAAGGTAGGAAGTTTTAGAATCCAGAGTGCCTCCATTGACAAATCTCAGGCTGAAAGAAAAGTACTGGGGAAAATCCAGCAACTCTGGTGTGTACTTTTGTTAGTTTATGAAGTTTTAGTGACTTCTGATCCCACAAGAAAAGATCAAAACTGCCAAAGAAGATGAAAGTTACAAGGGTTTCTAAGGTGGGCTGATTTTGCAACAAATATTTGCAAATGAATCTTAAACAGAGCCATGAAATTCAGTGGATTTCAGGACATCTTCATTATAAAACCAGAGAAAAATCATATCATTCTCCTTCCTCACTCTCTTCCCCTACACTCCCCCAAGACAGACCACAGGAGGTTCATTTTAAGGTCTGATGAATGGTTCAGAAGGTCTGTAGTAGATTAGGATGAGAGTTTTCTCATTTAAATTCTATATTTGAACTCCAGGCTCACCCAATTTGTCATGGTTTCTTTTTCCTTAAAGGAAAAAAGAAGTCAGTTATTTGGAACATAAAACAGCAAAGCAAAACTCTCTCCAGACAGTAAACAATAGCTTTAAAAGACAAAACCAAAAACCTAACAGAATTTTAAGACCCCCTCTTCAGGGATGGTGTGCTGTGGGCTATTTCAAGCAAAATCTCGAAAATCTATGTTCCAGGACAACTCAGTTTGATCAAGGCCAGCACTTTCACCCTAACCTTTCCTCTGTTTTAAGACTCATGGAGATCCTCTCACTACCTCTTCGACATTTTTAAATGGAGTTTATCAAAGGCTGTTATAATTTAAATGATCTACTTCTGACTTCTCAGGGGGTCACCCGAGTATTGTGAAACCAGAATTGGCTGTCAGTGCACAACATCATAATCCCAGCTGTCACCTTCTAGAAGCCCCTTCACGCCCTTTCATTAACTTGAAGTTAACACTGCAGTGGCCACCAGGAAAACAGTCCTAAGATGAAAGGTACGGGCAGGAAAGAATCTTGGGTATTTGGCTGTCATAAGAACTTGTCAGCATGCACATGAATATTTTGATTAAAGAATGATACACCCCAAAGGATCTGGCACATTCTAGTCAGACTCCTTTAACTCAGGACAGAAGACTAGCATCGATGATCACACCGCGAGTTCTACACAGGTTTATACAGAAGGTCATAATTCTCCATCCCCATCACACAAAGGATGTGAGAAAATGGACTCAAAGCTCCATTCAGGGTGTTTAGACAGAATGAGACAGTGAGAACTGCCAACCCTGGACTCAGATAATTTCACCCACAATCTCATTCTGATGGCCCTGATTATATTAAAATGTAATGAGTTTGATGCTTTTGTTTTCAGTGTTTTGTGGATGTTCTAGTGATGTGAAAAAAAAAAAAAAAAAAAACTTTTTTCAACCACAGTCCTCTCCCAGGTGGCTTATCTACTCAAATTCATTCATTCATTCATGCTTCTATGGAACATCTATCTCATAGGCACTGGCATGGTTGCCCAGAGCATTTTCCCTCGGAAAACCAGGCAAGTCTGCCCAGCAAAGGCCTGCCTCTCAGCCACAGGTATAGGCACCTGAACCAGGCTGCTGACTAGGCTGCCCCACCCCTTGAGATTCAATCATGGCTCCAGAATGGGCACCTGATTTAGCAGAACCAATCAGAGTTCACGGAAGACACCTAGAGGAGATAGCTGGGGAGAGGGGATGACTCCTAACATCCAGTGTAAGGTTTTGGGTGCTGACTTTTCCACCCTAGGAATTTGGTGCTAGGGAAGCTGATGTAAATTTCTATTTTGCTTTTCATGAATTTGCTACTGTCTGCCACATGCCATTAAGTAAGTCCTAAATGAACATGGCCCAACACTGAATTTATGGTAAAAATGGAAACTGGTTTAAGGTTTCAAGCAATGAAGCTCAGCATTATTTAAACATATCCCCAAATACTAATAAAAAAAATGCTTTGTCGTCTGAGCTTTTCTCCAAATAAAAAGACACATACGGTAAGAACATCAAAACTTCCTGTCATTAAAAAGTGAACCACAATCAGTACTTTTTTATATAACTAAAGCAACCTAACATGCATTATACAACCGTTCACACTAATTTGATAAAGCTTCTCTTCAAGAATTTCTCACCTACTGCAGATTATTTTTTAATTACACTTTTTATTTTGAGGTAATCATAGATCCACATGTAACTGTGTGAAATAATAAAGAGGCCAAGCATGGTGGCTCACGCCTGTAATCCCAGCATTTTGGGAGGTGGAGACAGCAGGATCACTTGAGCCCAGGAGCTCAAGTCCAACCTGGGCAACACAGCAAGACCCCGTGTCTTACAAATAAAATAATAATAATAATAATAATAAGAGAAATGCCACACATTCTTTACCTGGTATTCTTCAATGACATGTTACAAACTACAGCATAACATCACAAGGGATACTGACATTGATATGATCAAGACACAGAACAGTTCCACCACCACAAGGAGCCCTCATGTTACCCTTTTATAATCACAATGACCTCTCCCCACTCCCATGCCTAACCCCTGGCAACCACTAATCTGTTCTCTCTTTCTATTAAACTTGTCATTTCAAGAAAGTAATGTGAATGGAATCATGAAGTATGTGTTCTTTTGATATTGGCTTTTTTATTTTTCACTCAGCATGACTCCCTAAAGATTCAAGGATTCATTTACATTCTTGGATGTATCTATCAATAGATTGCTGTTGTTTTTTTAATTACTAAGTAATATTCCATAGTGGCGACATAGAACAGTTTGTTTAACCATTCAGTCATTGAAGGATATCTGGGTTGTTTCTAGTTCTAGGCTATTACAAATAAAGATGCTATGAACATTTCTGTATGGGGCTTTTGTGTGAACATAATTTTAATTTCTCTGAGATTAATGCCAAGGATGCAATTGCTGAGTAATATGGAAGTTACATATTTAGTTTTAGAAGAAACTGTCAAACTGTCTTCCAGAGTGCCTGTGCTATTTTACATTCCCACAGCAATGTGTGAGTGATCCTGTTTCTCCACATCCTCCCCAATATTTGCTGTTTTTATTCTTTTTATTTTTTATTCTAGTTACTCTGATAGGTATAGTGATATCTAACTGTGGTTTTAATTTTCATTCCCTTCATGGCTAAGAACACTGAGTATCTTTTCATGTACTTTCTTGCCATCTGTATATCCTCTTCAGTAAAATGTCTATTCATGGCTTTTGCCCATTTTTAAATTCAATTGTGTTTATTGTTGAGTTTTAAGAATTACTTATATATTCTCTATATATTTGTGGACATGTGGACATCTGCTTTGCAAATATCTTCTCTCAATCTGTAGCTTATCTTTTCATCCTGTTAACAGAGTCTTTCACATAGCAAAAGGTTTGGTTCTTTTTTTTTCATTTTAATGAGATCCATTTTAACAAATTTTCCTTTTACAAATTATATTTTTGATGTAAAGCCTAAGAACGCTTTGCCTAGCCCTACATCTTGAAGATTTTCTCCCCACATCTATTTTTTTTTTCAGAAAATGTCATGGTTGTATAGTTTTAAGTCTTTGATCCGTTTGAGTTAAATGTTGTTTCAGTTGTGAGGTTTGAGTCAAGGTTAATTTGTTGTTTTTTGTTTGTTTTTGTCTGTGAATGATCAATTGCTCCAGAGCCATTTGTTGAAAAGATATCCTTCCTCCATCGAATTGTTTCTGCACCTTTGTCTAAAATCAGTTGGGTGTATGTATGTGGGTATATGTCTTGTGTTCTCTATTCTATTCCATTAATCTATATGTCTATTTCTCTTCTAATGCCACATTCTCTTGTGTACTGTTACTATATAATAGGCCTTAACATTGGGTAGATTGATTCCTTCTACTTCATTCTTCTTTAAGATCATCTTACTATTCTAGGGACTGTGACTTCCTAGGTAAACTCTAGAATACTCTACACAAATCTTGCAGATATTTCTATAGGAATTGTATCAAACCTAAACACAGTTTGGTATTATTATACATACATATTAAATTAAACCTACATATTAATATTAAATATATAACTATTAAATATATAAATATTAAACCTACATATCAGTTTGAAAAAAAATAACACCTTTACCCTGTGGAGACTTCTCATCCATGAACATGGTAAGTCTCTCCAATTATTTAGGTCTTCTTTGATTTCCTTCATCAGCATTTTGTAATTTTCAGCAAATACAGCCTATATACACATGTTTTGTTAGGCTTATTTCTTTGGAACAATTATAAATTGTATTATGTTTTAAATTTCAGTTACCATAGGTTCATTGTTTTTATTAAGGTAGAGAAATAGGATGGTTTTTGTGTTGATCTTGTATATGTGACCTTACTGAGCTCTCTTATTAGTTCTAGGAAATTTTTTTGTGTGTAGATTCTTTGAGATTTTCTATGTACACAATCATGTTATCTGAAAATAGGAAGTTTTACTTCTTCCTTTGTAACCCGTATGCCTTTTACTTCTTTTCCTGGCCTGACTAAAACTTAACACTTTGTCAAATGTCAGTGTGGACATCCTTACCTGTTCCTGATCTTAAGAGGAAAAGCTTTCAAACTTTCCCTGTTAAGTTTGATGTTACCTGTAGGTTTCTGTAGATGGTCTCTATCAATTTGGAGAAGTTACTTCCCATTCCCAATGCACTGAGAAGTTTTGTATTTTTAAAATTATAAAGGGTGTTTTTTATCAAATGCCTTTTCTGAGTCAATTAATATGATCATATGAGTTGTCATTTTCAGCTTGTTGATATAGTAGATTACATTGATTGATTTGACATGGATGTTACATTGGCTTTGCATATCTCAATAATCCTGCTTGCAGGTAGCATATTATTTTTTATATACATCATTGGGTTTGATGTGCTGAAATTTTGTTGAGGATTCTTGCATGTAAGTTCATGAGAAATATTGTTCTTTTTCTGCACTGTCTTTGGTTTGTCAGGGAAACGCTAGCCTTATAAAATGAGCTGGGGTGATTTCCTTACTCTTCTATTTTTCTGGAAGAGATTGTGTAAAATTGATATTAATTCTTCTTTAAATGTTTGGTAGAATTCTCCAGTGAAAGCATTCTCCAGACCTGAAAATGGTTTTTTTGGCAGGGAGAGGGTGCTTTTAAATTATCAACTCAATTCCTTTAATAGTTATAGGATTAGTCTAGCTATCTATTTCATCTTGGTTGAATTTTGGAAGTTTGCGGCTTTGAGAATTTGATCAATTTTTTTCTAAGTCGTTAATTCATGAGTGTAAAGTTGTTTACAATAGTATTTTATTATCCTTTTAATGACTGCAGGTTCAGTACTGGCGTCTCTTGTTTCATTCCTGATATTGCTGATTTGTCTTCTCTCTTTTTATTTTTTTAAATTTTTTTAACTTGTTTTTTTGAGACAGAGTCTTGCTCTGTCGCCAGGCTGGAGTGCAGTGGCACCATCTCAGCTTACTGCAATCTCTGCCTCCCGGGTTCAAGTGATTCTCCTGCCTCAACCTACCGAGTAGCTGGGACTATAGGCACATGCCACCACACCCAGTTAATTTCTGCATTTTTAGTAGAGACAGGGTTTCACAATGTTGGCCAGGATGGTCTCCAACTCCTGACCTCAGGTGATCCATCTGCCTCGGCCTCCCAAAGTGCTGGGATTACATGCTTGAGCCACCGCGCCTGCCCCTCTCTTCATTTTTATCAGTCTTGGTAGAGGTTTATCAGTTTTACTGATTTAAAGAACCAGCTTTTGGTGTCATTGATTTTTCTCTACTGTTTTCCTATTTCAATTTAGTTGAGTTTGGCTCTTTATTATTTTCTCCCTTCTGCTTGCTTTAGTTTTATTTTGCACTATTTTTTCTAATTTCTTGAGGTGGAAACTTCAATTATTAGAGAACTTAAATATGTAAGTATATAGTGCTATAAATTTCTCCCCTAACATTGCTATAGCTTTGTTCCACCTCTTGTGATATGTAATCTTTGTTTTCATTCAGATTTGTATTTTTTTTAATTTCTTTTAAGACTTCCTCTTTGACCCAAGTATTTTTTTAATAGTATACTGTTTAATTTCTAAGTGTCTGGGGATTTTTCTGCTGTCTTTCTGTTATGAATTTCCTGTTCTATTCCATTTTCATCAAAAATTATATTCTACAATTTTAAAGATTTAATTTTAAGGTTTCTACTATGACCCAGGATGTTTTATCTTGCTTAATGTTCCATAGGTGCTTGAGAAGAACGTGTATTCTGCTGTTATTTAGATAGAGTGCTCTATAAATGTCATTTCAATCTCATTGGTTGATGGTGTTGTTCAGCTCTTCTATATCCTTGCTGACTTTTTGTACAGTAGCCTATCAACTGGTGACTGTGGAATGTACAAGTCCCAACTATAATTGTAAATCTGTCTATTTCTATCCTCAGCTCTAACAGTTTCTGCTTTGTGTATTTTGAAACTGTGTATTTTGATCCAAACACACTTAGGATTGTAATGTTTTTCTATGCAAGTGATCCTTTTATCATTATGAAATATCCCTTTCTTTGTCTCTAGTAATTTTCTTTGCCCTGAAGACTTTATATGGTATTAATAGAATCACTCTTACTTTAAAATTAATGTTAGCATGGTACATATTTTTCTGATTTTTTTACTTTCAACATATCTGTCACTGTATTTCAAATGAGTTTCTTTTTTTTTTTTTTTTTTGAGATGGATCTCGCTCTATTGCCCAGGCTGGAGTGCAGTGGTGCAATCTCGGCTCACTGCAACCTCCACCTCCCGGGTTCAAGTGATTCTCCTGCCTCAGCCTCCCAAGTAGCTGGGACTACAGGCATGTGCCACCACGCCCAGCTAATTTTTTGTACTTTTAGTAGAGACGGGATTTCAACATGTTAGCCAGGATGGTCTCGATTTCCTGACCCCATGATCTGCCTGCCTCGGCCTCCCAAAGTGCTAGGATTACAGGCATGAACCACTGTGCCAGGCCTCAAATGAGTTTCTTATAGTCAGCATATGGTCATACGGTTGGATCATGTTTGTTTGTGTTTTTTTAATCCACTCAAACAATCTCTGCCTTGACACTGATGGTCTTAAGAACACTTAAATTTCAGGTGATATATTTTGGCTGTGTCCCACCCAAATCTCATCTTGAATTTGAGCTCCCATAATCCCCATGTGTCATTGGAGGGACCCAGTGGGAGGTAACTGAATCATGAAGGTGGGTTTTTCCTATGCTGTTCTCATGATACTGAGCAAATTTCATGAGATCTGATGATTTTATAAAGGGCAGTTCCTCTGCACATGCTCTCTTGCCTGCTGCCATGTAAGATGTGCCTTTGCTCTTTCCTTGCCTTCTGCCATGATTGTGAGGCCTCCCCAGCTACGTGGAACTTGGGTCCATTAAACCTCTTTTTCTTTATAAATTACCCAGTCTCAGGTATGTCTTTATTAGCAGAGAGCAGACTAATACATAAGGTGATTAATGATATATTAAAACTTGAGTCTGCCAGTTTATTTTTTTCCTATTCATCCTCTTTCTAATTCCTCTGTTTCTCATTTCTTACCTTCCTATGAGTTACTTTTTAAGAATAACTCTCTGTATTGTTTTCTTAGTGGTTGCTGTAGGTATTATGGTACAAATATGTAATTTATTACTGTCTACTCATATCAGTATTTACCATTTCCACTGAAGTATAGAAACCTTCTATTTAGGTCCCTTTACCCTTCACACTTTTAAAATATAATTGTCTTAAGTATTCCATCCATAAACATTGGGTATCACATCAGATGGTGTTAGGCCAGTTTTGCTTCAACTATCAAACATAATTTAAGAATTGTCTGAGAATTAGGATACTCTAATTGTAATCTTCTTACTCATTCCAATGTTCTTCTCTCCTTTCTGAATTTCCAAGCTTTCTTTCCTTATTTCCTTTCTGTTTAGAGAATTCCCTTTAGACATTATTTAAGGGTAGGTTTAGAGGCAACAGTTTTACAGTTTTCCTTCCATTGAGAATGCCTTTATTTCTCCTTCATTCCTGATGGATATTTTCACTGGATATAGAATCCTGGGTTGGCAGTTCTTTTCTTTCAGTATTTGAAAAATGCTATGCTACTTACTTCTGGTCTTCATGATTTCATATGAGAAATCTATGTAATTCAAATTGCTGTTCCATATAAGCAATGTGTCCTTTCTCTCTGGCTGTTTCTAGATTTTTTTCTTGTCTAATTATATTTATGATGTGTCTTGGCATGGATTTACATAGGTTTATTCTATTTGGAGTTTGCATAACCTTTTGAATATGTATGCTTACACCTTTTACCCAGTTTGGGGGAGTTTCCAGACAATACATCTTTAAATACCTCTTCAGTCCCATTCTCTCTCTCCTCTCCTATGACTTTGATGTAATTAATGTTATATTTTTTTGTTATTGTCCCTCAAGTCCCTGAGACTGTTCATTTTGGTCCAGTCTATTTTCTCGCTGTTGTTCAAATTGGGTAATTGCTATTGATCTGTCCTGAAATTCACTGATTTTATCTGCTGTCATCTTCACTCTATTGAGCTCATCAGTGAGCTTTTATTTAGTGGTTGTATTTTTCAGTTCAATAATTTCCATTTGGCTCTATTTTATAACTTCTATTCCTTTGGGAGATTTTCTACTGTTTCATTTGTTGCAAGAGAATTCCTAATTGCTTGTTAAAACAATTTTGTAATTCCAACATCCAATTCATGTAAATACTGGCTTCTGTTGATTGTTTTTTCTCATTCATGTTGTGATTTTCCCAGTTCGTGGCATTTTAATTGCATTCTGGGCATTATGGATTTTATATTATGAGACTCTGGATCCGATTTCATCTTTTCTCTTAGCAGTCATTCTCGGTAGGAGAAGGGCCAAGGGGGTATGCATGGGGCAAAAGATCAACTTCTTATTTGGCCCCACTGAAACCATGTAGGATTGGTTGTTCCGTTGATATTCAGCTGGAGTAGAAAAAGTGTTGTCACAAAGGTTTTCTGTGGTCCTTTGGCTAGAAGGAACAAGATTTTCTGGGACTTTCTTTTTTTTTTTTTAATCTGTGCCTATTGTTGGTCCAGGTGAGATTCTGGAATGCTCTATTCAGGATATATGGGAGTCAAAGAGGAAAATCAGGGAACTTCCCTTTTGTCTTTAAGACCCAAAGCCCCTAGACATTTCATTTTCTCCTTTTCAAGTCTTCTTATACAGATTAGGCATACTAATCCAAAAATCCAAGATCCAAAATATGAAATTCTCCAAAATCTGAAACTTTTTGAGAACCGATATAATGCTCAACAGTCATACCCAAAGGAAATGCTCATTGGAGCATTGCGGATTTCAGATTTTCAGATTAGGGATGCTCAACCCGTAAGTATAATGCAAATATTCCAAAATCTGAAAAATCAGAAACACTTCTAGTCCCAACCATTTTAGATAAGGAATACTCAACCTATACTTGTTTGTTGCGTTATGTCTAGGGCTTCTCAGTTATAAAGGTGAGGACCTCATTGGAATATGGTTACTCCATATTGGCAGAATAAGAAGTCCAGATTAGTTTTTATATTCAAAAGTATTCCAGTCTTCAATATCCATAAACTCAAAGGCAATTTAGAATAATTTCTTAGCCCATTTCCTCTAATGACTTTTTTTCATTCATAAAACTTCCTATTTCCAAAGATCATACTGTCCTTTGTTCCTCTGGGAAGCAATCTGAAGGAAGGCTTTGATCATTTAAGTGCTTGTTCTGTTTAACGTTGCAAGCACCAGGATGGAACACCTATTTGAGGCTCTGGAGGATATTACAATATTACAATATTGGAATAGGGATGAGATCTTCACTTACACAATGGCCAAACAACGGGAAAGTCTCTAGAAAAATGCGGCTATAGACTTAAGTCACTTTTCTTACCTTAGCCTAAACAATTACCATGAATGAGCATTCTCAGGTTACACCTGTTCTTTGAACTTCAGTGTACTTGGTTCCTCCCTCCTAAATATGAAGCTTATCATGCTGCTTCTTTCCCCTCAAACTGAAGCCCAGATATTAACTCTAGTGTATTTTTCACTTTATACTTTGTGTTCCAACTGGAATGAATTTCTCCCAATCCTCTGTTGCTCACTTCCTCAAACATACCTAAATTAAGTGCTTCTACTACCTGCATCTAAGATAGCACCAACACAATACGAGCCAGGGGATTCTCTCCAGCATATAGAATGTGCCTCACAAAAGCCTGCCTTGGCCATTGCCCCCAGCTACCTCATGCAGGTCTGCTCTCCAGGGGAAGAGCAGCTCTGTGTGTCAGGTACAGAAAATCAACATGGGCAATGGCAGCTGTGAGTCCCAGAAGCTGTGACATGGCTGCAGCCACAGCTATACCTTCAAGTGAAACTGTCAACTGGCCCTGCAGGGGTGGTATAGTGGTGGTTGCGGTAGCTGTACTGACAAATTTAAAGGTGGCTAAAGGGAAACAGGATTTATTTTACAGAAGTCTACTTTAGAAATTTTCCTAGGATACTCCAAAACTGGAGGGGAAACCTCTATCCCATTGTGTAAGATTCTCCTTTAACGTATCGTCCTTTTGTTCCACAATATTAATGGAACAGGCAATGCTTGGCACATTGAGGATACAGTAGTGAGCAGACAGCATTCCTATCCTTGAAAAGCTTACCTTTAATAGCAGACAAGTTACCCCAACAGTTACCCCAGTGACCATTTAATCAATCGTGAGAAGGACAAGGGAAATAACAAGTGGGTTCAATTTTCTTTGAAATCTTAGCAAGAGCCATATTCTTTCAAGAGTGTCAACGTAAGCATCAAGCACACCATAGCATTGTGTTTATTAGAGCACAAGGACAATAAGTGAATGCAATTGTTTCAGAACTAGCAAGCCTTTGAATTCAATGTAATTATTTTAGTGCCATGATTTTCTTTGTGCTCTTAATAAATATTCTACACATGGGGGCTCCAAGGGCCTCAATGAAAGGGCAGTGCATTTGATAAGACAGATTTATTGTGAAACAATCACTATGAGGGAGACAGGGGTGTACCATGACTGGAATGCTCCCCCGAGCTGCCCCTACCTCTTTGTTTGTCCTGTCGGCTTGCACCAAAGTTCCATTCAGGCAAGGTTCCACATAGTGAAGCTCCTCATTATACTGCAAAGGAAAAAAGTCAAGAAGGAACACTTAATTAAGGAATTGAAGGGTACTTCTTAATAATTTAAGGAGGTACGCACACAAACAAAAAAGCGGCACAATCACAGGCTCCATTTATTCACATAAGGTGAACTCTCTCATGGGTGTCCCTCTAGACAACTATGATTATGTGCTGCAGACAGACTTCATTCTTTTCTTGTTTGAAGGAGAAACTTCTAGAGCATGTGCTGGTAGCTGGCAGGGTTCAGGGTGCACCCTGTTAACTGATCATTCTTTGGGGTTGCCTCCAAACGCTGGCAGTTCCCTGGGCATGGCTGACAGCCCATGGTCCTGGTGGGAGCTGAAGAGCACCCCAGAGTTGCGTGGATACAGCTCCAGCTACTGTCTTTGGCTTCATGGAACCAAGGGACACATGTGTGGCTTACACAAGTGGGGACAGAATAAGCCTTGATGTTCCCTGGTCACTCTGCAAGGGTATGTGGGTGCTGATCAGGAAACTGTCCATGCACAATTTCCCATACATTGCCAACACCGGCACTCCCATCACTTCAATCCCAGAATATCCAGAATAGGACCCCCCCACACTTTTTATTTGCCCGAAGCTCACAACCAGGTAGCAAAAATGTGAGTATTCTCATCATTTCTCTCAGCAAGCTTGCTTCTCTGCCCTGCAGGGAGGCCGGTCCTTACACATCTGATCGTGTTGCCTCTTGTCAATCCTATTCACAGCTCCCATTGCTGTGCAGATGAATGTTCCCGGGACTTTGTGAGGCTCTGGACCCTTGGTCCTGCTGACACTCTAGCATCTTTACTCATCAGCCTTCCCCTAAAACTTATCCTGGCCAGCCATTATTCCCCTGCTGTCCTCTGACATGTCTCCTCTTTTCCTTCAGTCCCTCCAATGCTGGGACCCCTGCTTTGAGCTCTCGCTCTGGCACCTCTTCTCTCTGGCTGACTCCTGTTCACCTCCTGGGTCAGATTACTCCCACCTCCTCTGGGAAGCAGGCTCTGGTGCAGGCTAGGCACTGGGTTAGGTCCCTCTTCCATATAATCCCTGTAAATTCTAATTATCTGTTGGCCGGATTCCCCACCACAAAGTGGGACCACACCATTAGGGCCCATGCCTGGTCCTTCGGTGTTATTTTCTGCAGCAAGCACAGGGCTGGACCCACAGTAGGTGCCTGAGGACCATTTGATTGATGACAGCGTTATGGTATATCTACTTTAGCAGCCAAAGAGGCCCGGAGCTCCTGAGGGAAGAGAACAGAACCATCTCTCCCAGACCCAGCTAACTCTTGAGCAAAGAGGGCCTCGGGAGTTTGTGCTTTAAAACTAAAGTCAGCGAGGACCAGGCAGGGCTGTGAGCAAGGGAGTGAGTGGAATAAAGATACGAGTTTGGGAAATCCCTCTGGATACACCGCAGGGACAGGTCGAAGAGGGGCTAGACCTAAAGCTGCTCAAGAGCAACTGGGATGCATCAGGTTTCCCATGGAGAGAGCCTCACTAAGCAAGCAGAAGTGGTGATCAAACTGACCTTGGCAATTAACTGTTATTGAGCACTTACTGCACCTAGGCAGCAGGGAAACTTCATCTGCACGTTATCTTAGCACCGTTTGGCAAGCACGTCCAATCACTCACCCTTTACAGATGGGGAAACTGAGGCACGGCAAAAATGATCGACTTGCCCAAAGACACCAGAGAGTAAGTGAGGGGTGGTGGAGTCCAGATTCAAATTCAGGCAGTCTGACCTCACTGCCACTCACAACAGGTCCTCAATGCCCCCAACTTATCCTCTCTGGCCCCCAAACCTCCAGATCTCCCCATCAGTCAGGCTTGTGCCCTCTCGTTCATCTTTGCTTTTAGTCATATAAAAAGTATTTGAAAAATTATATCCCAATGATTTGAGGGCTTAAATATCTTCTAACAAGGCATGGAGAAAAAATATATTTATGACATTAGCCACTGACAAATGGGAGTATGACTTTTAGTCAACAAACAGAACATCAGCTCAGGATCCAAGAAGCAACTGCAGAGTTCAATATGAAGGAAAACTCCTCCAAAGCTCTCAATCTCTGTTGGACTGACCCTGGAAGTTGCTGAGAAAACAGCCAGTCCCCTCTCCTTCACTTCCCTTGCTGACTCATTTGGTTTAGGGTGACAATACACCGATTTCTAAGGCCTGAAGCACAAAGGGTCTTAGCCAGTCACAGCCATCCAGTTCCCCGTTGTTGGACACGACCTTTCATAGGCTGCCCTGCAGCTAGGGGCAGTCAAATGACCATGACATAAGGGAAAGTTTGATGGGCAGTTTCAATGAAACGTTTTCCTGCCATTAAGGGAAAACTCATCTATACTCACTCTTTTCTTCCTGCTTGGGATGCTATTGTGGAGTTGCTGCAGCCATTTTGCAACTATGAGGTTACAAGAGAAAGAACGGAATGCAAAGCCCAAGGAAGACACAGCAGGAAGACGGAGCCAGTGTGGGCCCCTGAAGATAATGTTGAGCTACTGTGCAAAAGCTGCAGCCACCTTCCTCCAGGCTTCTTACATGACATTATCAGATGCCTGTATGCTGAACCAACCTTTCCTCACCTGTTCTATAAACCAGAGCCCAAAACTTTCTTAACTGAGGTTCCCACCGTGGTTTTACTTCCTCTCATTCTTCCATTTTCCAGGTAAATTGAATCACTTCATTGACATTCTACCTAATACACACTCTCAAAATTGATTCCTGGGGTTGTACAGTTTGAGCTGGGAGTCAGGTCACTTGGGTCCAAGTCCTGCCTCTACCGTGTACTCACTGTGTGGCCTTGGAGAAGTTGCTAAGCCTCTCTGATCCCAGAATCTTATGCATAAGAATACACTAATTCACCTTCAGTCTCCCTCTGGGGGCCCTGCAGAAATTGAGTGAGGCAACAGACCTGAAACTGCCTTGCTAATATAAAAGTCTATACTTGTGGGGGCTCCAGAGGGGATTTAAAAGTCAAGAAGACCAAGGAGTTCTTGCCCTCATCAGGGAGGTACATGTGCAGTAATCAAAACCATGCTTGCCAGCACTGTGTGTGCTATGGCCTCAGTGGAAGAATCCGCTCTTCAGAATCCCAGCCAGCTTGTTAGTGGCATCATCCAAGCTTGCAGTTGACTAATTTCCCTTGACTGCATCAGGATAAAGCTATGCTGAGCAATCTGGTCTGTATCACCAGAGGGAGCCGGGCTCAGCCATGTGTGTAAGGGAACTGTGCACACCAGGCAGCTGTACTAAGGCCTGCTAGCTATGCACGCTCCTCTCACTACCCAACGGCTCCTCCCGAGGGGGACCCCAAGGATGCCCTGTGCACGGAACTGCTTCCAGACTCCTCGCAGCCCTTTATTTGGAAATCTTTCAGCTTCTGCATTTTTGTGTATGTTCTCTAGATTTCTATTTTGTGAAACGATGTTGTAGAAGAGCCATATATATTTACAACTCAAGATTTGGTCACCTCTTGCCCTAAGACACAACAGCCTTATAAATGGCTCTCCTTGATCCCTAGTGAAATAATCTGATATCAACAGTCTAAGGAAGAAAAGGATACAATGTACATCATCACCAGCTAGATGCAATTTCCTTCTATAATTTGCTTTTACTTCCCTGCACTACCAGGATTGAACCCTAAAGACGTACTTAAACTTTCCCCTTTCTGCCCAAGTGGTTAGTCCTTCTTGCAAATTTCTGGGAAATGGGAAGAGTCTCTTAGGAAGACAGGAGTGGGCCCAGGCTGCCCTGGAAATGGGTCCAGTCCAGCCCACCAACTACACGGTAAGGAAATGGACAAACAGCTTTCACCCTTTAAAGAGCTTAGAAGCTGCCACATAGCATACGGGGACTCGGATGCTGTTGGCTTTCTTCTCTCTGCTTCCTTCCTGGTTGGCTTTCCTTTTCTGATTCTCACAAGGGTAGAACAGTAGAGCTAAAGCAACTGAGGCAGGCAGGCCCGGGTTCAAATCCTGACTCTGCCACACACTAGCTGGGTGAGCTTGGCCTCAGCTTTTGTGTTGGGGAAACAGGTATTCTAACTGCACCTCTTTCATGAGCTCACTGTGAGGATGAAATAAGTCAACATAGAACCTGGCACGTAAGAATGAGAAAGGCATCTAGGTGCACAGGCACAAATGCACAAAAAAGAAAGAAAATATATATGTGAGTGTGATGTGTGCTACATAAAGGGAAAGGCCAACAGATGACACCCTGCACCCAGAGCTGGAACTTGCTATGAAGGAAGAGGGTGATGTCAGTGACGGCAAAGTGACTCACTCTTTGGAACAGGGGCATGTGTCCTTGGCCTTCTCTGGAGATCATGGATCTGCATTTGTTGGGGATAAGATGCCATGTCATCAGGCACATGTCACTATCTATGTACCCAAGACAAGCCCATGATGTCTGGCCACACACTGTCCCACTCTAAGCCACCCTCTGAATCCTCCCAGGGACCGGGGTCTTTGGCAGATAGGGAGCCAAGACGGTGCAGCCAGCTTACTGGGAAATCCCCACGCAGGAAGGCATCTGCCACAGAACTCTTCACTTCTTTATTTGCTCACTGAATATTACCCTAAGCACCTACTGTGTGCTGGGGACATAAAACACTGGCTAAGTTTGCTTATGACCATCATTGTAGAGTGACAATGAACCGTTTTTTACTTTTCTTAGTAAAAGAGTATGTTTACTCTTGTTCCATCTGAACATAAGGCCTTTTTTCCTTTTGTTTGTTTTTGTTTGTTTGTTTTTGAAACGCGGGTCCCACTCACGTATCACCCAGGCTGGAGTGCAGTGGTGTGATCACAGCTCACTGCAGCCTCCACCTCCCAGGGTCAAGCAGTCCTTCTGACTCAGCTTCCCAAATAGTTCGGACCACAGGCACATGCCACCACGTCCAGCTAATTTTTTTATTATTATTTGTAGCAACAAGGTCTCCCTATGTTGCCCAGGCTGGTCTCGAACTCCTGGGCTCGAGCAATCCTCCTGCCTCAGCCTCCCAAGTACTAGGATTATAGGCATGAGCCACTGCACCTGGCCCTGGCTTTCCTTTTTATAACAAATAGTGCTTATTTGTGATGCTGCAACAGTCCCTCCAAAAATAACAACAAGCTTGAGACAAACCCACAATCTTCCTCAGGTATTAGACTACATCGCACAACTCTTGCTGAGGTAACTGTCCCTCTGTCTCCATTCAACCAACCTCCAAACTCTCCGCCCTGAAGGCAAGGGACACATCATCATATGCCTTTTCTTTCCTTTTGCCCAATGTCTGTGAGCATTCCCTAGATCTCCCCTTTTACAGACACAGCAAAGTGATCAATGAGAATCTTAATGATGATCTAAGATAGGAAAGACAACTTTGATTAAATGAAGGGCCAGAACGTTTTGGGGAAGGATCTAAAAGCAATGCAAATGGGCTAGACCCTCCCACCAAGGTTCACAGGAGCTTCTGCATTAGTGTAGAATCCCAGCATACACAGGCTCAGGTGAATCACAGTCCAAAAGCCAGAGAGCCAAAGACAACTGACTTTGGGCTCTGGATAACAGTGAGGAACCCACCTAATGTCAGAAGCTGAACTTGAGAGATGAAAGCAATTCCGCTTTCAGGCCTAACAGAAGGTTATCAGTCACCTAGAGAAGAGGATGAGGAAAGACCTCTCTAAGCAGGGACCGGCTTCGGGGCGCATCTCAACACCCTGCCCTGAAGCTGAGACTCATTTCTGTGGGTCTCCATTGCCTCCATGGGTTGTCCCAATTCCTCCACCTGGCTGACCAGACTGGTTCGATCTGGCTTGCCTCTCTCCATCCAGTCTCATTCATTTCACCATCACTCACCGGATCCACTTGCCTCCACATTCACCCACCCCCCTATGTGATCCAGACACACCAAGAGCTCCTTCTTAGGGGCTGGGGTAGGGGGATCTTACACCTGCAAATGGCACTTTCCTCCTCAGTTGTTGACTCCTTCCTCCTTCTCTCCCTGCCTTGTCCCATCACGTTTGCCTATGCCTGGCTAGCCTACTTATCTTCAAGTGTCCACTTAGTCATGACTTCTTCTGATAAGCCACCACAGAGCCCCAGGCGATACATGACCCAGCTCTAGACACCCAGCCCCCCAACTACTCCCTCTCCAAGACTGCACTGGCCACACTGTGTTGTGAGACCTGCTTCCTGGTAGCCCCCAAACAAGGCTCACACACAGAAAACCTAAGTCTCTGAGAGCAGACAGCTTGTCTTAAGTTAGCCCCAATGCTTAATGCAGAGCACTCAGTACTATTTGTTGAATGAATCGATAGAACAAAGAAACAAAAAGGCAAAATTGCAGAGAAGATCACTGATGGAAAGGACTAGGAACAAAGCCAGAAAAAAAATTGGCACAGAAACAAAAAATAAGATAAGAATCTCTACCCCCTTCAAAAAACAGGTAAATAAACAAAAAGTAAAGGAAGTAAGTGGCTATGTTTTAAAGAATCCAAAGTTCTGCCAAAAAAACCCATAGAATTAAATGCTGCCATGCTCATGTAATACAAGAAACTGATGCAGAATTGCTGGGACTCCATTAAATATTTTTACAGTTTTACTGGTGCACTTTTGATTAAATAACCTTTGAATGAAAACATGTAGGGATTATGTAATAAAGCAGATGAACACACATTATTTTGACCAACACAAGCCATCCTAGGGATCTTTTGCATTACAAAAGCATCTTATGTAATTTGAAACACAACTGGACACAATTAGTAGTACAGAACAAATGAGCACTGAAAGAAAATACTATCCTCATACTTTTAATACGGAATCGATTACTTTAAAAAGCAAATCCACAGCGGCAAAGCATCGGAGAAACCGTTCTAAAGAAAATCTGCAAATTAAAACCAGGGCATCAGAAAGTTCTTGCTTGAACTAACAAATGATGCTCTTCTTAATTCAAGTCTGCACAAATATGGGCTGCAGGAGGCATTTAAATTGATGTAACAATATTGGCCCGGTTAATGCTGTGTTCATTTAATGCATGGCTTAAGCTTCTGTAAAGTCATTTTTCAAATTTCAACATCGGACAGAATTAGCACCCTCATTTTTATGATAATATTGTTAATTTAATGCATGGCTTGAAGTTAGACTTCAAAGTGAATCAGAAAAATATGCCTTTTCTCTTGTCAGAGACATCTCTCTTCATGCACCAGTGGTTTGACCTTAAAATTTTAACTTCAACTGCACAAAATTACTCTCATATTTCAACTATTCTTTCATAATTCAATCAGTTAGTTTGTCCATTTTAGATAGATCTTGTAATACCTTGCCCATGAGAGCTAAAACAATTTTTAACATTATCTCTTTATGTTTATACTCTGGATAGATCAAGATCAGAAACTTTTCAGTATAATATTAAACATGCAGTTCACAATGAACTTAATAAAACCTGCAAAACCGAAAGACGAACTTAAGTGGCCAAGGGAAGTCTTTCCCACTATTTAAATCTCTTTCCTCCGACCTCCATTATGGCACTGAAAATCAAGAGGCAATGATGAATTAGATTTGCACAAACAAAAACCTACAGTACACGAGGGCTTCCGGCACTGAAAATATTGTATTCTTTACTTTTCCTCTAAAACAGTGAGCTATCTCCACAAACATCTACCCGGCAAGCAAAGGAAGGCTGACAGTGTAATGGAGGGTGAAATGATAATGTCCTCTTTCGTAAATGGAATCCAGCCGATGATAACAATGCACTCACACAGATTTGCAGGGCGTTCTGGATGGCGTTTCAAATATCCCATTCCCCTGCACTTTAAGAACCTGCAGTTGGGTCGCCCTCTACACAGGAGACAAGTGACCATTTTAAACAGACTGAGGGAAAACCTACACCATATTACTAGAGCAATTATGTCAGGGCAGAAACAGAAGGAGGTGATGGAGGAAAAAAGAATAAGAATTCAACGAGGCAAAATTCGCAGAACACACTTAGGATTGGGAGAGACAATTCAAGGGAATGCAAATGAAAATTAGCCAGCTAGGAATCTCCTATTATTTAGAAGCCTCAAACTGTTGGTAACTGTGTAAACATTATGCCCTGTTTGGTAGACATTCTGGTAGGTGCCTGTGTGTATACCCTTTGGTGCATAAATTTCACTTCTAGATTTTATTCAATAGAAGCACACCCAACCTTGCAAAAATATATGCATTCCATTCAGTGCACTGTACGCACTGCACTCACTGCAGCACTTCTGAGTAACAAATGTGATGGAATGCTCTGTTATTCAAATACATTTGATTGAAATAAGAGTTGCTGAATATTCTGTAAAATATGAATCCATTTTTGCGAAAAGACTGTGTGCTCATATACACAGAAACATTTAGAATATGTGCCAAATGAAAGAGAAATGAGAACATTACTGAATTGCTTAAAATTATTACATACATTGCCTACATTAAAAAGCAATGAACCTATAAACATTACTATTAATTAATGGTTCTTTTATGACCTTGGCCTTCTAATATAAATTCACTAACATATCTGATCCATTCTCTTATCCATTAGAGGAACAAAGTTCATGATTTTACTATAAAGGCTTCAAATAAAGAAGTTCAGAGTGTCTTTCTAGTTGTTGAAATAATTATGTAAATAGTGTTGAAGCTGATTATTTATGTTGAAAATGAACAAACAGATGCACAGTGAGGGTTAATGGGATCTTTAATGGGTTTCTTTATATAAAGGGACAATTTGGGGTAAAAAAATTTTTTTTCTTAACTCTTCTATAATAACTGGCATGCCTACTTTTAATTATCTTAGTCACCCTCTCTTCTTTATTGAGTTGACACTGTTTGTATATCTTAATGAACTTACATAGATTATTTCAATCGATTGGTTTTGTTAACAGAACAATAAATCCTGACTGATAAAGAATGCAGGATGTAATTAGTTAGCTCTTCTTATTACGTGAATTTCTGATACTTCTGTAATGAGTAATTAAAGATTAATAAGAAAGATAGTCTCATATTAGCTGCTTCTTATCTATAAATGCTTCAGGATGTGTGGGGATCAAGCCACACTTGCATTCTCACCACTAGGCTGGCAACTAGAGTAACTTGGCAGCAAACCCAAAGTTCTAACTATCTGAAAGTCTTCTTCCAAAGAACTATGCCTCAAGGCCATATAATTTCATGATAAGATGGCTGAGTGGATCAACTATATCCTCTTCACTTCTGCTCAGGAAAGGGTGCAAGGTGAAGCCGGACAATGTCTGAGCCTTCACCGTGCCACCTTTTCTGGCTGTGTAACTCAAAAAGTCACTTCTGCGGCTTCATGCCTCTGTCTCCATGCCACATAGCACAGAGCTGGGGTGAGGATTCAGTGAGATAATCCACACAGGACACTTAGCAACTGACTTGCACACAGTGAGTGGAAGGCAGCTGTGGTTATTATTCATTCAACAAATATTTAAACTCCTGCTATTTGCCAAGCACTGCCTAGGTGCTGGGGATACATCCATGAATGAACAAGACTAACCCCTGCTCCCAAGGAATTTAGTATTCTCTTTCTTTTCCCTTTCGTCTTTAGGATTTCTTAAAATCAGAAACTTTTGTTCTGAGAGTCTGATCAGAAGAGGCCTGTATAGGCAGGATACTAATTCAGGCAATCCCCTCGGCCACCATGTCACTTAGAGGCCCAGGCCCTCTGCCTGGAGAACACAAGTGGGTGTCACGCCTATGCAGAAGGCAGCCCAGTCATAAGGCTCCATCCATGACAACATACTCTCCTTGCGGGTTTAGGGGAGCCATGCAGACCACAGCAACAGCATTCTCGGAGCACCCTCTTCTTTTGTATCCCACCACTGGCTAAGGAGCCCTGTGCACCAGCTTGACTCTGGTGCATCAACTCAGATGATCCCAGCAGCAACCCTGTGGGCAAGGTGAGCACACCTACTTCACAGCTGAGGTAGCTGATGCCCAGACTAAAGTAATTAGCCCAAGACACACAGCATATGTGGTGAATGGGATTCAAAACAGCCCAACTCCAAAACCCAGGCTCTGCGCCCATCACCATGCTGCCTCCATTGTCCATAGCAACTACTCCACCTCCCAAATAGATGTGATGTGTGTTATTTTCATGCAAAAGAATAAGTGTCCACCACACACACACACACACACACACACACACACACACACACACACACACTTGGTTAAGTGCTCAAGGACTCAAAGAAATCAGGCTCACTCTGACGAGCCTTTGGTAAGAGAGTGGGAGGAACATAAGGGGCATGATGAAAATCATACCAAATAATCAGTGGGAAGAAGAAAAAGAACTGGAGATTGTAAACCAAAAATAAAATTCTAAGACCCCCCCCAACCATCTGAATGGACTTCCTCCTCTACACAGGAGACAAAGGCTCTTTTAAAATTTAATCTGAGAGACTGTTTCAGGCCGTGATGGGAAATGGGGGTCGAACATGCCTCCTTACACCTCTCCGGCATGAACATCAACACAGACTTTAAGTCTGATAAGAAATATTTTACAACCTATTCTCTCTGAAGCCTAGGACGTGAAGGCTTCCTCTACAAATAAGAACTCGGGCCTCCACCATCCTTTATCTTAACCCAGACATTCCTTTTTATTCACCCCCAGCTCTTTAGAAAAACTCAACCAATTGTCAACCAGAAAATTTTAAAATCTACCTATAAGCTGGAAGCCCCTGCTTCGAGCTGTCCTGCCTTTCCGGACCAAACCAATGTATTTCTTAAATGTATTTGACTGAAGTCTCATGTCTCCCTAAAATGTAGAAAAACAAGCTGCACCAGTGAACCAAGCTGAACAGGTGCCCAACTACCTTGGGCGCATGTTCTTAGGACCTCCTGAGGGCTGTGTCACAGGCCATGGTCACTCATATTTGGCTCAGAATAAATCTCTTCAAATATTTTGCAGAGTTTGCCTCTTTTCATTGACAAGATGGACACCTGAATAAGTGGTCATTTCCAGGCTACATGACTGCCCGGTCTCAGGCTTGGTTCCCTGATCTCCCATTTGCCAGCCTTGTGACCTGGACAAGTTACTGACACTCTTCCAATCTCAGCACCTTCATTTGAGAATATGCCCAAACCACCCCCTACCTCCTAGACTTGCTGTGAAAAACCAAGATAATAAAAATATGAAGATTAAGGCATTTATTAAAAGCAGGCATTTAATAAATGCCACCTTTTTTCCAGAAGCTGAAATAAAGTGTTCTGTGAGCCATAAAGTGCTCTCCATATTTTAGTTGCTTCATTGCCATTATTATTATTATTATCAATTATTATCATCGTCAATATCATCAGGCTAACCTAGCTGGAAGTTAATTTCCATGTGAGAAATTCTAGTGGTTTGGTGAAAATCTTGCTAAGTCTGTTTTCCAAGAATCTGAAAATGTCAGCTCCCCAGGAATACCACATCTGGTGTGTCATTCTCTCAGATGGTGTGGCGGTGTGGCTGTGTGGTAGGTTAAGACAGGCAACGTGTGTTCAACTGCATTTCCAAAAGCCCTTCCACTGCCTTCCACTGTCCATGACTCTGTCAACTTTCATGAGACTAACCAGGCCTCATGTTCTGGCATCTAGATGCTCTGGATCTAACAGCGAGAGCAATGTTAACCAGTCACTACCAAAAGATCAAATGAACCCAAGTGCAAAGAAGGCACAAAACGGTGCACTCACAGCAATTATGTTGAAGAAGTCATCATCCCCAAGTGTATCCAAAATGGATGAGACTGTTTGCTTCGCGATAGTCAGACGGAGTCCTTTCATGCTGCCACTGACGTCAACTAAAATGACCACGTCTTTCGGAGAAGTTGCTGCCTGGATGTACCTAGGTCAAGGGAAAAATTAAGTCAAAATTAATCCTGACTTCACTTCTCTTCAAGATATCTCTTTGAGAAATAACAAAGAGGTCTGACCACTGCCTACCATTTTCGGTTCCTGCAGTCGAAGGCAATGACTCCATTCTCATCTGGTTCCCATTTAATCCCTAGAAGAAAAATGGGGTTATGAGAAACCCAGAAACTTCAAATATTTATTCATAGCATTTCAAGGCTGCTCTACTTTGCTGATTGAATGGACAGGGTGAAAAATCACATGCAAAGACCAACCCCAGAGCTCATCACATGCTCCATCGCCAAATCCAGGAAGGAGCTGTTGGGCCATAACCCTATAGCAAACACAGCGCTAGCTCAGCTTCTCCAAAGGCCTGCAGAGAGTGGAGATGTTTTTAGGACTGTGCTGTCCATTGAGAGAGTATGTGACTCCAGCTCCTTCCCTTGGCTAGGGATAAAGGTAGCCGAAGTCATTTCTTACTGTCCAGCAAGTTGTTGCACCTGGGGGGATCATCCATAGATCTCTGGGCAGAGTCTGGCCCGTCCCTGGACCAGGTGATGTAATGTCTACAGGAGGGGGGTTGAAAGCATAGATACAATGTTTCCAACTAAGGATATACACGGGTCTGTTCCCTCCTCACTCCTGTTTTTAAAATCAGAAATTTTGGCCTGGCTTTCCACATTGAAATGAAATAAAATGGCTCTCATTATGCTGCATAATAAAGTTTGAATTTCAGCTCCTGAAGCCTGGGGAGTTTTCCCCATGTGTAAAATCAGATCCAACATCCTTAGTCTTGTGGTTTGCAGCCTAGTCAGGATATATCCAACTTAGTTTTTAAGAATAAAATATCATTTGAAAAGAAAGGCATTGGCTGCTTAAAAATAAGACAGAAAATCACTGTTTTCAACCATCAGTTCTGCTCAGGGATGGAGGATTTGCAACAGAGACTTTGGAGATAAGAAAATAAAAACAGAAATATCGTTTTCGCAGGAGAGAATCCTGACTCAGCTGATGGCATTGAGATTCTTTTTTTCCGATTAACAATGGCCAGCTTTCTACAGGACCACAATGGGCTAATAACAGGCATCTGCTGAAGATAACATCCCCAAATTATCACACAGATAACCTTGAGACAGTAGTCTGTAATGCAAAGAGATATTGGGTTCTGTCCTTCTTGTACCTACATTTCCCACTGCACATGTGTCTAATTTAAAAACACTCTCCATAAGAAATCAGAAAATGTTAGTATAAGAAGCTACTGCCAAATTGGAGGTCATTAGGTAATAAAGATAAAATACAACTAATATGATGTTGCACACTAAGGGACAAGAATGCAATTAATTTAAAAATATCTGACACATTGCTTTGCATAAAGCCAGGTACCATTAGGATGGCACAGTCTTGAGAAACAGTGAAGTTATATCCCTGGTGAGGCTAGGCAATGCTCCAATTTATAATTCCACAAATAACTGGTTTGAGTGTGATATAAAGATAATTTTTTATTTTTTGTTTTTTAAATGTGTTGACCCACGGGAGGTGTTCAGTGGATGTTTCTTGAATTGAACTGTGGTGAGTGATCTTAAGACCACGGCCACCCCTGTCCCCAGAATGTACGTAAATCCCTATGTAAAACTGAAAATAATGTCCAAATCTCTGCTGCAGATTCAAACGCTCAAATTTGAGTGAATTTGAATCATTGTGCAACACTGCTATATCCCACGGGTTCTCTCCCACAGGCATTACAAACTAACATTGGAGGAAAATTAATTTCATTTAAGACAACCTATGACTTCCTGTTCTCTTTTAGCTTGTGAA
The DNA here is from genome assembly GCF_000001405.40 of Homo sapiens. Taxonomy (NCBI): domain Eukaryota; kingdom Metazoa; phylum Chordata; class Mammalia; order Primates; family Hominidae; genus Homo; species Homo sapiens. The sequence goes on along the minus strand of NC_000003.12, from coordinate 54,568,133 downwards.
AAGAAACAGTAGGGCCAAAGGAACAGAGACTGATACAAGACTGAAGGTCAAGCCACATGTTCCCAACATAATTCTGTGTGGCAATGAGGTCTGAGACTGTGTAATGGAACTATGAAGGACTACAACAAATAGCACAATAAAAATCTGAATATCTTTTTGCCCTGTGGTTTTATTTCTGCTCCATGTTCTCCTTTTCTCTCCACTTCAGGAAAGGGCATCTTCGTCCATTCCTTCTCCTGTCTTTAAAGCGCAGTGTTTTCCATACAACATCACTGGCACTGCCAATGACATTCAAACCATCTCCAGCCAGGCACAGTGGCTCACGCCTGTAATCCCAACACTTTGGGAGGCCAAGGTGGATCATGAGGTGAAGAGTTAAAGACCAGCCTGGCCAAAATGGTGAAGCCCCATCTCTACTAAAACTGCAACAATTAGCCAGGTGTGGTGGCAGGCGCCTGTAATCCCAGCTACTTGGCAGGTTGAGGCAGGAGAATTGCTTGAACTTGGGCAGCAGAGGTTGCAGTGAGCCAAGATTGCACCACTGCACTCCAGCCTGGGAGACAGAGTAAGACTCCTTCTCAAAAAACAAACAGAGAACAACAACAACAACAAACAACAAACAAAAAACCACCTCCACCTGAACAGATACTGCCTATCCTACTGAAACATGGCATTTGTCTTCCCTACTTGAAAGCAAAAAGTCCAGAAAGATGTGGAAAGAAGGAAAATCAAGGGGTGGCAGACATTGGTTTATCCCTAAGTTCTGCCCAATTCCTTCCTCAAAAAATATTTAGTACTTGGCCCATAATTTAAAGTTTAAACACATACCTTCCAGATAACTTTAGATCTAAAATATCTGATCAAAAATACATGCTGGCTTCTAATGTGAGTCAAGCTACAGTCAAACTTGGCTGTAAAATGTCTTCTGAGAAGCTGCCTATGCACTTCTCTAAAAAGAGCTCCTTTATTCAACTAGATGCCATCTCTCTTGCCAATCTCCTGAGAGATTACGCACCATGAATATGAGGATATAGCAAGACAGTTGCTATGAAAATTATAAATTATGGTGTTCCATGATCATCTTTATTAGGGCAGTCCTGTTGAGCTAGCCAAGGAAGAAAACCCTAATATCAATCATACTCTCCCCATTGCTAAACCTGAGCCTGGTGAGGAAGGCATGGAAGGGAAGAAACAAAAAGTAATGCTGTGCACAGAACCTGAACTTGATACTAGCAAACAGCATGTATGAGTCCAAACTTATGGAGAACTCTTTACTTAGCTGTTCAGCTCCCTCATCGTGGCTGTAGCTATGAACCAGCTTTCACCTTCCTATGGCAGCCAAATCATAGTGCAAGGATAAGACAATCATTGACCTTTGTAATTACCAAGCCTTCTACAGGAACAAACTCCCCTGCGTACGGCTATAGAAAGGTGACAGTCTGATGTTGGGGAAGGGACCAGGGCTTCTTATAATCATGCATGAACCTAACTGATGTCCTGTGTTTGATTAGACAGTGACCTGTCTGTGATGTATAGACACAGTTTTCTTTATGTAGGTAAGAGTACATGGGTAGGTACTGTCAGCCAGCCACATCATTTTAAATAAAGCTAAGAATTGGCCAGAACAGGAAGAATAGATCAGTCACTGGTGGCCTCAGCCAATAACCAGGTAGAAAACGGGTCCCACAGAGGGCTATAAAAAGATGAACTGGTCAAGCCTCACAGGAAAAGGGATGACTGTGCAGCCCTTTGATCCTCTGCCTCCTGGGAGATGGGGAGCCTGGAGAACACTACTCATTAGATGAGATGGTCATAAAGCATCAGAAGGAAATAGCCAACAGATGGGCATGCCCAGTGTCCAGGACATGGTGGGCAGTGGGGTGGAAAGGGCAGGTACTAGGAAGACTTGGAGGAGAGGGATCAATGAGAACATAAAGGGACTATGGCTCTGTACTGCATTTATGCCAGCTCCTTGCTGAGTCATCAAGTCTCTACCAGAGTGCAGCTGGGGACCAGCTCCCCCAAAGAGGCAATAGCTCTATTCTGTCTGAAGAGAGAGGGCAGCTGCCACTGGTGTGATGGGAGACAACAGATCTGGTGGAGTTTGATCTAATGGGTGATTCATTCATTCAACAAACACATATTGAGCACCCACTATGTGTTATTCTTGCAGCTAGTGACAGAGTAATGGACAAAACAAATGACTCCTCCCAGGGGCAAATATTATAGTAGAGGAGACAGGAGTTGAAAGCCTGATGGTTCAGGATTTCAGGGTAGAGTTCCCATTTTATAAAGTAAGAACTATAGAGCCTAATGAAGTCATCTGTTCAGTAAGACCTTTTTGCAATGCAAGCCCTGAAAGATAAGGCTGGTCCCTTGGAAACGGGGTATCAGACTACAGAAGTCTCTTCCTACAGCATTATGTTATTCAACATGGTGACTACTAACCACGTGTGGCCATTTAATTTTAATTTTAAATAAAGTTAAATAACATTTAAATTTCAGTTCCTCAGCCTCACCTAGCACACTTCAAGTGCTCACTACCCCTGTGTGGCCAGTGACATTAGTGATATTAGATAGGATACAGAACATTTCCACCATCTCATAAAGTCCTTTTGAGAGACACAAGAGAGTTACCACATGCCCTTAGGACATAAATTGAACTGGTGAAGGCCTATGTGTGAAGCCATGCAGAAATGGACATCATCATCACGCCAAGGCTTTCAGGCTAATGCTTACCAAAATTCTCCTTCCCAGGACTCTTTCCTCTCACGCCAGGAGTTGGAGTTGGTGATCCTTCTCAGTGATCACCCAGCACCTTCTATTTCCCTCAGCTTAGCATGAAACGCACTGTACCATGATGATGTTTGCCTGTCTATCTCCCCATGGTGGTCACTGATGCCCCCTCCTTTGGGGATGCAGTCTAGGCAAAGCCACAATAATCCTGACTAGTTCCCAGGGTTTCGGATGGCTGACCTTACCCACTAGTTCTTCAGGCATCAGTGGTGGGCAAGCAACTCAGACCAGGCTAATTCTTGGACTTTCATCCAAGCTACTGGGACAGATGCTGTCTCCTCCCCTGGAACCCCCACTGAGAAATCCTGCCAGGCCTGTTCCCCATTACGAGGAGATCACTTGCCAGTGAGACAAGGTTAGAATGGAAGAAGGCAGAAATGAGAGCTGAAAGGAAGGATTCAAATTCCAAATGACTTTGCTCCAGTCTCTCATTGCTGTCGCCCAAATGGCACACTCCCTAGATTTCAAATTACATGAGCCAGTAAGTGTGCTTCTTGCTGGAGCTAGCTGGAATTGTGTTTCTGTCCCTTGCAAACAAAATCCACGACAAATGCATGTCCCCACAAGAAGGAGCTGGATGAGGGCAGAGACCTCTTTTGTCTAGTTCATGATTTTATCCTCAGGGCCTCATATAGTGGTACAAAGCCAGAACTCAGTAAGACTGAAGAAAGACTCCTTCTGCTTAAGAACACGCACACTTGCCACTGATTCACACCACTCTAACAATGGAAAGAGGCATCCTGAAAAGAAAAACATCCTCGCAAAATGCTCATGATCACTCTTTGAGTCACATGTCCAGGAGGCAAGAGGTATGCTCTGTGTTCAGAACCAAGCACAGAGTTGAGTGGCCACATGACATTTATCAAGGCATTGAAACACCTTGGTGGACTGCGGCCCACGTCTTTACTAACACAGAAATTATGCAGGCATTTTACAGAGCCACATCCTGCCCAAAAGTCCTAAAAGAACAGTAAGCATGGCTGAACCAATTGTTCTGACTGATAAAAACCTTGTATGTAAATTAATCTCCCCTATTACACAAACCCTTTATGAGGATTCCCTTTATTTTCAAATGTCCTCGTGACCATAGTTTAAGGACTCCCTGTTGGAGGAGACAACAGGTGATCTGCGGTTTCTACTTATCTGTCTTGCCCTCTTCACAGTGCCGCATAGCGAGACGGTTGGCTACCCAGGGGCTTCCCAAGCAGAGGAACCTCTCCCCTAGGCTCTGATTTCAGCAATATCTGCACCAGATTTGCTCTCTGTTGAGTGTATCAAGGCAGACTGCAATTTGGTGGCACTGGAACTTTAATCGTCCACTGTTTATTATGGCATTATCTTTAATAGGATGCTTATTGTTTACATTTCTGTGAGCTCCGGGAGGAAGCACGTGTGCCATGCTGAACATGACTCTTGGGAAATGTTCTGTAATCTGGCAAAGCAGAGACCCAGCAGGCAATTCTCGAGGGTCAGATGCTGTGCGCGGGGCAAACAGCTCCGCAAGGCAGAGGCCGGCAGTCTGTGCCTCAAAGTGGGAAGGCATCAGGTGCCTAGTCTTACTTAATGAAAACATGAAAGACTTCACTTAATTGCTCCAAGATTATGCAGGGTGGGGTTTTTCTCCCCCTTCTTTTAGGTTGAGCTTGTTAATTTCTACAGCTGTGATGTTGGCACAGTTGCAGCCCCGAGTCCTGTTTTCACAACTTGTAAGCAAAATTAAAACTTCCCTTTTTAATTAAAATTCAAACCAAGCCAGAATTAAAATCCTATCACAAAGCAGAGGCCTGGGAAGGCTCCAGAAGGAACACCTGTTCCAAAGGCATGATGGACAGCCTCTGAGATACGCACCGCTGGGAGTACTGGGGGTGCTAGGGTGCTGGGAGCACCCTCTGTGGAGGGGTTCTTGCCGTCAGCGACGCCTGGGCCATTTCAACATCTTCCTGCAAGGGGAGTCAGCTCTTGGGTGGACAAATCCGGTTCAAATTCTCTATTTCTTATACCTGTTAGTGAGAATTTAATTGCCCAAGTATGCTCTTTTCCCCAATAATAATAATTATAGCAATAACAGCAGCAGTATTGGTAATAAGGCCAAACTCTTGTTCAGAAGTATTAAATAAGGTACAGTTCACACTACAGTTCTTCACATTTGGTGACAGCTCTGTGAATTATTCTATTGAGAACAGGGCAGGTCCAGAGAATTCCTGTGATCATGTCCTGTGTGTGTGCGTGCCCATCTGGATGCCACCTTGCCATTCCTGTCCTGCACCCTGACAATAGGTTTGGAATTCATCTTTCATTTTCTTCTAAGAAAAGGCAGAAAAGTTTTAACCTTGAACCCTAAAGAAAAATACCACATTATCAGTTATCATTAATCTGAGTCATAACTGTCAATGCAGGTATACTCACCCGGATACTGCCTAAAAAAGCCCTTTGCACTTCCAAAGTACTGCCATATGAGAGATGGGTCACGGTCAAAGTTATCTACAAAAACTTTGTTTAGAGATTCAGACCAATAAACCCCATTGACAATTGCAGGGTCTGTAAAAAAGAAAGAGAGAGAGAGGGGTGTATTAGAAACCAAAGTGAAATAAAATTCCTGGCATCCCACGCTGCTTGGCAGATACTGGCACAAGGTACTCCATCTTGCAGGAGGCTATGAAGGAAGTTATAGCCACAAAAACGTTTAGCTCCTGGGGTGTCCAGATGCTGGGGATTCCCCTCCTGCCTGAGCCCTCCTAGTCTCCCAGGAGCCTCTACTGATGGTTCCTTACTTGAAAGACACTTCCTTTTATTTGTACCTTTCAATATCACATATCCCATAGAGAAAATCACATAATCCTCTTTAAGAAAGCAGAGAGAGACCTTATTAGCATTATTTTCCTGCTTTTCCCCCTACGGAGCCAAAACTCGGCATTAAAAATAGGAAAACTGTATTTTCTCTCACTGTAATCACCTCAGCCACCAACACAGCCCTATTCCATTTCTCTTGTCCCTGATTAGAAGTTTGCTTTTCTTAAAAAAATAAATAAATTGAAATTACATAACTAAATCTCTCTACTTCTTCTGTTCAGCAGAATGTGATCTCTGTGAAAGCACAGACTGCCTCTTGGTCTTCTGCTGTACCCTTTGACCAGCACATGGCAGAAGCTCCAAAACTCTTGTAGAGGAACAGAGGGAAGGATGGATGGATGGTGGTATGATTTGGCTATGTCCCCACCCAAATCTCATCTTGAATTGCAGCTCCCATAATTCCCATGTGTTGTGGGAGGGACCTGGTAGGAGATAATTGAATCATGGGGGTGGGGCAGGTCTTTCCTGTGCTGTTCTTATGATAGCGAATAAGTCTCACGAGACCTGAGACTTTTTATAAAGGGGCACTCCCCTACATATGCTCTCTTGCATGTTACCATGTAAGATGTGCCTTTGCTCCTCCTTTGCCTTCTGCCATGACTGTGAGGCCTCCCCAGCCATGTGGAACTGTGAGTCAGTTAAACCTCTTTCCTTTATAAATTATCCAATCTCAGGTATGTCTTTATTACCAGCATGGGAACAGGCCAATACAGATGGATAACACAAAGGTTGTTCTCCAGATACCAGGCAATCATTTGCTCTTCTGCCATGGAATCCCATGAGCAAATCTCTTTTCCTCACCTATGGTAGCCCAAAGACAACTCCTTGCCTTCAGTGCAGTGATTTAAAAAAATAAGGGTGAATTCCTATTCAACACAATATTGGAATTCCTGGCCAGGGCAATCAGGCAAGAGAAAGAAATAAAGGGCATTCAAATAGGAAGAAAGGAAGTCAAACTATCCCTGTTTACAGATGACATGATCCTATACCTGGAAAACCCCACAGTCCCAGCCCAAAAGCTTCTTAAGCTCATAAACGATTTCAGCAAAGTCTGAGGATACAACATCAATGTGCAAAATATCACTAGCATTCCTATACACTAACGACAGTGAAGCTGAAAGCCAAATCATGAATGAACTCCCATTCACAACTGCCACAAAAAGAATAAAGTACCTAGAAATATAGCTAACTAGGGAGGTGAAAGATCTCTACAAGGAGAACTACAAACCACTGCTCCAAGCAATAAGAGATGACACAAACAAATGTAAGACATCCCATGCTCATGGATAAGAAGAATCAATATTGTTAAAATGGTCATACTGCCCAAAGCAATTCATAGATTGAATGCTAATCCTAATAAATTACCGTTGAGATTCTTCACAGAACTAGAAAAACTATTTTTAAATTCATATGAAACTAAAAAAGAGCCTGAATAGCCAAGGCAACCCTAATCAAAATGAATAAAGCTAGAGGCATCACAGTATCTGACTTCAAACTATACTACAGGGCTACAGTAACCAAAACAGCAGTGGTACTGGTATGAGAACAGATACATAGACCAATGGAACCAAATAGAGAGGAAAGAAATAAGACTGCATGCCTACAACTATCTTATCTTTGACAAACCTGACAAAAACAAGCAATGGGGAAAGGATTCCCTATTCAATAAATGATGCTGGAATAACTGGCTAGCCATATGTAGAAGATTAAAACTGGACCTCTTCCTTATACTGTATACAAAAATTAAGACAAGATGGTTTAAAGACATAAATGTAAAACCCAAAACTATAAAAACCCTGGAATACAACCTAGACAATACCATTCAGGACACAGGCACAGGCAAATATTTCATGACAAAGACACCAAAAGCAATTGCAACAAAAGCAAAAATTGACAAATGGGATCTAATTAAACCAGAGAGCTTCTGCAAAAGAAACCACCAACAGAGTCAACAGACAACCTACAGAATAGGAGAAAATTTTTGCAAATTATGCATCTGACAAAAGTCTAATATCCAGCATCTATAAGGAACTTAAACAAATTTACAAGAAAAACAATCCTATTAAAAAGTGGACAAAGGAAATGAACAGACACTTCTCAAAAGAAGGCATACATGCAGCCAACAATCACATTTAAAAAAGCTCAACATCACTGATCATTAGAGAAATGCAAATCAAAACCACAATGAGATACTGTCTCATACCAGTCAGAATGGCTGTTATTAAAAAGTCAAAAAGTAACAGATGCTGGTGAGGTTGTGGAGAAAAAGGAACACTTTTACACTGTTGGTGGGGGTGTAAATTAGTTCAACCATTGTGGAAGACAGTGTAGCGATTCCTCAAAGACCTAAAGACAGAAATACCATTAGACTCAGCAATCCCATTACTGGGCATATACTCAAAGGAGTATAAATCAGTCTATTATAAAGATACACCCATGCATATGTTCAGTGCTGCACTACTCACAACAGTAAAGACATGGAATCAACTTAAATGTCCATCAATGATAAGAAAATGTGGCACATATACACCATGAAATACTATGCAGCCATAAAAAAGAACAAGACCATGTCCTCTGCAGGAACATGGATGGAACTGCAGGCCATTATCCTTAGCAAAACTAATACAGGAACAGAAAACCAAATACTGCTTGTTCTCACTTATTAAGTGGGAGCTAAATGATGAGAACACATGGACACATAGAGGAGAACAACACACACTGGGGCCTTTCAGAGGGTGAAGGTTTGGAGGACGGAGGGGATTAGGAAAAATAACTAATATGTACTAGGCTTAATACCTAAGTGATGAAATAATCTGTACGACAAACCCCCATGACACAAGTGTGTCTATATAACAAACCTGCACATGTACCCCTGAAGTTAAAAATAAAAGTTGAAGCCAGGCGTGATGGCTCACACCTGTAATCCCAGCACTTTGGGAGGCCGAGGTGGGCAGATCACTTGAGGGCAGGAGTTCGAGGACAGCCTGGCCAACATGGTGAAAGCCCATCTCTACTAAAAATAGAAAAACTAGCTGGGCGTGGTGGCGGGCGTCTGTAGTCCCAGCTACTTGGGAGGCTGAGACAGGAAAATAGCTTGAACCTGGGAGGCGGAGGTTGAGCCGAGATCGCGCCACTGCACTCCAGCCTGGGTGACAGAGCAAGCCTCAGTCTCAACAATAAAAATAAAAATAAAATAAAAGTTGGAAAAAAAATAAGGGTGAAGACAAAGAAGGAGAATAAACAAGTATTTCCTGTACACTGGCTGAAGCAATGTGGGTCACTGAGGATGCTCTGTGATGGTTCACTTTTTCTTTTTAACCTCTGAAGACCCTGTTTCAAAATGATGCCACATTAAGCAACATTCCGTTCTTAGAGGAGAAATAGCTGTCAAGTGTCAGGATGAAAAGTTTGAGAATGACTACATGAGTTATTAATGATGAGGAAGAGGAGGAGGAGGAGAAACTTTCACTGGGTCCTTCCCGGGGTATAGGCGTGGTGCTTACTTTACCTCCTATCCCCCCTCAGCAGACCTCCAAGGCAGGCTAGATCCCTTGTTCTCCTCCATTCTACAGCAGTGGAAACTATAGCACCAGGATATGAGGTACTTTCCTAAAAGCATCCAACTACTAAGGGGCAAAGCCTCTCTGATCTGAGGTTTCCTTATTTGTAAAATGGGGATAATAATACCCAACCTATACACACACACCATGGAATAATACACGGCCATAAAAAATAATGAGATTATCTCCTTTGCAGTGACATGGATGGAGCCAGAGGCCATTATCCTGAGTGAATTAACAGAGGAACAGAAAACTAAACAGCCTATGTTCTCACTTATAAGTGGGAGCTAAACACTGAGTACACACGGACACAAAGAAGGGAACAACACACACTGGGGCCTACTTGAGGGTGGAGGGTGGGAGGAGGGTGAGGATCAAAAAACTACCAATTGGGTACTATGCTTATTACCTGGGTGATAAAATAATCTGTACACATGTGACATGCAATTTACCCACATAACAAACCTGCACATGTACCTCCTGAACCTAACACAAAAGATGGAAAGGAAAAAAAAAATACCCACCCTAGAGACCTGTTTAGAAGGTTAAACAAATCAACAGAAAACAGCTAATGGCCAAAGGCACTCACACTGCCATTGATGGGGCTGTTCCCTTGGCCTAGAGCCCTGTACCCTCACCAGAGATCCCTGCTGGATGCCAAGTCACGCAACCCTACTGTGACATCCTCATTCCAGAGATTCATCAATACCATACAGACAGGAGGGGTGAGGACGGATGAGGTTACTCCAGTCGTCAAGTTGCAGAGGAAACAATGAGCAACATAATGCTAGAAATGGTCACATAAGTCAGGTCCACTTACGAGGGCACTCAGGATTGGCCCCAGTGCACCTCCTCTCCTCCACAGCTGTCTACACCTTTCCAGCGGCAGCCCCAGGACATCCACCTACACAGCTCTAGAGTCCACAGAATGGCTCCAGGGCCAGTGGGCAGACACAGTGTACTGGCTTGTTGTGTCACCTCTGCCCTGCCTTATTCCTTCAGATCACTGAGGTAACTGGGATTCTGAATCCCATCTCAAGGGTAAATGCTCTAACTCTTGTAAACTGTAATAAACCCTATCATAGCCTGGGGGTGTGAAAATGACCCAATCAGCCTTTCACCACAAAGTAATTTTAGGAGGACTTTATCCTCACGATCCTGGAAAATGGATCTCTTTCTTTTTCCTGTCCAAGCTTGATAACGATTATTGTGACTCACCCCTAGCGGCAAAACCCGCTTAAATTAATCCACAAAGATGCAAATACAATAATGACACTGAAAAATCCATGGTGCTTGCCTCCAACAATGGGCTCAATTATGTCGGCGTCATAAAAACCTTCCACAAAAAGAAGCGAAATTCCATTTCCTTAGCTCACTGTCTCAACATGTTAAGGAGTCAAACAGTTTACAGTTAGACAATTATTTTTTCTTAAGTGTGACAACTGGGATTTGCCCAGTTTTGACAATTCTTTTTTCTTAAGTGTGGTTTCTTTGGTGTCCAGACCTCCAGGTGGTCCTAGAAATCTAAGATTGCCCCCTGAGGAACTGTGAACATCTTCAGAAATACAAAGCAAACTGAGGATGTTTCATTTACTTCATTTGGACACCATATCTTGCTCTAAAATTATGCTTCTGCAAGAAGAGGGGGCTTCGATTTTTCCAAGGGCATGGTGAACAAGGGGAAACAGAATCACTAAAAAAATATAATCTACCTAAAATGGGGGCTGTGTTGTACACACCCATTTGATCAAATATTTGAAATAACACTTATCTTGGCTTGTAACATAATCACAGTGTATTGATTTCACAAGCTTGCTTAGCAAGCAGTTTTAATAGAAGGGGAAATCTTAAATAGCTGTCTATTGTTACAGTCATTTAAAAGATAGGAAAAGAAAAAACAGAAAAAATAGATGGAGCTTTCATCTAAGTATTTACGTTAAAAAAAAACAGTTAAATATGATTTTCCCAACATCACTGACAGAAAGTGGAAATGAAGTAACCCACGGGACAGTAAATGCTGTCCATGCCCCACATATACCCAGGTCCCCTGGCCCTTCCACTGTCCCATGGGGAGCAGGCAAACGTCATGCTGGGGTGTGGATCAGAGCTCAGCCTCATGTTCCCTCCATGGTGGCTGAGCTGATTTGTTTTCTTATGGTCACTTGTGAAAATGACAGCAACCTGCTGAGTAGCAGGCAAACCATTTTCCTTGTTTGTGTTCTGTTTCAAATTCTGTTTAAAAGACCCCTTTGCTTTACTTGCGGTTCTTTAGGCCTCAGATTTATCTGAGCCTTGACTTGTACCTCCACCTCTCATCTTTTTAGAGGTTTAAGGTACTGAATTAGCTTTCTGTAGCAGCTGTGGCAAAATACTGCAAACTGGATGGCTTAAAGACAACAGAGATTTATTCCCTCACAATTCAGGATATAAACAGTTAAAAATCAAGCTGCCAGCAGGGTTGCTTCCTTCTGGAGGTTCTAAGAGAGTGTGTTCCATGCCCGTCTCTTAATCTCTGGTGCTCGCCTGCCGTCCTTGATACTTCTTGGCTTGTAGCCTCATTATTTCCATCTCCACCTCCATCTTCAAATGGCCTTCCCTTCTGTGTGTCTCTGTGTCAAATCTCTCTCTCTCCTTTGTCTCAGAAGGACTGGTCATTGGGTTTAGGCACCACCCTAAATTTGGGACGATCTCATCTCAAGATCCTTAAATTAATTATGCCTGCAAAGACCCTATATTCAAATAAAACCACATTTGCAGGTACTGGAGATCAGAACGTGAACATACTTTTTTGGGACCAATGTTCAATGTTCTCTGAATTATCCTACACAACATACCCATATCTCATGGTTTGTATGTATTCTTTTAAAAATCTGAGTTTAATAAGAGCAGGGCTTCTACCTAGTGAAGGATGTTTCAAGGCCTTCACTCTTTTCTTCTTTATGGGAACAATTCAGATTTTCATGTTCATGTTATATTTTCCTAAGCTAACCATTCTTCCTGACCTCTGTCAATGGGTCCTACCTGTAATGCACTAAGTTGGATTAAAATCACTTTGCTGAATGTCAAGTGTATGTATCAATGCCCAGAACTCTGCTCAATAAAGTGAATTCCAGGATAGCATGGTCATTTTCTCCAATATTCCTATCCAATCCACATTAACTTATTATTCATATTGGTCAATGTGTAATCCAGGAATAGCAGTTCTGTTTCCTCTACCTTCCGAGACATGAAATTACCCCCAGTGCCAGTCAAGAATCTATCAGATGTTCAGCTTTTAGTAAAACAGACTAGTAGCAGATGTTTGGGGAGTAAGAGTCCCACACAACCTTTGTGATAAATTTACAATTTGTATGTGAAGAGCGCCTCCCACAACCCTGATCTGTCTTTGTAATGCATCCTATAACCTAGCAGCAAATTCCTTTTGTAGTTTTCTTTTTTCATTTTCACCCAGATAACTGCTCTGGCTTGTGGTG